>NW_018654717.1:1542232-1843813 GCF_000001405.40 Homo sapiens | reverse complement strand
GAGCTGAGATCGCACCATTGCACTCCAGCTTGAGCAACAGAGCGAGATTCCATCTCAAAATAAAGAAAGGAAGGGAGGAAGGAAGGAAGGAAGGAAGAAAGAAAAGAAAAGAAAAGAAAAGAAAAGAAAAAAAAAAGAAAAGATCCCATTCACCTGCACAAAAGCCACACCCCTTTGTGGCCAAGGAAAGGGCCACAGAAGAAGAAGTAGGCCCTTCAGAAGGGGGAGAAGTAGGCGCCTTCAGAAGCTGGTTATCCGTGTGTAATGCCATCACAGGGACGTGCGTTTAAGATCTTTTATCAGTCTTCGTAGCTAAATACTTTTAGTTAATTGCAGGCGGGAGGGGCTACTAGCTCAGGCTACATGGAGCATGTGCTCAAAAACTGTCTCCAATATGGTGACTTGCTGTTTGAGGACGGTCTAAGCGACTGAGGAGTGTGCCCCCTGTCCCCACCCTTGAGATGAGGCCTGATAAGGGTGATTGCATATTTAGTGTTGGGCACCCTGGTGCTCTCCAGCATGTGGTGTTTGGCCTAAGTGGCCCATGTGGACTTTGTTTCAAGGATTTTACGACAAGAAACACCAAAATGAGGACATCTCTGTGGCCATGTTTCAGGCAAGGGGGTAATGGATACAGAGCATATGTACACACAAACACACATGCACAGAGACACGTACAGACACATACATGCACACAGACACATAGATACAGACACATACACATAAGAATACACACAGAAACACACAGACACCCACACATATACACACATGCACAGACATGTAGAAATACCTAGACACAGAGGAACACACAAAGATACACAGGCACACATACAGGTACATCTACATGCTTATCAAAAACAACAGCAAAACCACCTACCATGACAAATACTATTGCAGCAAAACTGAACAAATAAATTCTGTGCCATAAAGTTTCCTAAACCTCATCTATTTTGTAGAAATCTAGTCACTTGAGTATCATCCTTCACAAAGTTCTTTCTATTCTTTCTACTGTACAAAGTTTTCTGTTGTCAAATAGCAAGAGATCTCTGTTTTCTACTTGGAATGGGCCTGGAGAAGGGAGACAGCACCCGCTCCCTCCACCCCTTGTCCCTGAGCACAGCATGGTGACCTGCCAAGCCAGAGGGTGACCTGGACACTCATAACTCAATGCAGGGCCAACTGTAGCCTCTGGCCGGTGTCCCTGAGTGAGGGCAAAGTTGTAATAACACTTGTTCTCTCCTTTCTCCAATTTGCTCCCAAGCTCCATTGCTTTCGTTCAGGCCCTCCCCCTTCTAGACTGGGCAGTTCCGCATCCTTGGAGCTCATTTCTCTGTCTTCAGAATCTGATGCTCCAATTCATCCCATGTGTGGCTGCCAAGGTCTTTCTAAAACTCAAATGTGGCCCTATCACCGCACAGGGTAAAGCCACCATAAACTCCTCTGTGTTTGAGAACAAGGGCCAAGTCTCCCATTGAGGCCTCCAGGGAGTGGACAGTCTGGGTCTCCTTTCTTCTCCAAGCACGCTGGGCCCATCTGTCCTGTCCCTGAGGACTCCCTGGCACACATGACACTTCAGAGCTTTTGCCAACTCCACTCCCTGCCTGAAATGCCCATCTCCTTCAGAGAGCTTCTATGTATCCTTGGAGGTCCAGTCCTAATGTCCCTGCCTCCGATAAGACCTCTCCCCATCTTCCTCTCGCCCTGCTCCTGTCCCCGCCAGGCATGACAAATCTCTTCCCACAGTGGGCCCAACAGGGAGGCAGATGGTAGAACAGGTTTTGGGCCAGGTGCCAGGTGCACGTGGCTCTTCATCCTGGTTCCCCACCGCACACCTGGAGAGCTGAGTGCTTTTCCTGAGGTCACGCAGAAGGTTACCAGCCTGGCTCTGGAGCTGTCTCTTTGCCACATCGTGGGGTGTCTTTAAGGTGACCTTGAATGTGCTTGAAGCTGTTTTATGTCCTATTTGCAGACCTAGGGGAGGACAATGCCAGGGCTTTTTGCCTTCCCAAGGTCACAGCCTGAAGACACTCAGAAAGATGTAGTTGGCTCATTTATCATTTTTTAGAAAAAAAGAAAACAACAGAATGTGCTGAATCCTTGTAACTGTTGGCCATGGCACTAGTTTCATGGAAGGTGGAAGGGCAGGTTAGGCTTCTTATGAGGGCGTTCCTGGCCTCTGGAGGGGTGTGGGTGGGCTCAGGTGAATGACTGACAGACTGGATTTACGTATGTTGAGTGTGAATCTCAGTCCACAGCTTGGTGTGCAAAAACAGAAAAGCTATCTGGTAATAGCTACATCTCTGTTGGGGAGAGGAAACTGACCTCTCAATTCAGGGTCTTCATACCTTTCTCCAGGGTGGGGTCTAAGTTCTGGGAGCCTCATGAGTCTCAGGAATTCTGGGGTGGCCTATTTGGTCTTTGTCATCAGTCCATGCAGGGGGCTGCTAGAATGTCATGTCAGCCTCTGACCCTGGCCAAGCCCCCTCTCAGAGATTCCAGGCCACATCCCAGGTTGAGGGATGCATCCTCCCACTCTGGGGCCCCCCAGGTGGGACTCTCAGGGAGGCCACTTGAGACGCGGTTGCCCAAACTGACTCAACAAGATCTCTCAGTCACGGGCTGAAAGATCTGCATCACGGGCTGAAAGCAGGAAAGTTCTTTTGTCTCTCTTTCTGCTTTCCTGTGACAATGGGTGCAGAACCATCGTGAATGGTTCAGGTGCGGGTAGGGAAAATAACAAATAGGAGGAAGAACAATCTCAGAAAGGCAGGTAGCCTGTCCCATCTGCTGACAGAGCAGTGTGTAAGCATCACTGAGCTTGTGACATTGATGTTTTTTCCAACATGCAGTATAAATGTACACTGTGATTTTACAAGGCCAGGAGCCAAGTAACAACACCCTTGGCAGAGGAAGAGTGAAGTGGGGAAGGAAACTGAAGCGGGCTAGGGAGGAAGGACAGCTTGACAACTAGTTAGAATTGGAAGGACGATGGACTAGGATTGTAAAAGAATAAGGCAGAATGTCCTACCTTCCCACCTTGGCAAACCCTGCCCCTGGGAGTGGTCCTGGATTTGCAGTGGCCCTGGCCTGGACCACCATGTAGATGTCACTAATGGATCCTCCCAGGGGACGGGCCTGTCATGGCCCTCAAGAAAGGCAGGGATGACCACCCCAACTGCAGGGGAAGACACCACCCACCCTGAGGGCTTTTGGGAGCTTTTAAAAGAAGGCAAGTCACGCTTTAAAAGAACTTTGAAGAGACAGGAGCTTAGTGGACCCAGTGGAGATAAAAGGTCCAGGTAAGGAGTGGCCAAGCACTTGGAATTTAGAAGAGGCGAATCAGAAAGTCCCAATGGACCAGCTTGGGGGTTTGGGGGTTACTGGGTCCATGTCAACATACAGCTCAGTGGGTGCCAAAGATCAGCCAGGCCTAGGGTGCAGATGACAGTGAGGCAGGATGGTGACCTGGATTAGGACTGGAGGGGGAACCTGAGGCCAGGAGAGCAGGGAAGAGATTGCTAAAGACAGTCACCCCATGGCAAGCTAGTTTTCTCCCCGAGCCAGCATTTCTACACGTGAGCACTGGCCTTGCTGTCTGGCTGGGTGACTTCCTCTCTCTGGGGTTCAGGGCCCAGCACTGCTAATCGGGGGTAGAGTCAACGGCCTTCCAGTGCACCCTTTGGTGGCTCTGTGTGGCACATCAGGCACACTGGTCAAGTAGGGGGTCATCACCAGGCCTTGGGTGCTTCTCAAACCTAAAGTCATGTGGTCCTCACAACAGCCCCGTGATGTCATCAGGAACCTGCCCACTGGCCCAGGGCTGGGAAGGACTAGAGCCAAAGTGCAGGCTCAGGACTGTTTGACCCCAAAGCCAGTGCTCTGAACCCTCCATCTGTCTTCATTAACCACCGCCTCTGCCACTACTGTAAGGCAAGAGAAGCGTGTCACGGCGCGAAGGCTAAGCACATGCTGGGAAATCACCCGTGGCTTGCAGACACATGCACAGCTACTGGGGGTAGATCAAGAGCCAAGAACGGGTGAGCTCAAGCTGTGCTCACATGGGGCGCGTGCTAGGTGACTGTAGGCCTCAGAAAACCTGGGATCCAGAACAGCTTTCCTCCGCTAGGGGGCTCTGGCACAAGTTTGCCTGAAGACATGGCCCCATGGCGAAGCCATCATGTGTGGGACCTTCCTTGGCCCCCTCTTGGTGAGCCACATTCCTGTCCACGCAGTAGCTCCAGCCCCCACCCGTGGCTTTTCACTTCTTCCTTGCTTTCCACTTCTGACCACCCTATACCAGAAGGTACTTCATGTCAGTCCTCTCCCGCATTCCCTCTGCCTTCGGGTCTCCTGGAATTGGAACTGTCACTAGTCAATCATTACTTACGGGGATGTGCAGAAAGCCAGACACTGTGCTGGGCCTCGGGCGGCAGAAATAAGACAGCCACTGTAGTGTCAGCTGTGTGCACCCATCTCTCCTTCTGACCCAAACGCAACTGTGATGGGGGCCGGTCCTGCCCTTTGGGGCCATCAGACAAGGGAGCAACTGACATTTGCAGAGGCCAGAGGAGCCGTGGTGGAGGGGTTTTCTCAGGGCTCGAGGGAGGTGCCTGCCCATCCACTGAGAGCTTTGGGAAGGAAATGCTGGGCGCCTTTTGTGCCTCCTACTCATCAATTCCCCCCAGCTGCAGGCAAGGGAGGTCGTTAGCAGCCCAGCCTGTGGGGAGCAAGCAGGCCATGAGCTGCATGCAGCTGGCACTGCTATTACTTAGGAGGCATCACAACAATGACTCAGGTGCTGACCATAACCCTTAACCAGGTCACAGTGGCTGCCTAACTGTTGAAGCTGCTACCCCTCCTTTAGGTTACACCGCATGAAAAGTTGGCAATCCTCTCTCTCGGTGGCTGCTGTGGGAGCAGCTAACCTCACAGCACCCGAAGGGATGTCATCGGGACCCCAGCTCGGTTTCCAGCATCAGCTGATGCCAGCAAGAAGCCAGCCAGGCCTGGGGCTTGGCAGCCCAGGGACTTTACCATCCACCATCCACAGGGCTGTTGCCCTGGACAGGTCATTGATATCTGACTCACAGCCAATTCATGGATGACGTGAATCCAAAAATCAGAGGCCCACGTGGATTTAGACATGGAAATGCCTCACCAGCTTCCATGAGCCAGTCTCTGTGCGGCAGACTTGAACTGCACGGGGGCTGATAGGAAGCAGGGTGGGCGCTGGGATGTGACTGTGCCCTTGCCAGTGTTTCCAGTCTCCCAGCTCGGGTTCTGTGGTTGTCTAAGCCTGGGGGTGCTCTGCCGGGTCTGTGGCGACCCGGCTGCCTTTTCAGCCTAATCACCAGAGAAGCCACAGAAAGAGCTGGACCACTTAGAGGGGCAGTCTGGCCACAGCCACTTGGAAGAACAGGCTGATTTTGTACAGATGTGTCATTTTCTCCTGACTTTTAAACTGTAAACATTATATAATACCCTAGAAAATTTTGAAAATAGATATAAACCATCAATAACACTGGCAACCTAACACTTTTACCTAAGAGCTACCCATTTTGATTTATCTGATGCGCAGTTTTCATTGCTGGAATCATAAAGACATAGCACCTTAGATTCTTCTCTTTTCTTTTTCTTTCTTTTTATTATAACATAAGCATCTTTCCCACTGCTACTTTTGATCACTTTTGAGGACTCAAAATGATCATTTTTGGGCCTGCATAATATTTCACTGTGTGAACTCTATCACCATTTCAATCAGGTGTTTCGTTTGCTTCCATATTTTTGTATCACCATAGCAGGTGATGATTGAAAAAATAAATGCAGCTTGCAAAGTCATTCTGAATTACATCGTGGAGCTGGAGAGTGTTCTTTCCTAATCCCTTCAAGGAATTACGATGATATGGGGAGATGAAACATTCATTTGGGGGCTGGCTTGGGGTAAGCTTTAAATTGCGTTTAAAGTCAGTGTGATAGTGACTTGAGTTTTTCATCTCTTTTCTCCAGCTCCTTGACGGCCATATTTGCTGGCCAGGGTTACTGGTGTGGTCTTTGGCCAGAGAGCAGACTTTCCTCTCTGTGAAATGAAATGACTCATAAGGAAACAAACCCCAAGGCTTTGGGTACATTTGTCCCATCATCTAAACCAGGGTTTCTAATCAGAAGTCCATGAATGATTGTGGGGCTTTGTCGGGGGAGAGGTCCTGAAGCTGAGCACAAAATTTGGCATGTTTGTGATAAGTGTATTTTATAGGGATAGTGTCTGTAGTTCCATCAGGTTCTCAACGGGGGCTGTGGCCCCAAAAATGTTTTTTAAAAAACCCAGCTTTCTCTCTCTGTCTCTTTCCCCCTTTCTGGGAATCCGAGATTGAAATGAAAGAAATCGAAAGATCTTTGCCTACATACAGAGGTCCAGTAATGGGATGGGGAATATATTATCCCCGGGATAGCGCCACTGTACTCCAGCCAGGATGACAGAGACTCCATCTCAAATAAATAAATAAATAAATAAATAAATAAATAAATAAATACATAAATAAAGTGCCTCTTTGTTAAGGCAGTTGCTTCTATTTCTACTTTTTTAACCAAAGCTAATTGCTAATGTGTTAAAGTACGAGATTCTGCCTTGATTATGGCCGTCCGTGGTTCTTAACTAAAGGAAATGCTTTGGCATTTTAAAACACATGGATCCCCGTAAGCTTTGCATTTCTCACCAGGGAGTCAGACTGACACACAAATATTTGTGGTTAGTTAATTGTTCTTTCCTGCTACAAACACTCACCATAGGAGGTGAGCTGTATTTACCAAACTGAAATGTTACTATTTGAGGCTGAAGGAGCCAAAGAAACCTTGAAATTCAAGAGACCAAACCCAAAAGTTCCACCCAACGGAGTGGGAGACTTCAGCTCATTGAATTCCTGAATACAGCTCGGCCTTTTGTCTTCACACAGCAATGAGAACACATGGACACAGGAAGGGGAACATCACACACCGGGGCCTGTTGTGGGGTGGGGAGAGCGGGGAGGGATAGCATTAGGAGATATACCTAATGCTAAATGACCAGTTAATGGGTGCAGCACACCAACATGGCACATGTATACATATGTAACAAACCTGTATGTTGTGCACATGTACCCTAAAACTTAAAGTATTAAAAAAAAAAATCAGTTTCTGTTAACAACAAACTCTGGCACCAGTCAGCGGGTTTGACTTCCTAAAAAAGTTTGATTTGCTTTCTCTCTTAGAAATTCTGTCTTAAATTTCCTTAAACGCAAGTGTGTATACCTGGAGCAAAGAACATGGGGTGTAATTCAATTTCTCTTCTCCTTTCTTCCTCTGGGAATCTCTGCTAGGTTTCCCACTTATTATTGTTGAAAACTGGCAGTCTTTAAAGGGGATGGACTTCCTGAAATACGGCAAACAGTCATGCAACAAAAAGCAGAAAATTATATTTTCATTTTGGGCGTCTTAGATGTAGTGCAACATTCAACATGAGATCAATGTGCCCTCTTGACCCCAAAGTATTGGCTAATGATCCATAATCAATATTTAGGATAACACTGGTTGGGAGTATGAATGACATCTTTCCACCATTGTCTTGGTAAATGAAACTATTTACTCTTTCTGGCAGTGGATGCTGTCGGGAGGTGGAAAAGTAAGCATTTTCTTACGTTTGGGTTTTCTGTGATTGTTTGATTATTTAATTTATTCGTTCAAAGAAGAGAAAGATTTACTGCATGTCTACAATGTATCAAGTGGTAAGATGGGGCCTGAAAATACAAAGATAAACAACCAAACAAACAAAATGGCTTTTCCTTGAAGAGCTCAGGAGGAGTCTGGTTTAGAAGGCAGACACGCAAGTTCTATGCTACTGGTCTGTAAGAAGCGCTGTGGGATCAGAAGAAGGGATGACTTAATGGGTACAGAGTTGGTGATGTGTGGATGACCTCGTGAACGAAGACTAGTTCTTCAAGCAGACCCGTGGAGGACACCACAGAAAACTGTGTTGTTTGTTTAGCTCTTTTCCAGAACTTGTTATGATCTCTTAACAAGGTCTAGCCAATATCATTATAAGCACGTAAAATTCCTCATCCTAAACCCCACCCTGAAATCACTCTGACGACATGTCAGCCATCTGACACAGATGTGGATAGTCTGAAAGCCCAACAGTTCTAATCATTTAGGTTCAATTTGGTCTCAACAGAGATTTTTACATGGGACTTCATGTTTTACAAATTATTTTAGTATTATCAATTTGATCCTTTAAGGCAGGCAGAAAACATATTTCCACCCTCTACTTTATAGATAAAGCCATTGAGGCTCAGAGAGATTTTAAAATTTTACTGCAAATTACACAGGCTTCTGGTTTTGTTTGTTTGTTTGTTTGTTTGAGACAGAGTCTTGCTCTGTCACCCAGGCTGGAGTGCAGTGGCACAATCTCGGCTCACCGCAACCTCCCCCTCCTGGGTTCAAGTGATTCTGCTGTCTCAGCCTCTTGAGTAGCTGGGACTACAGGCGCCACCCACCACCATGCCCAGCTAATTATTGTATTTTTAGTAGAGATGGGGTTTCACTGTGTTGGCCAGGCTGGACTCAAACTCCTGACCTCAAGTGATCTGCCCGCTTCGGCCTCCCAGACTGCTGGGATTATAGGCGTGAGCCACCGCGGCTGGTCAGATTATTCAATTTTAAGGTCTTACGGGCCACATAACATGATTGCCTTTCTAAAAGAATTATTTATTCATGGAAGTCTGAAGCAAGAGTCTCTTGAAGTTCTTTTTTGTCCTTGATAAAATATTTACTTTTCTTGTTTTATCCTCCTACGAGATCCCTACTGTCCATGCCCACGGCCTAGATTGGTCTCTGGCCTTGAGCCTTACAGAGCATGCTGGGTCCCAGGGCTTGTCCTCAATGCACCACACGCAGTTGGCTCATGAACTAGGACCTCTGTGTCTTGAAGTGGGAGTGGATGGTAGGAAGGGGGAGATGGAAAAGCAGGGGTACAAGGCTGATGCTGGCAGCAATGAAGACCTTGGTGATTCGTGGACCATAGTGGAGACTGAGAGGGAGTGGAGAGGCGAAGAGAAACCAGAGCATCATTCCTGATGGAGCCCTGTGTTACCCCCAGGCTCCTTTAGGGCATGAGAGTGCCAGGGCTGGACCATCTCCAGGCTGCACACTTTTTCTCTGCAGCTGTGAGCAGAGCCCAGGCTGTCTGTCCCTCAGCATCCCCTAAATCTGCGATGCAATCATAGCCCCTGAATGTTAGGGCTGGAGGCAACTCAGAGATCATCCACCCACAGCCCTCGCTGCACAGAGACAGAAGCAATGAGATGAAGTGACTCGTACAAGATTGCACCTTGGGCTGCAAAATTCATACCAAGTGATCCAGGGAGGCCTTTGAGGCATTGCATTCCCAAAGTGCCTTCTAAATAGTTAGCCAGAGTTATAGAGTGGTGCTCAGAACAGGTTGTGGACGTTTATTGAATTCCATGTGATTTAAGTGTGGTTGGCGGGCAGTCCACACCACCGCCGCGCACTGCATGAGAACCCTGTGTGAAGGGGGCTTGGGGTAATGGAGCAGCTGGGCCCGACCCAGGTGGATTCAGAGTCTCCCATCACTCGGAGAAGCCTGCACCTTGGAAATAATTCAACTCCTTGGTCTGACTTTTGCAAGGGAAATGTTTGGGGCATTTTATAGGTCTCCATGGCTGTGGTGTTTTATGACATTGAACCCAATAAAACTCGTAATGACACAGGATCTGCCAAGGGGATCGGACCTTCCCTTCTGGCACAAGGAACCATTCTGTTTTGGTATCCCAGGAAATGAGTGGAGGAAAATCCTTGTTATTTCAAGTGAACAGGGTCTGGGCAAGGTCTCTGTCCCTGGTCACCTTGACCATGTGCTACCTGTCACTGAGTCTAACGGTTGCTCCAATTCAGCTGAAAGACAGGACTCAGCAAATAGAGCCTTGATCTGTCCACAGGGTACTCCTGTCCACTGTTCCAGCAAATGTGAGAAAACCCACTTGTCCTTTGCGAGAGAGAGGCAATGCTGTCTTAGTCCCATCCTAAAGGCAGAAGGACGCTAAACAAGGGTGTTTGCGGGCTACAGGCAAGAGCCCCGCAATGGCCTCCCCGAGGGATCTGAGGCCCAGCAGGCCATCCCAGGTCTCAGAAGCCTTGTAAGAGCACAGTGGAGGACCCTTCTTGCACGCTGAGCTCTGAGCAGTGAGGGGAACAGCTGGGAGAGAGGCTGGGGTACAAGTGACACAGTGCAGAGATGCTGCTCCCAGCCGAAGCTGCCACTGTGGGCCTTCTCCATCCACCCAGCCCCTGTAATTGCACTGCCCCCACCTCTGGGCTCGAGTAGCCCGTGAGCCTGCTTTCTGGACCCATCCTGGCAAGTTGCTGGTGGATATACCTATGCAGCAGGGCAACTACAGGCTTAGGAGGGCTCCATTCCAGCCCTGGCTGAGCATCAGAATGGGGGTGAGAGGTAAAAAATACAGATTCCTGGCCCTGTTTCATACTTTCTGTATCATATGCAGGAGCCCAAGAAGCTATTACAGTCCCAGATCATTTCTGATCCAACCCACCAGTCAGCAATACCTGCTCAAATCTAGGAGTCACTGACCTCAGGCCCCTCCCCTTCCTGGGGAGCTCCCACTCCAGGGTTGAGGCACGCACATGACTTTCACCTCTTCTGGAGTCCTCCCCTCCACATTCCCCAACAAGCTGCTGCTCTGAGATTCTTCCCCTAGTCTCTCCACACAGGCCAGCAGTCACTGCAAACGCCCAGTTGCAATGCACCAAGAACTTTCAGGGTTTTGCCCTGTTTTGCTGGTTGGTGCCAGGAGATGGAAGCTCTCGAGTGGGGTGTGCTGTCCCCTGGGCTGGGTGGAGGTGGCCACAGCAGAGAAGGAAGATGGGTCCTGGAAGTACAGGCGGTCTGGGCTTACATCCTCCCTGTGCCACTCCCGGCTGAGGGACCTCGAGCAAGCTTGACCTCCGTCAGTCTTCATTTCTTTACCTGTAGAGTGGAGGTCTGGAAGCCGGCCTCCTGGGATGCTTTGAGGATGACCAGGAGCTGAGAGGTAGTGCCAGGGGTCAGCCATGTCAGTGGCTCCACCTGAGTCCTCAGGGCCTGGGGGAGTGTCTGGGACGAAGTAAGCAGCCGGCGCACAGGGGTCCTCCCTGCTCCCCTTTAATTGCTTGCGTCTCTCTGGGGCATTCTTTTACTGTCTTTGGCTTCTTCCTTTGCTGCAGCCCTCATCTGGATGCCTGCCTCTATTTCCCCCTTCCTTCCATTTTCTTTAACTGCATTATTTTTCTGTCTTTAGAGGCCAGTCACTTACCTCCTTAATTTTCAAAGTTTTGTCTTTTCTAATATTGTATCAGTGCTTAAAATGCAATTTTCCCCGCCACTGTAGTGCCTCATGTCATATGTGCTGCGCTGCATGCGGGGATGGCCCAGAACAGCTTCCTGCAGTCTGTGTTCTTCAGAACAGTGGCTTCAAACAGGAAATCAAACAGGGAATTGCTTTAGTTGTTCATGAAATCAAGTGGGCTCCTGCTGGCATTTTAAAAACAAAATCATATAGAATAGAGAATACCCAGGGGCATTGCCTGTAGGAAAGGCTTTGGGAGGCTTTTGTATCCTGGTGTGGGGATGGGTGTGCACTCGCGTGCCTGGGATGTCAGGCACTGTAGATGGAACAAAAGTTCATGCCCAGATGAACTGATAAGCAGATCGTGGCCTGTACATTCCATGGAATACCACTCAGCCTTTGAAAGGAAGGAAATTCCTTCACATACTGCTACATGGATGAACCACGAAGACATGACGCTAAGAGGAGAGAGTCAGACACAAAGGAGAAACACTGCAATTCCATTTAAATGAGTCCCTGGAGTAGTCCCATTCAGAGAACAGAAAGTAGAACGGGGGTGCGAGAGCCTGACGTCTTTCTCACTGACAGCCACAGTAACAAAGAACAGAAAGCCCGACAGACACTGTCGTGGATGCTCTTAGACCACACCGCACAGTGGAGACTTCACAGACCCCGAGTCCTGCACTTGGTGGGTGGGTCTCACGACCGCCCTTCCCCCTTGCGGTGCAAAGAAAGTTCACCGCCCTATTGCTGTCTCTCCCAGAGGATCTTTCTGACCTACTCAAGGAACATTTATTAATAATCTATTGAGAGAAAGACAATCTAGTAGGTCTTATGCATTTTCTATCTTCTCCCATTTTTCCATGAACGATATCTGTTAGAGCAGCCCTGTTAAACTAACTCCCCGACCCAGCCCCCAGCCCCTGACACCTGTTACTCTACCATCTGTGTCGATGAATTGGGCTACTTTAGGGACTTCATTTAGGTGGAATCATACAGTGTTTGTCCTTTTGTGTCTGGCCAATTTCACTTAGCACAATGCCTTCAAGGCTCACCCATGTTGTAGCATGTGCCAGAATTTCCTTCCTTTGTAAGACTGGATTCCATTGTACATATAGCCCACACTGGGCTTATCCATCCATCTGTCCATGGACACTGGCTGCTGCCACATTTTAGCCACTGAGCAACACTGCTGTGGACACAAGTGTACAAATACCTGCTCAAGTCCCTGCTTTCTGTCATTCTGGATACACACCCAGAACTGGCATTGCTGGATCATATGGTAATTCTATGTTTAATTTGTCGAGGAGACTCCATACAGGACTTTGAATTTTACTCTGAATGAGAGGGTGACACTGGGGAGTTCTGAGTAGGGAAGCGATGTGATGGGACCTAACATTTTTATAGGGTCACAGTGGGCTGCCTTTGGGAATAGGCAGGTGGGAGGACAGGGAAGAGGAGAGCAGGGAGGAGTTGCTGTGTGTATCCTGGAAAGAATGAAGGTGGCTTAGACCCGGCTCTCGGCCAAGGCAGAGAGATGTCCATTCCTGGCTGCCTGTGGACGGGAGAGCCAACAGAAATCGGGGTCGCATGTGGATTTGTATGTGCAGAATACGAGAGAAAGAGCATGAGGAAGAGAAGATGGAGCTGCCATTCACAGCGATGGAAATTGACCAGGAACTCACCTCTGGCCATTTTAAGTCTGAGACATTTACTAGAAGTCCAAGTGGCCACAGCACTTGGTGACATTGTCAGCTGGTCCTCTGACTTCTACCAGCCACTTTCCCTGGCCCCTTTTTGGCTTGAGCCTCCCAGCTGCCAAGCACGCCTGGATGTTCCAGATGTTTTCAGGTTCCCAGAGCCCTTGCTGTAGCAGCTCAAGCCTTCCTCCCCGGCCTCATCTGCTTTCCCCGTGATGTTTGAGAGCTTTTCTCAGGTGTGTGGGAGGAAACAGCATGTTGGGGGCCAGGAGACAGCCACCCAGACCTTGACAAGGCAGGGGACGGCTTCAGCTCCCGAAGACCCTCTTGCGTTCCCAGCCAAGCCAGAGGCTTACAGGCTGCTGAACGCACCTGAGGCAGCACCCATGGTGCAGCCCTGGTGCTGCAGGCCAAGCTCTTGGTCCTGTCACAGGGAGAAAGTCTATGCCCCGACAGCTTGAACCTGAGTCAAGGGTCACCTTTCAGAGCTGAAATTGACTTCTTGGAAAGCCAGAGAAATGCATTTTCCCATAGCATTGAGGGCACCCCAGCCCTGTGCCCACTGAGGGAGGGAAGGGGGCTTCTAGAGGCATCATCAGAGCAAGATGTGAGCTGGCTTTGCTTTGACCTCACTGTCAGGGCCTGCCCCAGATGCCAGCACTCAGAGCTCACTCTGCAGAAGAGGGAACCGAGGCTGGGAGGGGCGAGAGAGTGTGCAGGGTACGCAGTGGGTGAATAAGTGAGTCAGGTAGAGAGCCCAGTTCTCCTGGGCCCCAGGTGTGCCAGCAGCCTGCACAGAGTGGCCTTGGCTTGGCGGTCTTTCCCCACAAAGCATGGACTCTCAGAATCAGACCCCAGCTGAGACGAAGCACCAGATGGATTGCTTTTTAGACGGTGCATCCTGTTAGAGCTTAGGCTTCCCAGAGTGAATACGCACTTTCGTGTGAGTTTTTGCAATGCATTCACTTTTTTAGAAAACTTCCCTGTAGATGCCCGCTAGATACTGGGTTCTGATTCTGAACACAGACACCCCACTGTAGGTGGATTGGTGGGGGGCAGAAGATTTTAATCTTTGGGAGGATTGAGGGGTGTCTCTCTCCCTTGCACCTCTGAAGGTCACTGTCACGCTGTTGCTGGCATCTCAGCATTTCCATCCACTTCTCTATTTCCACTAACAATGCCCTAGCTCTGCCATGGCCACCTCTCACCGATCTCCTGCGGTGGCCTCCCATCTAGTGTCCTGCTTCACCCGCACCCCACAATCTCCTCCACACAACAGCTGCAGTGATCCCTTTAAAGGTAAGTCAGCTCCTCCTTAAAACCATACAATGGTCCAACACGGCATTTGGAAAGAAATCCCAACCCTTCCCCAGCTGGTCTCTGGGCCCTGCCCTCCTCTCACCATCCCTGGCTGCTCTGCTCCAAGTGCAGGGAGCCTCTTTCTGCTCTGGGAATCTGCCAAGCCTGTGCACTTTTAGAGCCGTCTCTCTGCTCTGCCCTCTGTGCTTTGCAAAGCCTCTCCTTGCCACTGAAGACTCCAGCATACGTCGCACTTTCTGGGAGAGGTCTTTCTCTTATCTAAATACCCCTGGGCCTGTGCGATGATTCTGTCCCGTCATCCTGTTTGAATTTCTTTGTGGCACTTACCTCTCCTAGAAATCAGTGGCCGTTTACTTTGCTAGTCTGCCATCTGCCTTCCCCTCTGCTCTCCTCCCTGCATCAACTAGAATATGGGCTCCACGGAGCAGGAGCTGCCAGCTGTGGCCTCCAGCATGTTGCAAGATCTGTCTCAAAAGTTCTTGTTCAGGGGATAATGGATTCCTCAAAGGAAGGAATCAGACCCTCTCTGGGACTCCCCTGGGTGCTAGAGGACCTCGCTACCTTCATGTGGGGCTGCTGGGAGCCAACACTGTCACAGCGTTTCTGGACAGCAATTTGGCTGTCTAGACCAGAAGCTCCGAAACAGTTCCACGGTATTGAACCAAAGCAATTTTTCTTCTGAGAGCCTAAACTGAGGGAAAAATTCTAAAATGTAGGCAATAATTCATACACAAATATTAGATGAAGCTATATACATACATCCACATGTAGTAGGGAAATGTCAAAAGTGGTATTTACTATTAGCTTGAATGACATTAAAAAGGTTTATGGTACAGTATTAAGTAATATGAAACATACAAAAGTTTATGTACAGCATCGTAACAGTTCATGCTTATTTAGAGGACTTGTGCCAGTCACCACATCGAGAACTTTATTTACATTTTCTAATTCTCTGAACAACCGTGTGAGGTAGTTATTATCTCAATTGTATTGACTGAGAAAATGAGACATGAACAGATCAAGGAAGCTGACAAATATGGCGTAGTTTGTAAACTGTAATGTGAGGATTTGAATCCAGAGCCTCTCACTCCAAGCACTCCATTTAAACTCTACTGTATGCTGATTTGAGTTTCATAAACAACTTGAAAATGTGCATATCCCTTGCCGCCCCCACTATCAGAAAGACTAAGAAGAAATACACCAAAATATTCACAGAGATTGCCTCTGGGTATTGGGGTTCTGGGAAACGTTTTCTTTATAATTTCCTGTATTTAAATATTTTTCTGTAAAGAGCACACATCATTTTCATGTAAAGTTTTGAATTTTATCAAAAGATTAGTAGTCACACACAAACCACAGATAACTTTGGCTAATTAATATAGAGTCAAAAATACTTCTATAAAACAAGCTATTTCAATCAAACATGATGTTTAATATGATTAAGGAGGGCTCATTCCACTGTGAAAAGACAACTTAGCATTAAGAACCACATAGCCAGGCACGGTGGCTCACAAGTGTAATCCCAGCACTTTGGGAGGCTAAGGTAGGAGGATCGCTTGAGCCCAGGACTTCGAGACCAGTGTGGTCAACATGGTGAAAACCTCCCTCTATAAAATTTACAAGAACTAGCCAGGTGTGGTGGTGCATGCCTGTAGTCCCAGCTACTTGGGAGGTTGAGGTGGGAGGATCACTTGTGCCCAGAAGATTGAGGCTGCAGTGAGCCGTGATCATGCCACACACTTCCAGCCTGGGCAATGGAGCAAGACCTTGTCTCAAAAAAAAAAAAAAAAAAAAAAAAAAGGAAGAAAGAAAAAGAAAGAAAAGAAAAGGAAAAGAAAAAAGAAAAAAGGAAACATAATCAAAGGCATCCCTGTAAAAGCTTGTTGTAACCTAAAGAAAAAGGAAACTTCCTAGATATCTTCTGCAAGCCTATAGCCAGATTCAGAAGTGAGAGACGCCTGCTAACATTGAGATAATTTAACTTTGTTTTGGGAATTCTTGCCAGTGTAATACAACAAGAAAAGGTAATACAACATCTACACATTTCGAAAAAAGGCATAACAGATGATCTGTTTGTCTTTCAGGGAAATCTAAGACAAGTAATTGAAAAGCTATTAGAGCTAATAAGAGAACTGAAATAGACAAAAATCAATAGCTTTCTTTTTTTCAACAATAACATTAGCAATGCCAATTCTCCAAAAATTGTATATAAATTTAAATTTAATGCCAATAAAAATGAATGCAGGAATTCATAGCTTGTCAAAATTATAGCCTTAAGTTAAATCAGAAAAATGAATGAGAAAGAATAATGAAGAAAATCTTTTAAAAAAGAACTGAAACTGTATCATTAAACTGGAGTAATTAATTTATGTGGTTCTATGCAGGAAAAGACAGAGTCCAGAAATAGGCCCATGATTATGTGGGAATTGAGTAAGTGATAAGGAAGGCAATTCAAATCAGTAAGAAAAATGGCTTTTAAAAAATTTATTATCTAATATTTGATTTGTCAAGTCATTAAATAATTATCTATACCCTAAAGATATCCTGTATTTTTTCTAAAAGATTTAATTTTCACCTTTGATTTACAATTAATAAAATTTTTTCTTGAGACAGAGCCTCACTCTGTCACCAAGGCTGGAGTGCAATGGCACCATTATGGCTCACTGCAGCCTTGACTTCCCAGGCTCAAGCAATCCTCCCATCTAAGCCTCCCGAGTAGCTGGGACTACAGGCGTACATCACCATATCCAGCTAATTCTTCTAATTTTTGTAGAGGTGAGGTCCCACTCTGTTGCTCAGGCTGGTCTCGAATTCCTGGGCTTAAGTGGTACGCCCACCTTAGCCTCCCAAAGTGCTGGGATTGCAGGTGTGAGCCACTGTACCTGGACCATATTTATGTCTTTAATCAATTTGGATTCAATAGTCAAGAATGGTTGAGCAGTAAGGCCACAGTTTTATGTGAAGAAAAAAGTTTTCTCAGCCTCATTTATCGAGTAGCTCATACCGCCCTGGAGACGCACAGTGCCTCCCCGGCATGTGCATGAGGGTCCGTCTGAGACTCTCCGTTCACTTCCTGTTCTATTTTTACACTCCCTGGTCCGTTCCATCTTCATTACTGCAGCTTTTAGTAAGTGTGGACATCTAGGAGGGGACTCCTCTCTATCTTGGTTTTTTTTCTCTTCATAGATATCTTTTCTATTTTTGAGCCTTTTCTTATGCATAAAATTTTGAAAACCAGCTTGTAAAGTTCCTCAAAAACACCCTTTGGAATATAGATTGGAAACACATTTGATTTTTAAGTAATTTGGAGAGAATATGCCTCTTAATGATGAGTCCTCCTAATCATGGTAAATCCATCTTTCCTTCTGTTTAAGCCCTTCTTTAACATCGTTCAGTAAAGTTTACGTCTCCATACAAGTTTGCACATATTTTATTAGGTCCATTTCTAGGTAAATTATGTGTTTAGTTGGCATTGGAAATGAGCTATAAAAAAAAACTACATTTTTCTAAATGGTCAAAATATATGAATAGGCCGTATACAGAGGCAAAGAATCCATATAACCCATGAGCATCTCAAATATAATCAAGGGAAACAAATTAAAACAAAAAGATTTAATTTATTACCTATTCCACTAGTAAAACTAATGTTTGACAATACGAGTTTTGGTGAGAATATGGGGAAAATGAAAACTCTCAGGTATTGCTGGTGGGATGATAAATGGGTTCGATCGCTTTGGGGAGTGTTTTGGGAACCCATAGTGCCACTGAGGGAACATAGCCCACTGCCCTGTAAGTCCATAGGTAAATTAAATATCTAAATTCCCTGTGTTGTTCAGAGAAACTCTCACATATGTGCAAAACAGGGAATGTATGAGGTTGCCCATCCCAATGCATTTCATCATTTTGAAACAGTGTCCCTTAGAAAATGAATGAATAAAAGGAAGTTTATTCACTTAATAGAAAAGGATACAGTAAAAAAAAAAAAAGCACTGGGAATCTGTGTATTACAACAAACAAATCTCAAAAACACATATTTCTGAAAAAAAAAGCAAGTTGCAAAAAGGTTACATACATTATGAAGCCATTTTTAAAAGTCTAAAACATACAGAGTAGCAATATATATTGTTTATAATTGCTTATACATGTCGTAAATGTCCAAAATCATACATGGTTAACACCTACTAACTCCATGATCATTATTAATTTTGGAGAGAAAGAGAGGAGAAAATAATGACCAATCTTTAGTTGTATCTTCATATCTGGAACATAAAAAGAGAGAGGAAAAAAAGAGAAGGAAGAAAGTGTACCAAAATATGAATATCTGTTTGATCTTAGCAGTGTCACATTATTTTCTGTGTTTTTTTATACATTTAAAATATTCATAGCTAGTGGTGAAAAAATTTCTTAAATAGTTGTATATTTCTATCATCTAGGAGTGAGGAAGACATTTGCAAGTGTGAACGACACAGGAAAGATTAATAGGAAAGATTAATAAATTGACTAGGTAGAAATGATAGCTTTTACTGCATAATACATACCATGCTGTAATACATAATACAAACACAAAGTTCAGTTGGGCATGGTGGCTCACACCTGTAATCCCAGCACTTTGAGAGACCAAGGCAGGAGGATCACTTGAAGTCAGGTGTTTGAGTACAGCATGGCGAACATGGAGATACCCCGTCTCTACTAAAAAGACAAAAATTAGCGAGCATGGTGGTGGGCGCCTGTAGTCCCAGTTACTAGGGAGGCTGAGGCAGGAGAATCACTTGAACCCCGGAGAAGGAGATTGCAGTGAGCTGCGATGGCGCCACTATACACCAGCCTGGATGGCAGAGCAAGACTCCATCTCAAAACAAACAAAAAAAATTAGTAAGTTAAAAAGCATAACCTAAATTAAGAAAAATATTTACATTTATGACATTAATGTAAAAATTACACATATTTATCACATAAAGAGGTCTTCCATATCATTGACAAAATGATAAATACCTTAATGTAAAAAGTGGTAGAAGACGTGGATGATCAAATCATAATAAGAGAAACACAAGTGGCTAATAAGTACATGATAAAATCAATAGAAAAGTAAATTAATACTATGTTGTTCATCACTTTTCACTGAGCAGATTGACAAAGTTGTTTTTTTTTTTTTTAATTTGTTATAAACCATTGTCCAGGGACTGGAGAAATGGCTTCCTTCATCACGGTGAGAATGTAAACCAGTCTTACCTTTATAAACATTAATTTAGCTTCATAGATCAAGATCTTTAAAAATGTGCATATTCTTAAACACCATAATTCCGGTTATGGAAACATAGCTTAAAAATATTGGACAATTGAATATTTACCTTACAACAATGTTTACTGTGGGTTTATTTATAACAGCCAAAAGTTGAAAATAACTTATTTGACCATTAGTGATTAAATAAATTAATGGTAAATTTGTACAATAGCATGCAGTTATTCATATGGTTCAAAATTACATTTATTTATATATAATTTATACTGTACTGTTCACAGAAATAACCAAGTTATGACACAATATAAACAGTTTGGCCCATTTTTCAAGACTATATGTATATGTAACACCTTTGAAAATGCATACACTGAACATTCACAACGATTTTCCATTGGTGGTAGGGTTGTAACTGATTTTTTTTCCTTTGCGTAGATGAGAATTTTCTAATTTTCTACATGTGCAGTACTTGCTTAATAAAAAATGAGATTGAAAAGTAAAAGACCACTTTTTTGTAAGCCAGCTCAGAAAGGATGAAAAGAATAATAACCCTTGTTTAAGAAAGTACAGGGAACTACATACTTCCATACTGCTGTACGAAATGTCTGAAGGACAATTTGCCAAAATATATCGGAAGACTTAGAAAGGTTATGTATGCTCTTGAGCGTGGGAATCCCACTTGTGGGATTTTTAACCTCAACAAAAATTAAGGGAAGATATGAGGAAAGAGAAAGGGCATGAGCAAAGGACATTTTTGCAGCATGTTTATGATCTTGAGAAAATGGAAACAGCTGGGGTGTGCGGCAGAAGAAGTGGGGAAAATGACAACGGTTCATTAAACCTCACGATCAGATGCTGACAGCCCCTCACAGGTTGCTGCAGACAAAACAGGGAACGACAGGAAAAAGATGACCGTGATACGCTCTGCTAAAAGCAGGTCGCAAAACAGGATGTAGATAATGATCCCATTTTGCTTTTTTACAAAAAAAAAAAAAGGCCATGGAAAATTACATATCACGAATGTTCAGAGTGGCTGTCTCTGGATGATGGCATTGGAGTTAATTTTATCTTTCACTCTATTTTCTGAATTTCCTATATCAAAAGCAAATTGATGGTGTGAAGGGGAAAGCATATTTAATGTGATTCCTAAAAGGCTCAGCCCTCCCTGCATGGATTGAGCACTGAAAGAAGAGGGTTCTGTCACCTCTTTCGTGCTGACCCTTGCCTTTTCTAATGTTGCTCAGAGGCACACAGACGTATTTGCTTTAAGTAATTGCTTGTCTGTTTTTAATATCACATTTTGAAAAGGTATTTAGACAACATGAGTTTATTACTTTCTGTTTAACCCAAATCCTTCAGAGGTACTTAAAGCAAAATGTAAAGTCCTCTTATCCCTTTGTGAATTTCAGTCCCCAGAAGTCTCACTGTTAGTAGTTTGATTTTTACCAAAAATGTCCAGGTATTTTCTTTTCATCTGCAAATGTGTTAATAGACTCCTTTTTTTAAATTTCACACAAGCAGGATTATATCATACAAAACATTCTGCAATTTACTCTTTCATGTAACAATAATGTATCCTGGGTATTTTTCTTTGCCAGTTCAGATCTCTTTTATCCTTTTACTAATTTATTTACCTATCTATTCATTTGCTTAACTTGATTTTATTATTATACAAGTTATCCATGAATATTGTTTTCAAAAATTTAAACAGTCAGAAAAGGTATAAACTGAAAACTCAAAAGTTCGCCTTCCCTGCCACCACTCATGTGCCCTCCTCAGAAGCAAGGAATGGAGCAGCTTTTGTGGGGTTTTTTGTTTTTTCTCTGAGACAGAGTCTCATTCTGCCGCCCAGGCTGGAGTGCAGTGGCATGATCTCGGCTCACTGTAATCTCTGCCTCCCTGGTTCAAGCGATTCTCCTGCCTTAGCCTCCTGAGTAGCTGGAATTACAGGCACCCACCACCATGTCCGGCTGATTTTTGTATTTTTAGCAGAGACAGGGTTTCACCGTGTTTTCATTAGAGACAGGGTTTCACCATGTTGCCCAGGCTGGTCTCGAACTCCTATCCTCAGGTGATCTGCCCGCCTCGGCCTCCCAAAGTGCTGGGATTACAGGTGTGAGCCACCGCACCCAGCTGCAGCTTTTGTTTTTAAACATTCTTTTCATTACAGTTACAACTTCAAGAAATACTAATGCCAATATCTCTGAGCTAAATACACTGACAGATGCAGAATGCACTTCATCATGCTGTCTCTTTTCTTACCTGGCTTTCACCTGCACACTCCCCTCTCCATTTCCTAGATTTTTATCAGCTGTTTTGTATCCTAGTGATTGGCTTTATGACTTTAAATAATATATTTAAATGTTTACGTCTCAATTCATTAGCTTTAGGCAGTATCTGAAGTTAACACCTGCTCACAAACACTGCTTTCAAATTCACATCCTACTTTTTTGTTATACTGTTATTTTTACATATTAAGGCTTATCATATATATATTCTGGCTGGACTTGGTGGCTCATACTTGTAATCCCAGCACTTTGGGAGGCCAAGGCGGGTGGGTCACCTGAGGTCAGGAGTTTGAGACCAGCCTGGGCAAAATGATGAAACCCCATCTCTAATACAAATACAAAAATTAGCTGGGCGTTGTGGCACATGCCTGTCGTCCCAGCTACTTGGGAGGCTAAGGCAGGAGGATCACGTGAACCTGGGAGGTGGAGGTTGCAGTGAGCTGAGACTGTGCCAGTGCACTCCAGCCTGGGGGACAGAGCAAGACTCTGTCTCAAAAAAACAAAAAATTATATTCTGTTGTGTTCAGTGCTTATATAATTTTACTGTGTTTCATCAGTAGGTTAGTACTCAAAACTTTTTCAGTTGAAAATCAGGCACTACAATAATATAACTATGTAAATTTTGTTCTGTAGAATTAAGTGGGATAATTGAATACATAGAGAAGGCCATCTGATACTATGTCATTAAAATTTGCCATTTGAGGGAGAATTTCCCAAATATCAAGGTTTTATGAAGCCTCTTTCGTTTTCTTTTATGTGCTTGGGGGTCACACTCGGCTATCCTTATTTCTTATAACTCATGTCATTCTTATTTGCAGTTTCGTTAGAGGACGTCCTAGTGTCGCTTATTCTTTCCTGTACGTGCATGCTCGCAAGGGGTCTTTCACTGTCCTTAAGGCTTAATGTGGACGTCTAGACAGCAATAAGCTTTTTCTACCAGCTTACAAAACTCAACACACCAAAGACTATACAAAACTCCATACCCTTCAATGGCTTGCAATGCTCTTTTTAAAAGTCACCTCTAAGGGGGTGTAAATAACATTCCACAAAATTCACCCATTTGGGGCACAATTATGCATTTTTGCAAATATATACTCTTGTATAAAGTCCACCACAATCAAAATGGACAACATTTTCACCACCCCAATAAGTTTCCTTTAGCCCTTTCTGTTCATACCCCTTATGCTACCTCCAACCACTGATCTACTTTCTAGAACCATAGCTTTGCCTTATCTAGAATTTTTCTTTCTTTTTTTTTTTTTAGTGGGGAAGGAGTTTAATTGACATAAGCCTAGCCCACACAGGAGAACTGAGTTGTCACTGAAATTAGTCTCCCCAAAGGTGTGAAGGTCAGGACTTTTATGGACAATTTGGTGGGCAGGGTAATAGATAATGGGTGTTGCTGATTGCTTGTAAAAGAAATCGTAGGGGTGTGGAAAATTGCCCTTGTGAGTGAGTACTCCTTTGGGTGGGGCCACAGGACAAGTTGAGTCATGAGTTTTGAGTTTGGGTGGGGTCCATTGGTTGCCAGAATGCACAAGTCTGGGTGTAAAAAAAAAAAAAAATCTCAAAAGACCAATCTTAGGTTCTGCAATAGTGATGTTATCTACAGGACCAAATGGGGGAGTCAGAAATCTTGTGACCTCTGGCCACATGACTCCTGAGCAGTAAGGGATTACAGAAATTATGCCTACATTTTAGCAGAATTCAGGTCCCCCCATAATCCTGTTCTTGTGGGCTTTCTTAGTCTTACAAGGGTGATTTTTGCTCCCTGAGCAAGGAGGGGGTTAGTTTTGGGGAGGGACTATTATCATCCTTGCTTTTTCTTTGAGACAGAGTCTCACTCTGTCACCGAGGCTGGAGTTCAATGGCGTGATCTCAGCTCACTGCAATCTCTGCCTCCCAGGCTCAGGTGATCCTCCCACCTCAGCCTCCCAAGTCATTGGCACTACAAGCACATGCCTCCATGCCTGGCTAATTTTTGTATTTTTTGTAGAGATGGAGTCTTGCTGTGTTGTCCAGGCTGGTCTAGAACTCCTGAGCTCAAGTGATCTCCCACCTTGGCCTCCCAAAGTGCTGGAATTACAGGCATGAGCCACTGCACTTGATGATCATTCTTGCTTTTAAGTTAAACTATAAACTAAATTTCTTCCAAAGTTACTTTGGTTTATGGCCAGCAATGACCAAGGAGAGCTTGGAGGTCAGAAGCAAGATGGAGTCAGCCATGTCAGATTTCTCTTACTGTCATAATTTTGCAAAGGTAGTTTCAATCCCCCTCACACACACTTGGGCTTCAGCACCCCTCAATCCTGAGGTGTTAGCTACGGAGATGAGAAAAGGCTAATGATTGCTCTAACTTCTTCCTGCTGACAGGGGGCATATTTGGGGGAGGGGTTGACCCCAGGGTAAAAGGAGTGGAAGTGTCTTGCAGTTGCCTGTATGTATTCAAGTGCAACTTGTTGGGGTCCAACATGTGTATAACGAAAACATTGGTGCTCTTATCCACAGATTTAGTACAGCATTTAAGAAGAAAAATAATGAGCCGTAAAAAGGAACGAGATTATGTCCTTTGCATGGAAGTGGATGGAGGTGGAAGGCATTATCCTCAGCAAACTAACGCAGGAACATAAAACCAAACACTGTATGTTCTCAATTATAAGTGGGAGCTGAACGGTGAGAACATATGGACACACAGAGGGGAATAACACACACTGGGGCCTATTGGGGAGCGGGAAGGAGAGCATCAGGAAAAATAGCTAATGGATGCTGGACCGAATACTTAGGTGATGGGTTGATAGGTGCAGCAAACCACCATAGCACACGTTTACATATGTAACAAACCTGCACATTCTGCACACGTACCCCATAACTTAAAATTTAAAATAATAGTAATAATAATAATTAGCCCTAATATAAGGAGTGAAAGTGTAAATCGCCCAGTGGGTTCACCTTGCCCGCTGCCTAGACAAAGCCAATTTATCAAGACAGAGGAATTGCAAAAGAGAAAGAGTAATTCACACAGAGCCAGCTGTGTGGAAGACCGGAGTCTTATTATTACTCAAATCAGCCTCCTTGAGCATTCGGCGATCAGAGTTTTTAAGAATAATTTGGTGGGTGGAGGAAGCCAGTGAGTCGAGAGTGCTGATTGGTTGGGTCAGAGATGAAATCACAGGGAGTCAAAGCTGTCTTCCTGCGCTGAGTCAATTCCTGGGTGGGAGCCACAGATCAGATGAGCTGGTTTCTTGATCTGGGTGGTGCCAGCTGATCCATCAAGTGCCAGGTCTGCAAAATATCTCAAGCGCTGATCTTAGGAGCAGTTTGGGGGGTGGGAGATCAGAATCTTGTAGCCTCCAGCTGCATGACTCCTAAATCATAATTTCTAATCCTGTGGCTAATTTGTTAGTCCTACAAAGGCATCTAGTTCCCAGGAAAGAAGGAGGGTTCTTCTGGAATGCGCTGTTATTGTCTTCATTTTTAACTACAAACTATAAATTAACTTCTTCCCAAAATTAGTTCAGCCTATGCCCAGGAATGACCAAGGACAGCTTGGAGGTTAGAAGCAAGATGCAGTTGGTTAGGTTAGATCTCTTTCACTGTCTCAGTTGTAATTTTGCAGCGGCAGTTTCAAAAGTCCTAGCTTCAGGAGTCCCTGTAGAACTGACCTGAAGCCTCAAGGAATCCAGGTGAATAACCCCAAAAATCAACCAAATATGGGGTCATCAGCAGAAGCTCAAGAACAATGGATGAGGCTGGAATCTAATAACAGGTGTGCTGTAGCTGTTTTGAAACATAATTTTTCTCTCTCCAGTTTATTTTTACTAAAGACAAGACCAATTTATTTGCAAAATAAGCTTGCCTTATTATACTTTGCCTAATTATTTACATAAAGTGCAGCAAGAATAATTATTGGCCATATAGGCTCTTTTTTTCTAACTGGCTTTGCTGGAATTTTTTTCATAAGGAATCTCAGATTAGACCTTTTAAAAGTCTCTTGAGCCCAGCCAAGGATTTATTTGTGCCTGCAGATACTTGTATGAATTGGGTGAATTCCTTTCTTCTTGAGGTCCCAACAAAGCTTGGAGTTCCTGGGCCTGTCAGAAAGTGACATTCTTTATTTGCCACAGGTTGGGAATCCTGTACAGGACAAGGTAGGAGGCCAGTTCCTCCAAGGGGCTTTCATCAGCTCTGTAGGTCAGCCTCGATTTCTTAAAGCAGTCTGAAAATATGTCATTTCAGTCAAAGCCTTGGTAAAATAAGCAGTGTCTCCAACTGTGTCTTGCTACAAAAGAAAACACATTCTTATTGAACTTACTCAAGTAACTATATTGCCTTATGTTAAAAATAGTCACAGATAATTTCCAAATTCTGGAGAAGGCAGGTAAAGAGAAAGAAATATGCTCTAAATTTTGTTTACAGGAGTATATTTTGCTCAATTGTTAAAAGTTGTATTCTCAGTAGAAGTTTTCTTTACTCTGAAAAACAAAACAAAAAGAATCAGCAACATTTTAAGTGAAAAGTCGAAAAGATTTTTCCAGTTACTGAACGTTTTGGTTGTTTCCAGCTGGGAGCTAATTAATATGAGTAACAATGCTAAGAACATATATGTCAAGTCTTTCTGTGGTCATATGTTTTTATTTCTCTTGGATAAGCAACAAGAAGTGAAATATCTGGGTCACAGGTTAAGAAGCTCCCAAATTGTTTCCTAAAGTTGTTTCGTTTCACCTTACCATCAGCCTCAGGTGAGCATTCTAGTTTCTCCACATGCTTGCCAACACTTGGTATGATCGGTCATCTAATTTTAGCATCTGGGTGGTTGTGTGGTGGCATTTCACTGTGGTTTTAGTTGCCATTCCCCTAATGACTGACGACACCGAACACCTGTTCATGGGTTTGTGTGCTGCTCAGCTGTCTTCTCTGTTCAACTGTTTGTTAAATTGAATTTTTGGCTTCTTTTATAGAGTTTAAAAGTTAATTATATATTCTCATATAGATACATGTTTTTCAAAAATGTCCTGCCTGTCTCTGATTTAGCTATTTCTTTTCTTAATGGTGTTTTTAAAGTGCAGAAGTTCTTAATTTTGAAAAGTCTAATTTATCAATTTTTCTTGTATACTTTATGATCTTCTATTCTAAGGGAATAATCTATTCTAAGGGAATAGAAGGTCACGTTTGTATGCTTCTGACTCATATTCTTTATATCCTTTGTGACACCAAGGTCACAAAGATTTCCTTCTAGGTTTTCTTCTAAGAATATAATGTACCTCTTTAAAGCAGCTTTTAAGATTGTTTTTATTTATCATTGGTTTTCAACAATACGATTATAATGTACCTTGGTGTGGTTTTCTTCATACTTGGGGTTGATATTCTTGAGTCTTCGGGTCTATAGCTTCTATCAAATTTGGAATTTCCATTTTTGGTTTCTTTAAGTTTCATAGTCTTTCTGGTAGCCCAGTTACGTGTCTTCTGACTGCGTGCTAATTTCTCCGCAGTCACTGATGCTCTGTTGTTTATGTTCACCTTTTTCTCCCTGTGCTTCACTGTGGGTACTTTCAATTGCAGTGTCTCCAAGCCCTCTGACCTTCCTTCTGCAGCACCCAATGTACTATTCATCCCATCTAGAGTTTTGGTTGTTTGTTTGTTTGTTTTTGAGACAGAGTCTCGCCCTGTTGCCCAGGCTGGAGTGCAGTGGCACCATCTCGGCTCACTGCAACCACAGCCTCTCGAGTTCAAGTGATTCTTCTGCATCAGCCTCCCAAGTAGCTGTGATTACAGGCACCTGCCACCAAACCCAGCTAGTTTTTGCATTTTTAGTAGAGATGGGGTTTCACCATGTTGGCCAGGCTGGTCTCAAACCCCTGACCTCAAGTAATTCACCTGCTTCGGCCTCCCAAAGTGCTGGGATTACAGGCATGAGCCAATGTACCTGGTCATGTTTTTTTTTCCTTTTATAAAAAATTTTAATATTTATTTATTTATTTATTTATTTGAGACAAAATCTCGTCTGTTGCCCAGGCTAGAGTGCAGTGGTGTGATCTTGGCTCACAGCAACCTCTGCCTCCCAGGCTCAAGCAATTCTCCTGCCTCAGGCTCCCAAGTAGCTAGGATTACAGGCACGCACCACCATGCCCAGCTCATTTTTTTTTTTTTTTGTATTTTTAGCAGAGACAGGGTTTCACCATGTTGGCCAGACTGGTCTCGAACTCCTGAGCTCAAATGATCCTCCTGCCTCGGCCTCCTGAAGTGCTGGGATTACAGGCATGAGCCGCCACTTCTGGCCTCTCTTTTTTCTTAATTTCAGATATTGTATTTTTTTTAATCTCTAGGAGACCCATTTAATTTTTTTATGTCTTCATTTTCTCTCTTCATTGTCTTATTGCTTTCAGTTATATATTTGAACCAGTTTATATATTTTTGTCATTTCTGTTTTAAGGCACTAGTCTACTAATATCAAAATGTGTGCAATTTCTGCTCATGTTCCTCTCAATTAACTTTTCTCCTAGTTGAGAGTCATGTTTTTCTGTTTCTTTGCATGCCTGGCAATTGTTACTGGATGACAGGCACTATGAGTGCTGAATATGATTAGTGAGCGCTGAATATTATCGTGTTTCTTTAGAGAGTGTCACACTTGCATGTGGCACACTGTTAAGTTACCTGTGGATAAAATTGGTTTTTGAATAACAGTTCTGTGACTTACTGTACCTTCAGCAAGCCCTTAAGCCTCAAGGAGCCTGAGTTTCTTCATCTGTAAAATGGGAAGGTATATGTCTGCTGTCAGGGCTACATATAATACATGAAAAGCATGCAGTAAAATGCCCAGCCTTGAGTCAGAAGGTGTACTAGGCACTGTGCCAGCATCATTAGTATTCATGTTTTTATGTGATAGGCAAATCCTGCAACCGTTTTATGAGTTAATTTTAAATCTCTGCCTCTCTAGCAGGACATCTGTGTCTCTAGATCCACTCAGTAATTACAATCAACCCAAGCATGTTAAAGGCCTGAGACCTTTTCTTTTCTTTTTCTTTCTTTAACATTTTCCATTCTCATGTTTGAAAGCATAAAAGAGAACCTTTCAGTCTAAATGTTCTCCTGCACCCTCAAACCCGATGGAGGTGCTTCTCACTGCACGCTCCCTTCTTACACATTCCACCTCTGGGTTCTGCCAAGGAAACATTGGAGAAACAGCTCCAAAGGATTGAATGATGTCCAGGGCCTTTTAAGAGAGGTTCAAGTCGTGACCAGATGTGTATCTGGGTAAGATACGTGTGAACCTCCGTGGGAAAGACCAAGGGTTTGAAGTCAGAGATGTGGCTCAAATCTCTCTTCTGTGCTTCAGTTTCTTCCCTGTCTGCCGGAGGAGGAGGAGGAGGAGGAGGAGGAGGAGGAGGAGGAGGAGGAGAGGAGTAGGAGGAGGGGGAAGGGGAGGTGGAGGAGACGGAGGGGGAGAGGGAGGGAGATGGGGAGGGGGAGGATCTATCTAGTTTACAGGGTCCTCATGAGGCTCATGTGGGAAAATGCTTTGCAGGCTGGAAAGTACCACAGAGGTGTGAGTTATTATAAAAAGGGAAGTTATTTCCCTCTGTCAAAAAGCTATGCAGAAATATACTAATATGTAAGAAATGTTTGTATGGAGGACAGAAATAATTCATTTCATGGAGAGACAAGAGGATCACTGGCAGTAAAACTGCAGGCATTATTTATGGGAGACTCAAAGGAGGGAATGCCCCGTGTTGGCGGGCCTGCCTTTCAATCCTTGTCACAAGTCATGATCCAGAAGCTCGGCCAATTGAAGAAAGGGTCTCCATGAAGTGGAGCTCATGACCTGCCTGCATCAGCATCACTGGGGGCATTTTTTAAAAATGCAGATACCAGCACTGCTGGGGCTGGGGTTGGGAGTCTGCAAACTCCCCTGCTGGTTAAAATGCAAACTGAGGTTTCAGAACTATTGTGCCAAAGAATCATAACTGACTCCATTGGGAAGTAATGACCCATGATTTGATTTCTCATTTAATTTTTCAAAATGCAAACAATGCAAAAAGTTAAAAATTGAAAAATAGGTTAAGGCCCATAGTCTCATCAATACAAGACACAACTGTAGTTGGATTAACATTTTGGCATATTGCTAACATATTTTAATAATCACTACTGTGAGAGTTTTTTAAAACATAAATTTACATGGTGTTCCCCCCCCAAAAAAATTCACTCACATAAAGGAATTTTATCCGTCCCCAGAATTACCTAATGAATTTCAAGCTTCTCTGTTAGCAGAATCAAATGTAGGTGACTCGATAAACAAGTGTCTGTCTTTGACTTAACACAGCTTTATAAAAATGCCTTCTTCCTTCCTTCCTGAAGGTCTGCTCAGCCCCCTCAAACTTTTTACCACCTGAAAATCTTTTCTATCAATTTTACCACAATGGGGGGAGGTGAATTTCCACAAAAGATCTTTTCACTTTAAAAAATTGAAATGGCCACATAATTTCTCCTCCTAACTGTGCCGAAGTACCTAAAAGTCACAGGTTGGCATTGCTAGGTCAGCCTTTTGCAGGGGCCACACGTGCCCAAGGCCCTTACACACCCAGCCAGGTGTTACAGAGCAGCCTCTCACCATCAGGCTCTGTGCTAGTGCTGGGAAAAGATTCTGCTGGCATTTAAAAGTATTGCACAAGGAGGCCAGATGCAGCGGCTCATGCCTGTATCCAACCCAGAACTTTGGGAGGCTGAAGTGGGAGGATTGCTTGAGTCCAGGCATTCAAGACCAGCCTGGGCAACATGATGAAATCCCACCTCTACATAAAATTGTTTAAAAAATTAGCCAGGCATGGCAGCACGTGCCTGTGGTCCTAGCTACTCGGGAGGTTGAGGTGGGAGGATCACTTGAGCCCAGGAGTTCAAGGCTGCAGTGAGCCATGATCACGCCTCTGCACTCCAGTCTGGGTGACAAGAGACAGACAGATGAATGAAAGAAAGAAAGAAAGAAGGAAAGAAAGAAAGAAAGAGAGAGAAAGAAAAAGAAAAGAAGGAAAGGAAAGAAAGAAAGAAGAAAGAAAGAAAGAAAGAAAGAAAGAAAGAAAGAAAGAAAGAAAGAAAGAAAGAAAGAAAGAAAGAAAGAGAAGGAAAAGGGAAGGGAAGGAAGGAAAGGAAAGGAAGGGATATATTGCACAAAGCATTAGCTGTGAATGACTGTAGCACACACTCTACAATCCAGCAATGGAAAAGCTTTGTTTTCTGAACGTGTTTTCTATCTTCATGTGTTTGGAAAAACACCTATTTCTGAAATACTACCCAACCCTGTTGGGAGTATGCCTGGTATTTTTTTCTAGTGTTCCCAGTTTCTCATCCTTTGCTCTTTCAACTCCCAACTAACAAGTGTGGAAGGACTGATGGAATCAGAGCACGCCCATTTTGTAACCACTAATGGGACTTTTAAATGTCGGTGAGGAACTTGTCAATGGAGGAATAGGGATGCCTGAGCCTCGACCTATCTTAGCATCACTAAAATGGTGCAGGTAAACACTGTGAGCCTCCTGGTAGGATGCAACATGGAGCACAGATCACCTCCTCGACAGCATCTCTACCAAGAGGGGCTGAGCTTGAATCTAATGGAGCCTACAGAGGTAACTCTATGTGTAAGAAGGACGAGAGGGAAGAGCAAGTGATGAACCATCACAAGGACGCAAAATCCAAAATGGAGAACATTCTATAGGACTGGCCTTTACAAATCAAAGGCTTGAAACTAACCAAAGTCAGAGCAGAAGGGACTCCTGTTTAAAGGAAACCTAAGACGTTGAGTTATATACGAACCTTGTTTGAATCCTGAGTAGGACAAACTAAGCAAGAAGCTATTTTTAAGTCAATTGTTAAAATGTGATTATGAATTGGGTTCAATGGCTGGATGGTTAGATGATACCATGGAAATATTGCTAGTTTTGTTAGATGTGATGAAGTAACATTGGGGTTATGTGAGCAAATGTCTCCATGCTTTAGAAACAAATGCAAAATATGGGGTGGTGAAATGACTTACTTCACTACATTGATTTCGTGTTGTTTCCAAGTTTCATTCATTTAGAGGAAATAAAATGATATGATGTAAAATACTGCAACCCAGAAAACAATTTTAAAGATAATTATTGAATGTGGGTGATGAGTGTAGAAGAGTTCTATTATTATTAATATTATTATTTTATTTATTTTTTTGAGACAGTCTCACTCTGTCAACTAGGCTGGAGTGCAGTGGCAGGATCTTGGCTCACTGCAACCTCCACCTCCTGGTTTCAAGCGATTCTCCCACCTCAACCTCCCAAGTAGCTGGGATTACAGGCATGCGCCTGGCTAATTTTTATAGGCACGTGCCTGGCTAATTTTTGTATTTGTGGTAGAGACGGGGTTTCACCATGTTGGCCAGGTTGGTCTCAAACCCCTGACCTCAAATGATCTCCCACCTCAACCTCGCAAGTGCTGGGATTACAGGCATGAACCACTGTGCCTGGCCAATATTCTTGACTTTAGTATATTTTGGAAGGTTTCATAAAAAATAGTTTTCATCTAAAAAAATCTGTTGTAGCCATCCTTCTCAGGTCTGGCTAGCGTTTTCTCCCAGGTGGAAGTAATTTCTTTTTGCTGAGCTCACAAAACACTTTACCCAGGCCTCTCTTTGGTACAGAATCATGCCCACTCTGAACTGATGGAATCGGGTGCATGCCTTTCCTCCTTATTTTCCTGTGAGAGTGGGCTCCATCCTTGTTTCATGCCTGTACCTTCCGCTATGCCTGACATAGTTCATGGTTGACAGCAACTGAATGTCTGTGGCTGAATGAATAGAAGAACCTCGTTGCTAGGAACTGTTATCGGGGCTGTTTCAGGTTCACATGTGGAGAGGTCAGTATTAGGGCAAAGGTGAGGAAGCCTCATTTCAGTGGTGTTGTCCTGAGTTGAGACATGAAACATGAATTTTAACTCAAATTCTTTGGCCCCTTCTTTAATTCAGAGCCATAGGCCAATCACCGTACTTTCTTCATTTACAAGATGAGTATAGCATTGGTGGTTTGTACTGGGAGAATTTGGAATTCTGGATGTTGGTGAGATGCTCCATATGGGATCTCATGCCGGCAGCTAGCATGGCATTGTGATCGCGACACCCAGGGTGAGTCCCAGCTTTGCCAGTAGGTACCCCTGTTCTACCTGGATGCTACCCACCTATGTCTGGCAGGTCAAATCAGAAAGGCAAAGCCTCCAGCACATAACATGGCAAGGCTTCCAGATACAAAATAGCAAAACTATTTTGCCACAGGGGAGATGATAGGGAATCTGAACTGTCCCCTCCAAGGGACACAGAGCCTCAGGCAGGGCCACAGGTACACCTGTTTTGTGCAGAGGGCTCAAGCAGCCCTGGAGACAGTAACACCCTCCAGCTGCCAGCTCTGCCACCTTCAGCATGACCTTACCAAGCCACCTCGCCTCGCCTTCTTCAGTGGTAAAATGAGGATAACTGTAACCAATTTATCAAGGCAAACATGTATTAGAAAAAAAGAAAAACTCGTTATCCGTCAAGTGCTTTTCAACCATGTCATGCTAGCCAAGTGCAAATAAGGGGTTTCTAGTTTCTCTATTTTTAGTTGATGCCTCCACCACACCCCTTGTTTGACTGAAGCTGTGTTTCAGGCTTTGAGCATCTCCCAAAGCAAACATTGACTGCCCTGCTCTGGTGAAAGTCTGCATTAGAGGGCCTAGCTGGTTTCAAATAAACAAACAACTCCCCTTTCCCACTTCCCCTCCTCTTGCTGACTCCCCCGACTAGACACACATGCACACGGTGCACATGCATGCTCTCTCACACATGCATATACACGTGCACACATAGACACACACACACATATATACACACACATATTCAAGCACATACACACATGTGTATTCACACGCATGCTCTCGCTCTCACACACACACAAGTGCACATAAGTGTGTATGCTTCCTCTCCCACTCTCTCACAAACATACACAGACTCACACCCTTCCCACAATGCAGCAAAGCCATCTGGAGCCCCAGCCAGTGTGTGATGCGTTTTGCCTCTGTCTGGACTTCTGCACTTCCTGGCTTCACCCAACCTGAAACTGCTGGGTGCAGCCCGAGCACCAGTGACAGCCCTGGTTGTCCCATGGCCTCTTGAGGAACCCAGGTCTCCAGTCAAAGCCACTGGAGTAGGGGGACCCATAGAGACCTGAGGTACTCATGAGACCCATGGAAAATCATCTGCACACACACTGCTAAGGAGTCAAAGGACAGAAGTGTAAGTAGTGGGTCATTTAATCTTAGGAATTTTACTTTCTGTCCGGTTCTTTGTTCAATAAATTGAACAACCAATGTTCAATTATGTTGTCTCAGTGGACACAGGTGTTTGCCAGGAAGCTTAAAGTCAATGGCAATATGGCTGGCCAGACTAAGAAAGACAAGAGGGCTGGTCACCTGGGCAGATGCGGAAGTATGAGTCCAAGTCTGGGGAATATACTAGGAGCTGCTGACCACTGGCCCTTCGTTGAGTCAGGGAGGCTGAGAGAGGCCACGAAAGGCCTGAGGTTCAGGCAGCCCTGGCTGGCCACTTAACGGTCATTGTCAAGAACTGCAGGCTGGCCCTGGCTCCAGGCCTTATGCTCCTCTGTTGCTGGGCAAATCACTCAAATCCTCCTTTTATTTTTCTGCTTGTATCAATAATATATGCTTAGTATTAAAGAATTTAAGAAATATATACAATTAAAAGAAAGAAAGTCAAAGTCACATGAAGTCTTATAATCCAAAATCCATTTAGAAAATACTTTGGGGGGACCTGCTTTGCATTAGCACACACACCGTTTTTTAAGTCCGCTGGTTTTTTTTTTGTTTTGTTTTGCCTTACACCACACCTCTGTTTTGTACTCTCCCTTCCTCTAACAATAACCACAGTAAACAACTTGGTGTTCATCCTCCCCAGCCTCTTTCTGTGTAATATGCAAACATATCTACACGCCTGAATAGAGGTTTCTTTTCATTTGGTGTTTGCAAATATGGGATTCCCTCATGCACCTCTTTGGGTCTTACTTTTCTCGTGTAACAACATGGTACCGAAATTCCTCTTGACCTCACTGGTGAAGATCCAGCACATTTTTTTTAGTAGTTGTGTGAGAGATTTATAGAGTGTAGATTTATTCAACAAGTCTTTAATTGCTGGGCAGTTACATTGTTGTTTTCTGTTTGGGATTTTTTTTCGGGGGAGGGGATTGTTTTTCCAACTATTACTACAACAAACATTTTCATCTCTCACATGTGTCTATATAATGATGTTTTATTAACCTGAGATAGTCCAGAGTGGGACTGAAACTCAAAAGGTATGAGTGCTTTTTTATTTTAACAGAATTTAAAAGATTGCCCTTTAAAAGAATTTAAAAGATTGCTTCTTCCAATAATATTTCATGTTTTGTCTAATAAATATTTATTAAGCCCACACTCTGTGCCAGACATTGGTTTAGCAATTTGGATTCAGCAATGAATAAAACAAAGATTCCAGCTCTCACAGAAGATTAATCCTAGAAATGGAGCGTGAAGGAACAAATGAAACAATAATTATAACAAACATTTTACTATTTGGGTTTGTGTTGCACTAACTTCCTATTTCTTATCTTTACACATTTTTCTATTGAATGAATTATATGCTGCAATATACTTCCTGTCAAAAGTTTATGAGCTTTGTATATATTATGAATACACATTTATCTGATGCTTTGCAATCTCTTACCCAATCTATTGCTTATCTACGAACTTCATGAGTAGTTTCTTATACCATCTAATATTTTTAATGTTTATGAATTTGTACTTTTTTTGTTCTCTCTTCGCTTCTGGGTATTTTATCTTTGTTAGTAGTTGTCTCCAAACTCTGGGTTATATACACAGTTTCTTACATTTCTTTTAATTACATTTTTGTTTTTTATTTTTTTCAGTCATACACCTAGAATTTATTTTTTAATATCATGTGAGGTAGGGGTTCAATTGTATTTTCCTTAAGGTAAATAGTCATTTTCCTAATACCATTTATTAAAATAAACTATCCACTTTCTACTGAATTAAAATGCTATCTTTTTCACATACGCGATTCCTGTATTTACCAAAATCTGTTTGTATGTTTTTTATTCTGCTCTGATGATTGTTGTCTACTTTTATTATTCCAATTTCATGCGGTTTTGATTACAATCTTCTATTTCATAATTATAAAGCTAGGTTAAGACTTAATTTAGTCATGTAAAGCTTCAGATGATTTTATGCAATTACAAATTATAATTTTAATTAAAAGAACATTCCATTTATATTAGGAACAAGAAAAACATCACAATCAAAAAAGAGAACAGAGTATAATAATTACAAGACAATGCTACATAAAACTATGGCAACAGATTGGAAAATGTAGATGAAATTAAAGATCTATAAACCATATAAATCATCAAAATGGCACAAAGAGGAGAAAAAATGGGAATAGATCATTCCTATAGAAGAAATTGGAAATGTCTTTAAAGATTTACTATTTGAAAGGGCCCCAGACACAGATGGCTTCACAACTGAGTTCTATTTAGCCTGTGAGGAACAGATAACCCCACTGTTATGAAACCACTCAAGAAGATAGAAAAAAAAAAAAAGAGAGCTCCTCAATATCTGTTACAAAGCCAGCGCACCTTAATGCTAATGCCTCATAGACAAATCTCCCTTGGGAATATAGATTCTCATTCTAAATAAAATATTAGCAAATAGGGCCGAGTGTGATGGCTGACACCTGCAATCCCAGTACTTTGGGAGGCTGAGATGGGCAGGTCACTTGAGCTCTGGAGTTTGAGACCAGCCTGCATGACATGGCAAAACCCTGTCTCTACCAAAAAATAAAAAATTTAGTAGGGCATGGTAGCACATGCCTGTCATCCCAGCTACTCGAGAGGCTGAGGTGGGAGGATCACCTTAGCCTGGGAGGCAGAGGTTGCAGTGAGCCAAGATTAGGTCGTGGGACTCCAGCGTAGGCAACAGAGTGAGACACTGTCTCAAAACAAAATAATTAGCAAATAAGAATCCATCCATGTGCCAAATAGACTAATATGCTGTAATCAAATAGTATTTTTCCAGGAATGTACGGATGTTTCAATAACAGAAAATTTACCAACATAATTTATTACATTGACAAATTAAAGGTGAACATACATCATATTGATCGATATTGTACAGGCACCTGCTAAAATTCAGTAGCCAGCCGCAATACAAACCCATCGTCTCTCTCTCTCTTTTTTTTTTTTCGAGATGGAGTCTCACTCTGTTGCCCAGGCTGGAGTGCAATGGCATGATCTTGGCTCACTACAACCTCCGCCTCCTGGGTTCAAGTGATTCTTTTGCCTCAGCCTCCTGAGTAGCTGGGATTACAGGCCTGCACCACCACACCTGGCTAATTTTTGTATTTTTACTAGAGATGGAGATTCACTGTGTTAGCCAGGCTGGTCTCGAACTCCTGACCTCAAGGGATCTGCCCGCCTCGGCCTTCCAAAGTGCTGGGATTACAGGTGTGAGCCACCGTGCCCAGCCAAACCCATAATCTCTTATCCAAACTTCTGAAACCCTAAATCTCTGAAAACTGAAGTGATACTTGTAACCCTGGCACTATAATTCACTTAGTGGTAAAGCTGATCTGAGCTCACATAAAGAAATACTTAGATATAAAAAGTGTTGGTCTTTAAAACTGTGAATTATTATGTGTTCTGTTTGTAAGGCATACTTGAAAAAACATACTTGTGAATTTTTCGCTTCTGTGGCTTGCTGTCCTATATCGAAATTTGTTATAGTGTTTTCTTTTTCAAGGTGGGTTTGAGGAGCAATGACATGAGGAATGTGCTTTCAGCTCTCTGGAAGAAATGCATGACTGTGTTTCACTTAATCGAAGACGCCACTGATAGGAAGGCTAGCATTTAATTATGTATCACTAAAAGAGAAAAAAAATGCTGCTACTAGTTATACTGCAAAGCATCCTCCATTGTGAGACACCTCCCAGTTCAGAGATATTGAAAAGTGAAAAAAGGTCCATCTTAGAATTGATGAAATATGGTGTGTACATCCAAAGGAAATCACCACTAACAACACGCCCTTCTGACACGCGTGGGGACTTGGGTGCTTCCTCTCTATGATGTCTGCATCTCGAGGAAGAGCCCGATGTAAGTGCAGGAGTGCAGTGGTCTCAGGTCAGACTGGACTCCAGAGCTGGCTCTCACGGGCCAGTTGTTTGACCCTGAGCAAACTCCTTAACATATAAATAGCAGCCCCTGGAATGAGGATGGTGACAACATGGTGGTGTTGATGGTGTCAAAAGGGCCTGTCCCACATCTGCCATCCTAAAATTCTTTACCAAAGAAAAAAACCTGACCACATCTTCCCCCCTTTAAGGAGACCCCTGATATTACTGTGAGGCCGCAGCTAGGCCTCGATGCCTGTGCTATCAATCTGTCCTAAATGTATATAGTGTCTCACCCAAAAATCTGAGAGGGAGAGAACGTTAGTCATCTTCTAACAAAGCCCCTGCTGTTTACCAAAGAGCTAATGGGTCGGAGAGAAAATGTCACTTTCCCAAGTGACACAGCCAGAGACAAAATGAAAACTAAACCCAGAGCCCCAGACACATTGGTGGGCTCTTTCTAGAACACCACGTGGCCTCCCGCTCAGGCTCCTGTCACCTGAGGACCGGGATCCACCCCAGTGGTTTCCAGCGGTTATCTCCAGCCAGAGGATTTCTGTGTCCTAAATGCAGTGCTTTCTGCTGTATGGGCCCCCGAAAAAAGATGGACACCCATTTAGCTCACCCACCCGCTTCTACCCACGTTCTGACTTTGAGGTCTTTGCTGCACCCACTTCCACCCCACCTTTCTAACCAGCCTCCCGGAAGGGGCCAGGGATCCCCTCTGTGCAGAAGATCTGAGGCCCCGCTCTCTCATGTCCTCTGTCTGCTGTGTGTCTCCGACAGGATGGGGCTGGTAAGTAGCAAAAAGCCGGACAAGGAAAAGCCGATCAAAGAGAAGGACAAGGGCCAATGGAGCCCCCTGAAGGTCAGCGCCCAAGACAAGGACGCCCCGCCACTGCCGCCCCTGGTGAGTGATTGCCCACCCCCACCAAGAGCAGATTACTTACTTCTCCTATGCCTTAATGTCCAAGTTTGTAAAATGGGTATAGCAAAATTGCCTTCCTGATAGGGATGTAACGATCTGCAATGTATAAGCAGGTGTGCCATGCAATATAACACGCACAGGACCCGGCCTGGTTAGCTCCCAATAATTCTTAGCCAGAGCTCATTTCTCGAGGGCAGCCTTGAAAAGAAAAAGAAATGTAAAAAGGTCAGCTTGGGGAGAGAGTGTCGTAAGGAAGGATCCGGGTATCTAGCTGCAGCTACTACCTCTCTTCTCCCCAGCAGCTCCTGGAGACCCTTGTCCCCTATGTGGCATTGCTGCTGGCATTCCAAAGAGCCTGCTTTCCTGGGATAAGCATCATGAAACAGGAGGGTGCCTGTCCTCACCTCCCGAGCAGGCTCTTAAGTTTTCCTGGAATCCCATGGGCATTTTAAATGAGGAAAACTTTCCAAAGGAAAAAAAAAGTGAAATTTCAAGTGAAAAGGTCTTATTGCTGGGGAATGCATTTTCCTAGTCATGCAGTTTGATTTGTTTATAAAACACTTAGCTCCTTTTGATGGCTACAGCATGTCTGAAGATGCATTTTTTTTTTTTTTTGAGACAGAGTCTCGCTCTGCTGCCCAGGCTGGAGTGCAGTGGTGGGACCTTGGCTCACTGCAACCTCTGCCTCCTGGATTCAAGTGATTCTCGTACCTCAGCCTTCTGAGTAGCTGGAATCACAGGCACACATGCCACCACACCTGGCTAATTTTTACATTTTTAGTAGAGACAGAGTTTCACCATGTTGGCTAGATTGGTCTTGAACTCCTGACCTCAGGTGATCCACCTGCCTTGGCCTCCCAAAGTGGTGGGATTACAGGTTTGAGCATCCGTGCCGGGCCTGAAGATACATTTTTAGATGATTCTTTGTGCTCTCTCCACTCCCTGACCAGTGACCCCCTTTTGGTTTGGGGCAGTTGGGAGCCTTGCCGCGACCCCCTCTCCTGTGCTGTCCACATGTCCACGTGGTCATCTCTTTATCCTAACAGGGACCTGATGGGGAGACGGGGATTACTAATCCCACTTCCTAGATGAACCCAGGCATCTTACCTATCTCTGTCCCAGTTTAGCGCCGGTCTCAGCGCACAACCACAAGATGTTTATTGAATAAATAATTGATCAAATGGGGAAACTTGGACTTAGACTGATTGAGTAATTTCCCCAAAATTATATGATAATAAGTAGTAGCACCTGGAATTTTTTTCACTTAAAAGAGTCACATAATATGTATATGGAAAAAATTATAATTACTCATTATTCCACTATGTAGAGTCACCAGAGTTGCCTCGAGACCCTTCTTCCGTGTGTTCATTTCATGTGTTCCTATTTTTAAGAGAAACATACATGCACATCATTTTGCAAAATGCTACTTCAAAATTGTGTTCAATAAATATGGAATTAAGAAAAGAATATTTGTAACATATGTCAGGTTGAAAGAATACACCAAAACGCACACTTGTATAGCCACCTCCCAACTTCAGACAAGAAAGAGACTCGTTCCTTTGAATCTCCCTCCTCCCTCCCCTGTTTGTACCCTTCACCCCAGGCCCCAATACCCAGAATCTGTTTATCATTCCTTAGCTTTGCTTTTTAATATTATCACATATGTATTACCCCTAAACGATATTTAGTTTCATTATTCATGTTGTAAACTTTAAATCAACTACATCAAACAGCGCATATGCTTCTGAGACTGGGGTTGTGGCTCCGTGTTACGCATGTGAAACATATCGACGTTGATGCACGTGGCTATTGCTCATTAATTTTATTGCCTGAGTATACTGTAATTTGTTTATTCTTCTGTCATGAGGGTTAGTTCCACGTTTTAAAATTGTTTATGTATCGGTCGGGCATGATGGCTCACGCCTGTAATCCCAGCACTTTGGGAGGCCGAGGTGGGAGGATCACTTGAGGCCAGGAGTTCAAGATCAGCCTGGCCAACATGGCGAAAACCTGTATCTACTAAAAATACAAAAATTAGCTGGGCGTGATGGCGGGCACCTGTAATCTCAGCTACTTGGGAGGCTGAGGCACGAGAATTGCTTGAACTGAGGAGGCGGAGGTTGCAGTGATCCGAGATTACGCCACTGCACTCCAGCCTGGGCAACAGAGCGAGACTCCATCTCAAAAAAAAATTGTTTATGTATTATGATTTTTGCTAGGAGCCCTCTTGTACACATTCCCTTGTACACTCTTGTACACATACACAGAAGTTTCTCTACAGGATATATACCTACAAATATGTTTGTCGAGTTTTGGGGAAATATGCTTTTTAAATATTTTTTCTTGTCAACAAATACCCGTTTGCAGTTTGATCTTGTAATGGTAGAGCCAGGATGTTAAGCCCAAGTGGTTGGGCTTTCCCTCATTGTCCACAGCTGTCTCATATCCACATTGGGGCATCCCCCAGCGCGGTCAGGGCAAAGGCAGCAGAGGGCGGGGGTCTGTCTGAGGGTAGTGCTGGTCCCTGGGTACAGAATGTCCCTGAGCAGCCCCCACAGGCAGCTGCCTCTCCTCCTTCAGTAGGTCCCTGGAGATACCCTGGCTGCCCGGCTCAGCAGTCTCAACCCCCAGGCCCCACCCACGCAGCAGGGACTGAAATAACTCAAGTGTGTGTTTTCTACCCAAGGTTGTCTTCAACCACCTTACTCCTCCACCGCCCGATGAACACCTGGATGAAGGTAAGAAGGGTGGTTTGGGAAGCTGAGGCTCCACAGCCCTCTCCCCTAGGTGGCAGCTTTGTGGAGTTGGAAAAAGGTTGAGTCAGGAGCAGCTTGAGGGCTGGAGAAGAGAAAACGGGGAAGCTGAGAGAGGCCCCGGCTCTGTGCCTCTTGGGGCGTCTCTTCAGGAACCAAGAACAAGTTTCTTCAGTATGCCTGAGCCTGGGTGGGACTTTTAAAACATGAAAGACTTTACAAACTGTAAACAAGAACAAAAACAAGAGTCCCAGGGAAGACACACAGCATCATCAAACCCAAGTTTTAAAATATGCTAACTCTCAAACGCAAAGGGCTGGGCCAGTGGCTCCAGGCCCTTGCCTCCAGCCCCTGTCCGCTCTATGTGGAGGGCACCTTCTTGTTTCCCGCTCCCAGTCACTTCGAGAGTCCCGCTGCTGACCACCTAACCACCCACGCCCCTCCCTGGTCCCCAGACTCCACTTGGTTTTTTTTGAGACAGAGTCTCGCTCTTGTCACCCAGGCTGCAGTGCAGTGACCCAACCTCAGCTCACTGCAACCTCCACCTCCCGGGTTCAAGAGATTCTCCTGCCTCAGCCTCCCAAGTAGCTGGGATTACAGGTGCACACAACCACACCGGGCTAATTTTTATGTTTTTACTAGTGAGGGGGTTTCACCATGTTGGCCAGATTGGTCTTGAACTCCTGACCTCAGGTGATCTGCCCGCCTCAGCCTCTCAAAGTGCTGGGATTACAGGCGTGAGCCACTGTGCGTGGCCCCTAGACTCCACTTCTGCTCTGGTGGGCTGGCCTGCTGGGTACTGTAGGGAATGAGCTCAGCCTTTCTGGGCCAGAGGCTCCACCCCTGGGGACTCCCAAGAGGGTGGCCTCCTTCAAAGTGACTTCCCACAGCCTCCTCATCATCCATGTCCACACAGCATGGGGAAGGGATGCCTCGGCCAGCCGGGCCCCACCCATTAACCTGCTCATATGATGTGTACTGGGCATTCAGCACACAGAGCCCAGCTCTGTCCCAGGAATGGCGAAGGGGTGACAACAGGTAGATGCGACCCCTTCCCTGGAAAAGCTCAGAATCTGTCACACTTGTGAGCAGAACCTGAATCTTAAAACTTCAGGGAACCACTGTCACCCATTCTGACCCTCGCTTTCCTGCTGAGAAGAGGTGACCAGCCCGAGGTCACAACACTCAGCTCAGTGACAGAGCGGAGCCACCCCACCCGGGGAAGCTAAGTGCTCTCCAGGTGACCTTCATCAGGTGGGTCCTGTGGCTCCCAGAGCTGTGCAGAGAGCCTGCGTCACAGCAGGGCTCACTTGAAGATGGTGCTCCAAGCTCCTGAGCCCTCTTCCTGCCTTCCATCCAGGGCCCGCCAGCAAGGTGGGGGGCCCGGCAGGGTCACTGGCAGCCATAGACAGTGTGGCTGGGGCTCTGGACACAGACAGTGGAGAGGCCAGGGCTCCAGCTGCCACGTGGCAAGACCACCCCTACTGGGGATAGAGGCAGGCGGGGCAGAGGAAGAAAAGGATAAGAGGAGGCTTATGGGCCTCCGAGGGCAGGTGTAGAATAAGAAGATGAGGGCTCCCAGCACTATGTCCGAATGTGGGCCTGAGGCCACCAGCAGCCCAGCAGTGGCTGCCTCCCTGTGGCTGACCTCTGGCCATCAGCTTCCTCACACACGCCTTGTCCAGGTCATAGGGCTTCTTAGTGGGTCTACAACGGAGGACAGGATGGGCTCTGGGGGGCAGCCCATCCCTGGTGGGGTCACAGGGCTGGGGGTGGGGGCCTGTGCTGGGTGAGAACATCATTTCCATCATGGGCAAGCAGAAGCCTGTCCTCCTTGGTAGCCAGGCTCACCCCAGCCCCACCTTCCCGCTTGTGGGCCTGAGTGGTGGTCATCTCTCCCTTGTTCATTTTAGACAAGCATTTCGTGGTGGCTCTGTATGACTACACCGCTATGAATGATCGGGACCTGCAGATGCTGAAGGGGGAGAAGCTACAGGTCCTGAAGGGGTGAGGTTCCAGGACACCATCCCCTGTCCCTGCAGGACCCCCCTCCCCCACATCTCTCCTTTCTCCACCCACCACATCCTCCATGGCTGACCCTGGAAGTCTTCTCCATCGCCCTGCCCCCAGCCCTGGCCCCAGCATTTTCTTGAACTTGGCCCTTTTGTCTTCCTCTCCAAAATCTTTCCGGTGAAGTAATTTCCATTCACAACCTCCTGCTCATCCTTCAAAGTCCACGTTCCATGCCACCGCCTCCATGCAGCCCTCCTGACTCTTTTGGGCATGTGGACCTTGTCCTTTATGCAGGCTGGTCTGGCTGTTCCGTGAAAGCCTTGCATTTAAGCCAGTTGTGTCCATATTTGTCTCCTTTTCAAGACAGGAGCCCACACTGATGACACACACCAATCCCGCTTTAGCTCATTTCCCATGTCCTTCTCAGAAACTCCTTCTAGGTCAGCTCTCTCTCAGTGGCCAGGCTTGTCCTGTGGAGCTCTGAGGGTCTGATTTGGTTCTTGAAGTTCTCCAAAGGCCCTGAGCCAAGCTCACAAAGGTCCTGACTGCTGATTCTATACAGTCCACGCCAACCGTGTTTTTCTCAAGCCTGTCCCCAGTCCCTCACCAAGCTCTGAACACGTCCCATTCATCAAGAGGAAGGCTGCTGGCTGGATCCTTGTGCCCTCTTGGCTGGTCAGGCTGTGTAGATAAGCTCTTCCCCCTAGAACTTGCCCAGATAGCCACTGTACCACTGAGCAGTGGGCACAAGCCCCTTCCTGCCTGCCGTACTCTCTACCCCTGCGGATTCTCTGCCCTCCAGGGAGAGATGACTTTGAGGAGGCCTGAGAGCTGCCCAGTGACGGGCCTACAGGGGCCATGATCTCATCTCTGTTTCCCCTGCTCCCATTAGAACTGGAGACTGGTGGCTGGCCAGGTCACTCGTCACAGGAAGAGAAGGCTATGTGCCCAGCAACTTTGTGGCCCGAGTGGAGAGCCTGGAAATGGAAAGGTAGGTGGGCACGGGAACCCCCCTCGAGCCAAGATGCAGTCACTGTTTCTGCTCCCTGGGCTGTTAGGCAGGGCAGGGCCAGAGTGGGACTGACCAGGGAGCCTGCAGGCACTAGCAAAGAGGGGACAGGAAATGAGCTCTGCTGGGAAAGGCCTCTCTGCTGGCTCCAGACGACATTCAGACTGCTGTGTGACACTGAGCAAGCCGCTCTTCCCAGCTAAACAAGAGCGGTCCTTCTCCTGGCTCCCCTGGATGGAACCGGCCCCAGTGTCTGATGGCCTCGAAGGCTACCAGGGAGGCACTATGACCAGCATCCCCTCCCCTACAGCCTCCATGGGCAGGACTCAGGGCTCAGCCCTCGGGGGCTCCCAGGAGGGTGGCGTTGTTCAGAACTGATTAATACTCCCAATCTTCTAATCCCCCAGCCCCCATCTTCTCCCATGTCCCCATGGCACTGGGAATTTCGGACTCGGCCAGCCAGAGCCCCCACGAATCTGCTCACAGGGACTAGCTCTGCCTGAGGACTGAGGCCCAGCAACGAGTCTTCTCTGGACACTGTGGGCCCCGCTTCTTTCCCTGGAACAGTGTGGGGAACCGTGGGGCTGTCCTGCACAGAACAACCCCATACCGAAGGGGACATACTGGGGTCCCTGCTCAGAGAGTCTCGGCAGTTTGCCTAATTCAGATCTCAGACTGCAAGGAGGAGGCACGTGCCTGTGATACGCAGCTGTGCTTTGGAGAGAGTGATCAGGGGCATTTTTCCAAAGCAAAATTAACAAAGGTCAACCAACTAGTGTTCTTGTTTCGTTCTAGGAAAACAGTGAGTCCAGGGCTGACAGGAAGCGGAACTGGAAGGGCAGCGGGGCAGAGGGCACTGACTCCATCACGGTGTGAGGAGCAGCAGCTCAGGGCCGACTGGGACCAGAAATGCTAGATTTTTATTTCTTGGGGACAGGCAGTGCAGGAGGGAGGCTGTGTGGGAATACTCCGAGGAGCAGGGTCGCTCTGAGTTTCACCTGTTCCTGCCGTTTTCCAGGTGGTTCTTTAGATCACAGGGTCGGAAGGAGGCTGAGAGGCAGCTTCTTGCTCCAATCAACAAGGCCGGCTCCTTTCTTATCAGAGAGAGTGAAACCAACAAAGGTAGGCTTGGTGGCTTTGCCTGCCTTCCTTGCCCTGCTCCTCCCGGGAAGGCGCCTCCAGAGGCCTGGCCCTGGAGTGAGAGGGGAAGGGGTGACTGCCAGGAGAACCAGCAGCTTCCGGGCTTGTGTCCCTCCCAATTCAGGCCCTGCCCGGGAGTTGACATGGGGGCTGTCCACACAGTCCTCCCTGTCCCGGCTGGAAACCACCTGGGCACAGGAAGCCGGGTGGACAGGGGTGGTCCCACGCCAGACTGGCCCTGCTGCCCAGTCAGCAGGAACACCGAGGCCAGTGGGGGCCAGGGAAGGGGGAACCCTGAGCCCTTAACCACCAGCCTCTTTGGAATCAAGGATTAGGGGGAGCTCAAAGAATCCTTCAAGATCATCTCAGCCAGAGGCTGCAGGTAGCATATGTTAGGAAGTGGCCTGTGCCGTGATGTAAGAGAAGAGGGTGGTAATTGTGGGGAGCCCATGCCAGTCTAGACACTCATGAGTTCAAATCCACTGACTGAGCAAAACAGCTGCCATCACCCTCAGGGGTTTTCTCTCTTTCTCTGTCATTTGGCTTTCTTTCCTTCTTAATTTTTTTGGTGTAAAATATAAAACACATATAAAGCTTGCATGAAGTATGAATGTGTAATTCTAAATCATATAGGGTAATAATAAACAAATCCCTGTGTAATGACAGCCAAGAGAAAGAGCATCCCAGACCACCAGGAGCCCCCTCACTCCCCCACTTGGGCTCCTTCCTGATTCAACCCCCACCCTCAAGAGCTACCTGCTGTCCTGACTTGGATGGAAATCCTTCCTTGCTCTTCTCTGTGGTTTCGCCACCATGTCTTGTCTGTTTTTTCAGCTTGATGTAGATAGAATCACTGTTTTTGTTTCTGTGTGTCTTGCTTCTGTCACTCAGCAGTGTTTGTGGGATTCTATGTTAGTTTCCTGGGCTGCCGTAACAAAGTGGCACAGACTGGGTGGCTTCCACCACAGAAGCTTATTATCTCACAGCTCTGGAGGCTGGAAGTCCACGACCAAAGTGTCAGCAGCGTTGGCTCCTCCCGGGAGCTCTCTCCTTGGCTTGCCGATGGCCGTCTTCTCTGTGTCCTCACGTGGCCGTCCCTCCATGCATGTCTGTGTCCTAATCTCTTCTTGTAAGGACACCTGTCAGTTTGGATTAGGGCCCACCCATATGACCTCATTTTAACTTAATCACCCCTTTAAAGGCTCTGTCTCCACATATAGCCACATTCTCAGGACCGAGGGTTAGGACTTTAACATATGAATTGGGAGCGCACATGATTCAACCAGTAACAGATTCATTCATGTGGTTGAGGATGGTGAGCCTGTTCATGTTCATTGCTATACAGAATCCCGGGTGTGACCATTCCAGAGTCAAGTTAGCCATTCTCATGTTGTGGGCATTGAGTTGTTTCCAGTTTGGGGCTGTTAATGCATGTGTTGCACCGAACCCTATTATGGTCCCTGGTGCTCACTGGCCACTAGCTTTTCGTCTGTAAGATACTAATCCACTTGACAGATGAGGAAAGGGAGCCCCTGAAACAGGAAGTGACTTGCTGGGGGCCAACAGTAAGCATCAGAGCCCAAAGCACCAGTGACCACATCATCTAAGAGGCTGAGAGGCTTCCCAAGCTCTACAACGTGGCAAGCTAGGGTGACCCAGGGGCTTCCCAGGCAGTATGAAGAATGCTTTGCTCATCAGGAAGCTGTCCACAGGGACCAGGTACAGCCTTGTAGCCAATTTTAACTGGAGAGGAGATGGTGACAGTGACATCAGAGGAGGAAAGGGAGAGAGAGTGTCTGGAATATGAGTCTGGTTCCCTGTGGTTGGGGCGATGAGAATGGACAGAGTTGTCACCTGGTGGGAGCACCCTTGGGCTGTCCATTGGTTCCATCTGTGGCTCAAGAACAGCAGCCAGAGTGGAAACCCAGAGTATGAAAAGCTGTCATAGCACCCTGTGATTCTCTGGGGACATCATGAGGCCTTGGTGCCCCACAAAGGGGCAGGACCAGGTTGGGGAGCAGGAAGGGTGCATTGGAAAGCTGGGGTGCTCTGTGCAGGATTTCTTGGAATATGCCAATGAATGCATATACATACATATACATACACATAGATATATGCATTTTATATTTATATTCATATTGGATATTGTCACTATTTCATTTTTGTGGCAGAGCACCTCTGTACAAGAAATAATTTGGGAATCACTGGAGATGACATAAGTGTTTTATTGTTGTTCCAGGACATTTCAAACATACACAGAAGTAGAGAAAATAGTTTAGTGGAACCCCTGGTACCCAACAGCCAGCTTCAACAATTATCAACTGAGCCAGTCTTGTTTCATCTGTATCTCCCGCTCCACCCCTGTTCTTTCGAAGTAAATCCCAAACATCATGTCATGTCACCCTGGAAATGATATTTCAACCATTGCCTATTGCTAAGGTGAAAGCCTCCCCACCCCCTGCCCAATCTGGTGTGGAGGAAGAAGGGGTTCTCTATGAGTCTGGCATCTTTTCCTGTCCATGTCCACCCCAGGAAGCCAGTCCAAGCTGGGAATAGGCCATATGGGACCAGGGCTGCAGGACTGTTCAACCATCATCACCACCACACGCACATACACATGCACACATGAACACACATGCACATATGCACAAATGCACACATATACACACATGTGCATACACAGGCATGTGTGCACACATACACATGCAAACACATACACATGTCCACGCATGCACATATACACACACATGCACACATATACATGTGCACATATGCACAGATGCAATGAACACGTGTGCAACACATGTACACACCTTACACGTACATATGCACACACACACACAACTCCAAAGCAAGACCCCTCTGCTTCTCCGAGCCACAGCAGTGAATGCAAGACAGGGATGGAAGCAGGGGAGTGAGTTCTACCCTTCGTGGCCTCCGGGGTGTCCTTGAGCCTCTCAAGCCTCAGTTTACTGGTGTCTATGTGAGGATAGACTAGTTTCACAGCTCAAAGGCAGGCGGTCCTTCAGTGCTGAGAAATCTTCATCTCAGAGCCAGGCCCTGCCTGCCCAGGGCAGTCCAGACATACCACAGAGGCAGGGGATCCAGGTTTTGTGAAACTGAAGCTGATAGGATCTGAGGTCGTCTTTACAAAGGACACCAAATTGTCAGAAGCCATCAGGGACGGGGCCTCAGAGCAGCCAGGCAAGTGAGGGCTCTAAAGCACCAGCTTGGGAAGCGTCACTGCGTGGAGAGCGGGCTCCTGGGCTCATCGCCCGAGGCACCCGACACAAGTGCAGCCTACAAAATGGAGAGAAAAGCCCTTGATGAATGAACTCCCTAAGGCCAGGCTCGGGTTCCTTAGAGACTGGGGGCACAGCTGCACCCGGGCAGGGTCGGGGAGACAGTTTGCAGCCTCTGGGCTGAGGCTGGGGTGGGGGTGTGGAGGGGCTGTGGCAACAGCATGGCGTACGCCTCTGGGTGTCCTTTTGCAAGTAGGTGATGAGAGAGGCACATTGGCTGAGGGAAACTGGAGGATGGAAGGGGGTTGAGGCAGGGGAATTGACAGGAGAGGAAAGAGCCTTAAGTCAAACAGGACCGCGGAAAACCAAGCGTCCACAACGAGAACGAGGGGTCCGTGCCTGACCCCTGGCGGGGAGGCGTGGTACTGCTCGTGGTAGGCGCGGACTCGGGGAACCGGGAGCCCCCCAGCCTGCCGCGAACTCTGCTGGGCCCCAGCGTCCTCATCTCCCATATAATGGGTAAGGGGCGGGGTAAGGTCATGGTACCCAAGTAGCTGGACAGACGCATTTTATAAAAACATCAAGTTCATGGAAAAGCGTTTCTTACCTGGAAATTCTTACCTCCTAAATTGTCCTTAACCCTTGACATCTGCTACCACTTGCCTGCGGGAAAACATTAACCTAGAAGACAAAATAACAGGTGTATGTAACAGGCAGCAAATGACTTTGAACAGAGCCCCTGGGCATAGCTTATTACGGTGTCCGCCATGGACATGGGTACTTGCAGCTGTAAATGGCTATCTGCTTGTAGGAGTAAGAGATACCCTCTTTAGCCAGAAAATAAAGCCCCTAGTCACTCCAACGAGACTAGATTTCTCAATAGTCCATGACAAAGGGTCCCCGAGTGACCAGATGCCCAAGTGGGGACCTACATGATTGCTGAGAAACTGTGCTGCCTGCCGCAGGGCTCTGTGATTCCCTGGCTGAGTTTTGCAGGATAGTGGGGGGATGCCAAGGTCAGAGTCAGATGGAACTTACAGGGGAGGCTTCCAAAAGCATGGAGGTTGAGATGCAGGGAAAGGAAACTTGTGGAGGGAGTGCTGATAATGAAGAACAGAATTGGGGAACTTTTTTCAAAGCTTTAAAATGAGGCCCAAATCCCAGTCCCGTTTTTTGTCTTTGTGCCTTACTTCTCGTGTGTGTCTTCATGAACCCTCCAGGTGCCTTCTCCCTGTCTGTGAAGGATGTCACCACCCAGGGGGAGCTGATCAAGCACTATAAGATCCGCTGCCTGGATGAAGGGGGCTACTACATCTCCCCCCGGATCACCTTCCCCTCGCTCCAGGCCCTGGTGCAGCACTATTCTAGTAAGAGGGGGCGTGCAATGGGGGCAGGGACTTGTGCCAAGAGCCCCTGGATCTCTCGCTAAGATTCCCAATTGTGTGAGTCATTGGTGCCACCTTGGGGGATGGAAAGATTATCCCAAAGTTAGGCCTAAGGAGGTAGCAACTCTGAGCACCGGGAATTGGTGGCCCTAATTCCCTCTCCTGGCTCAGCAGGGAACCCCTTAGAGAGTAGCAAGCATTTTCAGTCTTAGAGTGAGCAGGTCGATTTTAGAGATAGCATGCCCTGCTTTGCGCAAACGAAGAGAAAGAGTTGAGTGTGTGTGCATGTGCAGGCGTGTGCACACACCCATGCAGGGGGTGGGGTGGCTGGGGAGTGGAGGGCCAGCTAGGAATGATACAGCTCCCAAGGTAGAGCCTGGCTGCTCTGGTAACCCCCAGCCCTGTCTTTTCTTCCCTAATGCAGAGAAGGGGGATGGTCTATGCCAGAGGCTGACCCTGCCCTGTGTGCGCCCGGCCCCGCAGAATCCCTGGGCCCAGGATGAATGGGAGATCCCCCGGCAGTCTCTCAGGCTGGTCAGGAAACTCGGGTCTGGACAATTCGGCGAAGTCTGGATGGGTGAGTGTGTGCACACGTGGGAGCATTTCTCCCCCCATTCCACCTGCGCCGCATCCTGAGTCCAGGTTCAGCATTTTCATAGCGTGTCATCCCTCCCCCAGAAGTCTTGAGAGGGAGCGAGGACAGAGGCGAGGACACTCATTTTACAGAGGAGGAAGTGGAGGTGCAGAGCCGCGTTGTAACAGCTGGGACCGCTTATGGTGGTGGCAGAGCAGGAACAGAATCCAGCTCACCCAGCCCCGAAGTCGCTCCCTCCTTCGTTCTCTGCCTGAAGCTGGCTTTGACAATGAGCTGCAGCGGCGCGTTAACTCCCCTTAGCTTTTCATCACCCAGATGGAAACAGGAGGTTAAACGTGATGAGCCATGATGTTCCAGAGCCTGAGTGCACACCGAGGGCAGCCGTGGGACTTTGGCCAAGTCACTGAAGCTCCAGGCCTGGTGTCCTCACATTTCCATCGCTGCTGACACCTGCCCCCTTCCCCCCCCGCCCACCAGGATATAAAACTCGTGTTCCGTTTTATCCCTGGATTGGTCCATGAGTCCTCCCTTACCTGGGGCTGGTCCATGAGTGCTCCCTTACCTGGGGCTGATGCCCACGGTGCTTTTGGCAGGAGCTGTACCCAGGTCCCTGCCAAGGCCCATGTCCTCTAGAAAAGCAAGTAGAGTTGTCTTTTGCCCTTCAGGGGACTTCATGGAGTACAGGGAGAGTGTGGAGATACAGATAGTTTAAGGAGTGGGACAGGATCGCCATGGGGCTTCAGAAGGAGAGAAGGAGACCCCCATGCGTCATCCTCCTGCCCAGTGTACCCCAGGCTGTGTGCTTATTTCCACCAAGGAGTTATTGTGTGATAGAAGAGACTCATTATGTAGGGGAGGGGTGGGGGAAGGACACAGGTTCCGTGCAGGACAGAAGGACACAGGCCCAGGGTGTGGGGCAAATAGGTGAAATGCCCCCCAGGCAGGGTACATTCCTCCACTGCCTGAGGCCCCATATAGAAGGGACCTGGAACGCAAGGTAGGCACCACACAACCATGGCCTCCGGAACTGCATGTTCCAGCTCTGGCACCTGGAATGGGGTGGCACCTGGGCACTTACCCCGATTTTGGTTAAGGGATCACCTCCGAGCAAGCTCTCTGTCTTCTGATTGGCTTCTTCACTCCCCCGGGCTCAGGTTACTACAAAAACAACATGAAGGTGGCCATTAAGACGCTGAAGGAGGGAACCATGTCTCCAGAAGCCTTCCTGGGTGAGGCCAACGTGATGAAGGCTCTGCAGCACGAGCGGCTGGTCCGACTCTACGCAGTGGTCACCAAGGAGCCCATCTACATTGTCACCGAGTACATGGCCAGAGGTGGTGCCCCCCGCAGAGCCGCATCCTCAGAGCGAGGCGGGAGGGCCGGGCTTAGCAGGAGGAGGAGGGTCCGCTGCGGTGGGTTCACCAGGCCGGGGGTCCTGCAGATCTAGGGCATGGCACGGTGTGGGGACAGGGAGGGATGGAGGGAGGGGGAGGGACAGAGGGAGGGTGAGAAACAGGAGGGTGAAGTGGTTCTGACAGAGCCATGTTCTCAGCCCAGGAGCAGTTCAGACAGCATTTCTGGAGTGCATCTTCTGTGCCTAGCACTCTTTGATGCCTGCTGGGAGGGACAGAGCATTGCAAAGTCAAACGAACACCAGGCCAGGCATGCAGGGACAGTACTAGATCCAGGTCTCCTGCCTCCTGGTCATGCAACCATTTACAACTGTGTGAATATTTTACAAGGATGGCCAGAGAGGTTGGGCTTGATGGCCTCTGAGGTCCACGGCGTGGCCAAGTTCTCATGCCACTTTCTCACCCTCCTATGACCCTGACCGCACACTGCTCCTATAGGATCCTAACATGCCCATGTTGATATAGCTCCCTAACAACTGTCACCAAGGGGCCCCCGGTCGGAGGCTGTGCTGGGGGTGCCTCTAGCCTGCCCCTAGGGCAAGCATCCATCCCTCCCAGCTTTCTGATTCCAGGGGGAGCTGCATTTGTCCCCTGCACCAAACCTGGGGGACAGTTCTCTCCATTCTGGTGCTTTCTTGCTGATGCCTGGTCCTCAGAGGCAGAGGGTGTCTGCCAGCAGGGATCAAGGGAGCGAGGCCAACACGGGGGGAAAGACAAGAAGGGGCATGAAACTTCGAGTCAGAACTGGGGTCCCACTCGCAGCTCCCGGCTGGGTGACTTCAGACAGGTCCCTGCACCTGGCTGAAACCTAACTTCTGGGCAACTGCTGGTATATTGGCTGCCTCCCGGGGTGCTGAGACTGGCATTTTGTAAAGTGGAAGGCACTCGGCAGCAGTAGGTAGATCCTTCCTGATGCACCGAGAGATCTGAGGGTGCAAACTCCCACTTCCCGCGCCCATGGGGAGCCACTCACACCAGAGAGAGGCTGGCACCACCAGGGGCGGGTCACTTTGCAGAAGGGCACTTGCAACTTCTCTTTTCTTAGGATGCCTGCTGGATTTCCTGAAGACAGATGAAGGGAGCAGATTGTCACTCCCAAGGCTGATTGACATGTCGGCGCAGGTTGGTGAAGTACCAGGTGCAGAGGAAGGGCGGCATGTGCCACCTGCTGTCCACAATGGCTGCTCGTGCCTTACCACCCCATCCTCTCAGCCAGCAGGAGAAGTCAGGGGGTACTGAAGGCCACCTTCCTCTAGGCAGATATCCCCAAGGTCACCCACTGCACTTGGACTTGCAAACCCTGGCCACTGTGCCTCCTGCCCCACGCAGCTGTGAGGGAGCCCAGGGAATGGAGCCTTAGACCCGGGCAGCTGTGTTGGAATGAGGTTATTCTGTTCCGAAGGAAGAGAGGGCGAATGAATGTCATGGGAAACACACAGAGTTAGCAAGAGTTCCATTGAACCCGGCAGGCAAGTGTGTTCTGTTGTGACCTCATCTCTTCCTTAGATGGTGCCCACAAACATCTCCTGTAGGACTTCCCATCCCAGGGGCCCTCAGCCTTTGCACAGCCCTGGCGTCGACCCCAGGCTGATGGGCAGGCCTGAGCTACACACAGATGCCAGGGACATGACTTCTCTGAGCCCTGGAGGACAGCCCCACCTTCTGCCACCAGGGAATTGCGAGTGCTGGACCTCCTCGGCTACCCAGGACTGGTCCTCAGTGTCCCTCACGTTCACATGCAGAACCTTCTGGACTCCATGGGGTGAAGAGCAGAGTGGAGAGGAGGGTTTTAGCCGAGAGCTCTAGCTGGCAGGAAGCACATCTGGTGGCCCTGTTAAAACTGGAACTCTCAGCAGAAAAGTTTTGGTCTGTGGTCAGCCTGTGAGGCACACACGTGCGTACACATACACACACACATACAGCTGCCACCGAGAGGAAACGCTCCCACCCACCGCCCACATCAGCCCTCCCACCTCGCCCCTCGCCCAGCCTTACCCAGTAGTGCCGCTGCAGGAACTGATGCCACAACGCCTTTTTCCGCTGAGGTGGGCAGACAGCCATCTGGGCAGGCTGGTTTTGGAAAATGAGTGCTGGTAACCGGCTTCAAACCCCAGGGCAGTGATAAGCCTGCCCACTGCTGCTGCTTCCTTTCCCCTTCCTTCTCTCACCCTCCGCTGTCTCCTATTCAATCCCCACTACACCCCCTTGGAAAATCTCATGTGACCCAGGGGCAAAGGATGTGAAAAGCCATCGGAGTTTAATACCTGGATGTAGCCACAGAATCGGGGGTGAGGAGCCAGAAAATCAGAACTTCCCAGAAGGGCAGCCTCTAACCACATGCTGACCATGCCAATGGCTCTCTAAGCACACATGTACACACACACACTCTCACACACATAAAAACACAGACTCACACACACGGACAAACACAAACACATACACAGACTCACACAGACATGCAAACTCACACACAGACAGACACACACACACACACAGACACACAGACTCACACACACAAACTCACACAGACACACAAATACACAGACTCAGACTCAAACACAAACTCACACAAACACATTTACACAAACTCACAAACACACACACAAACACACACACAAACACGCAAACTTACACACACATGAGCAGACACACACCCGGCCCTTCTGGGCTCTTCTTTTCTTACTCCATAGGAAGCCATGCAAAGTCTCGCCAGACCTTTCCTCCAATGCCAGATCTGGCCAACCCCACAGGAACCCTGCAATCACAATCCCTCGGGCCCCACTTTGCAGCCAGATGCCACCGGTTCCCATGCCCCATGCCTCGCCACCCCTCTGCCTCCTCTGCCCAGGAAGCCTTGAACACTTCCCACCTGGCAGAATCCTTATCATCATCCATGGCTCAAGCGTAATGTCATTTCTATGAAGGTTTCCCTGGACAAGAAACTGCCAGAGAGCCCTTAGCTCAGGTGTTCCCGGAAGCACTGTTCTTGCTCAGCAGATCTGGGCAGCTTCTTCTTGAAAGCAGATCTGGGCCCTACTCAACATTTTTTAAAATATATTTCTGGTACTGTTCAATAAATATTAGTTATCAGAACGAGTACTGTTAGATGCTGCCCAGATATATTTAGTACTCAGTTTTATATTCCCCACAGTCCCATATTAGTAAATGAGTATTGATTGCATGGTGTAGCAAGGGGATGGATGGATGCATGGATGGGTGGATGCGTGGGTGGGTGGGTGGATGGATGCATGGATGGATGGATGGATGGATGGATGGATGGATGCATGCATGGATGGATGAATGGGTGGATGGATGGATGGGTGGGTGGGTGGGTGGATGGATGGATTGATCCATGGATGGATGGATACATGGAAGGATGCATAGATGGATGGATGGATGGATACATGGATGGATGCATGGATGTGTTGATGGATGGATGGGTGGGTGGATGGATGGATGCATGGATGGATGGATGCATGGATAGATGGATGGATTCATAGATAAACCAACAAAATGCAAGCATAAGGAGAAGTGGAATCAATTCTAGTGCTGGCTTCTTGAAGTCGCATGTCTGAAGAGGTAAATGGGGTCTCTGCTTTCTGCCTCAGTTTCTTCGTCCATTGATTGGGTGAATAAAGCCTTAGTTTCCTCAGCTAAAAGGTGCCAAGTAGCACCAGCTGCTATCCCTGGCCCAGGCTGGTGATCAGGGGAGGAGAGACAAGTCTCTTCTTCTTCACAGCCTCTGTCCACCTGGATCTGCCAGTGCTCCCTGGGTGCCCCCACGGGGCAGGCGCTGGGTGAGGTTCTTGGTCACAAATCAACCTCGTCTAATGCTTGCCTCAACCCCCTGCCCTGGAGACCACATCCCTCATGTTCCATGTCAGGACTGTGGCCCCTCGGGGAGGTTAAGCAGCTTGCTAGAGGTCAGCGACTTCCCGAGGGCCTCCAGCTCCAGGAGCTGTGCTTCCAGCCAGCCAGTGAGAGCTGCCTGTCCTTGCCTCCTGCTCCCCCTCCCCCTCCTTCCTTACCATTTCTTCTCTTCTCCCTCCCTCTCCTTTTCTCCTGCCTGTGTTCTTCTATCTTCCATCTCTGCAGACCCTTGGACACAGCTGTGTGGAGCGAGAACGAGGAGGGGGAGGGGCACAGGTAGCCCCTGTGTCTCTGATGCCCACGTTGCTGCGTTGCTGTTCTGGGCTTCTAGGAGAGGAGTTTATTCGGCTGAGGAGCAACACAGTCACCTTTCTACTCCATCCAAGAAACAGCTCCTTCCCCAGCAGCCCACAGGGGCTGTGCGGGGGACACAGTGTGGGCTCGGTCTTGGCGTGGAGGCCCCCAGGCTGTCCTTCACCATGTGCCTGTTCCCTCAGATTGCTGAAGGGATGGCATACATTGAGCGCATGAATTCCATCCACCGCGACCTGCGGGCGGCCAACATCCTGGTGTCTGAGGCCTTGTGCTGCAAAATTGCTGATTTTGGCTTGGCTCGAATCATCGACAGTGAATACACGGCCCAAGAGGGTAAGCACAGCCCCTAACCACAAGGGAAACCTAGGGCCTTATCTTTCCCAGCTCCTCAAAGCCGCCTTTAACTTCTCCCAGCACAGCCCTGAGGGAAGACACCTGAGGGCTATACGGTTTCTACAGCTCTAGATCAGCATTTCCTTCATTTACCCAAATGTGTTCAGCAGAATGGTAGTGCCCTGAGACCTCCCATGGAGGAACAGCTTTAGGATAAGGTAGGTTTGGAGAAACAGCAGTCCACCCTACTCCCTGTCTTGGAGATTCCCAGTGCACATCAACATATTAAAGGCACTGAGAAGTCCTGCAGCAAAGAAACAGTTTATGTTTGCCTCACCTAGTGCCTCCCAAACTAATTTGAGCTCCAAATACTATTTTTTTTTTTTTTTTGAGATGGAGTCTCTGTCACCCAGGCTGGAGTGCAGTGGCACAATCTTGGCTCACTGCAACCTCCGCCTCCTGGGTTCAAGCAATTCTTCTGCCTCAGCCTCCCAAGTAGTTGGGATTACAGGCGTGTGCCACTACACCTGGCTAATTTTTGTATGTTTAGTAGAGATGGGGTTTCACCATGTTGGCCAGGCTGGTCTCGAACTCCTGAATTTAGGTGATCTGCCTGCCTTGACCTCCCAAAGTGCTGGGATGACAGGTGTAAGCCATGCCCAAATACTATTTTTATATAGTCCCTATTAACCTTCCATGGAATTAGGCTTTCACAGAGCACACTGTGGGAAACACAGCTCTCATGTGCGATCAGCAAACCAACCTGTATTAGGGTGTCCACGGAGCACTGTTTTACTCTGTGCATATAACTGAGGTGGAAATCTACGTCACAAGAGAATCTGAAGGGGTCACATATATTTATCAAGCTAGCAAGCAGTGTCTGCTGAGCCTATGAGTCAGATGACAAGCAGACAGGATATGGCTTGTTCTCTCGGGAACTTCAGGCTGGCTGGGGAGACCGAGAAATGGAGGCCAGGGGAGGCTGTGAAGTGCCAAGCCCTGAGGTCTGCTCCAAATGCTGGCCGGGGCTGCAGCCATTGAGGTGCTTCACAGGGCAGCCGGATGTGAGTTCTTCCTCATAGCGGCCCTCGGAGGTACAAGTGTCACCATTTCCATTTTGCAGGAAGGGACTAACGGAGGCGCCCGCAGGTTTAAATGGCTTGCCCAGGCCATGTCTTTTAAATTAAACAAGGCCCCTGTAAGGTGAAACAGGCCCCTTCCATCCCAGGTGGAAACGTGGTGGCTGCCCATTGAGGCCATCGCTCTCTTTTTAAAGAACCAAAGTGGGTGACTGTGTGGTATTGGTGTCCATATCGTCTTTCTGTGCTGCTGATGTCGTGTCTGCACTCACCTGGTCATGTGTCCTGGTGTGCGGTAGTGGCTCCCCCGCCATGCCTGGCCGCCCCGCCCTGTGAGGCCCCGCAGTGGGGGCTTGATGGAAGGACAGCAGGAGCAGGGGTAGGGGTGAGGATGGAGGGTAGGGGCCACCGGCCGTGGCCTCCCAAAGCTTGCATGGCTTTTCCCACAGGGGCCAAGTTCCCCATCAAGTGGACAGCCCCGGAAGCCATCCACTTCGGGGTCTTCACCATCAAAGCAGACGTGTGGTCGTTTGGAGTCCTCCTGATGGAAGTTGTCACTTATGGGCGGGTGCCATACCCAGGTAGGTGGCTCACCCCGCAGCTCGCGGCTCCCTGCTTTCCCGGCCGGCCCTGATGGCAGGTCGCCTGTGCTTGGTGCCTGTGGCTGCCCTGTTCTTTTCAGAGTGAGTCCCAGAGCGAAGACGGAGACCCAGGCATGGCATCTGGGGTGGAGCTCTGCCCCCTGCATCACTATTGCTCTGGGCCACAGGGCTGTGTCTCCTTCCTCCAGCAGAGGTCAAATGAGTCCCTCAAACTGAAATCAAGACAAAGGGCACATCCGAACTCAAGTTTACTCCCAATGGCTTGTTCTCAGTTGAGGACAGGTTGTGCCTACCTTGGCTTTGCACCCATAGTGGATTCCCCAAAGCCCCTTCCTGTGTGGCCAGAATCGTGGACGACAGCCCCCAGCCCCAGTCGAAGGGCTCCAGCCACTTGGCCCCCACAGGTGGGCAGGCTCCGGGTCACCTGCTGCTGTGTGCACCTGGCAGCTGCCCATGAGTGATGGGCTTGGCTGTGCCCCTGGTGGTCACAGGTAATCAAGAGAGGGAGGGTCCCATCTTCAGAGGACCTGCCCCGTACTCAGGAGAAAATCTACAGCCTCATTTCTAGGCATTCCCCAGGCAATAAAAAGTAAATAAAGGGCTGTTTAGAGACCGGGCAGCCAGGCAACGCACGAGGCTGGAGAAGTGGTCTGGGACTGTGGGCACTGCTGTCCCTTGCCTGGGCCCACTGTGCCCCGCGGGACGCTCAGGGCCCCCCACCCACCGAGGACCCCAGCCCCTCACCCCCGCTTGCGGTCTCCTCTGCCGCAGGGATGAGCAACCCCGAGGTCATCCGCAACCTGGAGCGCGGCTACCGCATGCCGCGCCCCGACACCTGCCCGCCCGAGCTGTACCGCGGCGTCATCGCCGAGTGCTGGCGCAGCCGGCCCGAGGAGCGGCCCACCTTCGAGTTCCTGCAGTCGGTGCTGGAGGACTTCTACACGGCCACCGAGCGGCAGTACGAGCTGCAGCCCTAGCCGGCCGCGCCCGCCTGCGCCCCGTGCCCACCTCTGCGCGGACGACCCCGACTTCCGTGCCATCCCAGACGGGCCGCGAAGGCGGGGTGTCGCCTGTGCCCTTTTCTCAGACCCGGAATCCAGTGGGCAGAGGCAGCTTCGCAGGGGGTCCCCGGACGGACTCCTTCACCGACTGCACCCCCGGGCGAGTTACGCGGCCTCTCTGTGCCGCTTCATTTGTAGAGGGCTGTAACAGTGACCTCGCACGGTCATCCGGAGTACTAAGCCCCAGTAAGGTGTTCAGGACTGGTAAGCGACTGTCATCAAGTAAGGCCCCCGTGCTGGGCACCCCCCGTGCTGGCCGCGTCCCCGCCTCTGCGCCCTGCGTGGACCCCGCCCTGCCCCGCTACAGAAGCCAGACTGGGTCCCGCGGACGCCAGCAGGGGCAACCCCAGCCTAGGCTGCGCTCCAGCACTGCGGGGCTTTTCTGCAATAAAGTCACGAGCGTTCGAGCTGTTCCGTGTCGTTACCTGCGACAAGCTGGACATCGCGTGCAGGACGAGCACGGGGCGCGGGCGTGGCGCAGCCAGGGAGTCCCGCGTGGTCTGGGCTCCCGGCGGTTGAGCGGGGCCCGCAGGGGGCGCTGTGGCCTCATAAATCCGTGGCTCGGGCCCGCGCCGGGAGCTCTGGGCGGGGAAAAGCCAGGGGCTGACGCTGTGGGCCGGCGCTTTGGGGACGGCTAGGACGCGAGCCCAGCTCCAGAGGCTCCGAGTCCCCAGGCCAGGTGCATAAACAAGGATCGGGTGACGATGGGGCGTAAAAGCGAGGAACGTCGGCGGCTCCCAATGCATGGAGGCTCTTCACTTGGCATGTTTTTGTTTTGTTTTTAATAGAAGGATTTTTTTTTTAGCAGTTAGGTTTACAGAAAAAAAAAAGTGGGAATTAAGTAGACAGTCTCCATATCTCGCCCATTTCCCCTATTACTAACATCGTGCAATGGTGGTGCATTTGTTATCACTGATGAGCCAATACTGATAAAATATCATTAACCGAAGCCCACCTTTTGCATCCAGGTTCTCGCTGCCTGTTGTACATGCCGTAGGTGTAGAGGAAAGTGCAGAGACTTGTACCTACCGTTCTGGGTCCCCCACTTGAAAGCCCCCTGGCTCCACCTGTGCACCCGCTTCCTTCCCCTTGAACCCTTGCCACCCAGCTTGTCAGTGTTGACTCCTCTGACTGTGAGAACACCCCGAGGTAGGACTATACCCACCCGCAGTACAGAGGTGGAAACTGAGGCAGAAAGTGCTCACACACACCCCTCTTAAGCGGTAGGATGGGGGCGTAGGTGGGGGAAACTGCAGGTCTGGGCAGCAGAGGATTAGAGTGGGGACTTGGTGGGAGAACCCCCAGAAAGGGGGCAGTCGCTGCAGGGGTGCTGGGTGAGGACAGCCACCAGCCAGGAAGGATGCGGTTCACATAGCGTGATCCCCTACAGTGTGTGGATTCTCCAGCAGCCTGGGGTGGGTGCATCACCATTACTACCACGAAGCTGTTTCTGCAGATGATGAAACGGACAGACTCCATGCCACCAGGCTCCTCTCAGCCAGTTCTTGGCCCTCACAGCCCCCACTGACCGTGGGCAAGCACTGGATGGGAGCACAGCACTTTAAGGAGGTCTGGGGGGGGCAGACCTGGGGCCTCGCTGAGGAGCCCAGAGGGACAGGTGTCCCCAGCTGCTCCAGGATGCTGGAGGTGGAGGAACCTAGAGGTGGAACTCTGTCCCATACAGTGGGGCTCCAGAAATTGTGGGGCCTCTGATCTCCCCCAGGACCTGGTCACACCAGGGTGCTGGAAGGAGGAAACTGCCTGGCCAAGAACCTGGTGCCAGGGGACGTGGCTGGTGGGGGGTAAACAGGAGCGTGGGACAACAAGGTCAGTGGGGGCTCCTGCTAGTGGGGGCCACTGGGACTCATGAATGGGAGGGCCAAGCTGACCTGCTGGGGCTCCTGTGGGGTGGGGCTGAGGAGGGAGCTAAGATCACGGGATGAGGAATGAGCCCTTCCTTCACCTCATGAGCAGGGACCATATGCCAGGACACCACCTCCCCGGCCCCTGCAGCCCCTCTGAAGTGGCTGCCATGACTCGGGAGCTATCCTCGAGTTGCAAGGCTTGAGACTGTCTCCTGACCTCCCTGGACCCCACTGTCATTCCCTAAACATGAGTCACCCAGTGCTTTGCCAACGTCACCTCAAGTTTTTGTTTTAAAATGCAGGCTGGGCGCGGTGGTTCATGCCTGTAATCCCAGCACTTTGGGAGGCCAAGGCGGGTGGATCACCTGAGGTCAGGAGTTTGAGACCATCCTGGCCAACATGGTGAAACCCGTCTCTACTAAAAATACAAAAATTAGCTGGGCGTGGTGGCAGGTGCCTGTAATCCCAGCTACTCGGGAGGCTGAGGCAGGAGAATCGCTTGAACCTGGGAGGCAGAGGTTGCAGTGAGCTAAGATCGTGCCATTTTACTCCAGCCTGGGCGACAAGCATGAAACTCAGTCTCAAAAAACAAAAGTAATAATAAATAATAAAATAAAATGCAGGCCGAAAGCCTCTCCCTCTCCCACGGAGATTCTGATTCAGTGGGTTGAAGTCTGGATCCGGAAACGTCCTCTTTTAGAAGCACCCTGAGTGATTCCTGTGCAAGCATTTCCAGCTTGGACCAGCAGTTCTCAGCCCTGGCTACTCACTAGGGTCACCTTGGGTAGAATGGGGTTGGAGTGGGGGGAGGCACATTAAAAAGTGCCAGTGCCAGGGTTCCGGGTGAGCATACTTTATCCAGGGCCTCAGCATACTTTAAACATCCCCAGCTGGTGCTAATGTCGATCCCGGATTGGGAACCCCTGGGCAGGGCTGTGTGAGGTCGGAAGTGCTCCATCCCAGCGGGCCTGGCTCCAAGTACCTGGGGGCCAGGCTGATGTTCAGGTCCTGAAACTCCAGGACCAGCAGATGCCTGTGGCTTTTTCCAGCTCTGGTATGCAAGTGGCAACCTGCGGAAATTAGAAAAGAAACCCAGAAGACCAGCACATTCTCAGAGGCACGTTCTCAGGCAAGGACACCCACCTCTCCTCCGGCTTGGTTTTCCTGGGAAAGATGAGGCTGGAGATCTTGAAGGATGAGGGAGAGTTTCTCCACGAGGGGTCGCACTTGCCCGAATGGTGCCCGGAGCTGAACCTGTATCCTGGTGTGTTCTTGTTCGGGACATAAATATGTCTATTAAGGATGAGGAGCTCAGTCAATTCTCAGCCAGAAAGTGAAATGTGAGAGTGTGGGGGGGAAGAGAGATGGAGAGAGGAGGCAGAGAGCGCATGAATGGACGAAAGCCTCATTTCCTGCTCTAGGGCTTTGCCTTCCTTGTGGGAGGGAGGGTATTTCATGGCCTGGAGTCGGCCTTCTCCCAACCATAAAACTGCACATATGAGGACATTGCCGGGGGGCCCATGCCTGAGCCATCCGGGTCATATGATTGTTGTCCCGACACCCAGAGCTCTGGTGAAGGGGGCAGCCCAGGTCTGGGAACCCCAGACCTCTCCTTGCCTGTGAAGGAGCTGGTGCCTTTCCCTTTGCCTCCATTCCTCCATTCCAGAGCCAGGACACACCCTCAGCGTTGCTGTGAAGTGAGCAACAGCAGGGTCTCTGAGTCAGACAGACCTTTCAAAATCAGGCACTTCCTCTCCCCGGATGTTTGACCTCGGAGACTTTGCTTCATTTCTCTGAGCCTCGGTTTCCTCATCTGTGCAATGGGCACAATGCTGACACCTGCATTGTAGGCTTGCTGCGAGGTTTGCACAAAGCAGCTCACAGGAAGCATTTACCAGAGTGCCTGTCTTATGCTAAATGCTCAGAAATGTTAGCTCTCATTAGGGCTATAATAACCCCCAAAGAAGGGCCTCCAGAGACCCCGATCCCAGCTAAGCCCCCTTAGCCGGGCTTCCCTGGCCTCTGCCATACCTCCCCTGCCTCGGGCTTCTAGCTCTGCGGTTCAGAGCTTTGTTCTCTCTTTGCTGCTGTGATCTGTTTTGTCTACAGTAGTGGCCCCTTATCTAAGGTTTCAGTTACCAGCGGTCAACTGCGGTCCCAAAATATTACATGCAATAAGATATTTTGAGAAAGAGAGAGAGAGGGAGGCCACATTCACAGAACTTTTATTCTAGTATATTGTGATAATTTTCTATTTTATTCTTAGTTATTGTTGTTAATCTCTTACTGTGCCTAATTCATAAATTAAACTGCATCATAGAGATGTGTGTATAGGAAAAACAGTGTATACAAGGTTCGGTACTATCTGCAGTTCAGAGCATCTAGATAGTTTGGGGGTCTTGGAATGTATTCCCTGTGGATAAGGGGGACTCCTGTACTTTCACGCTCTTCCCACCCTCGGGGCAGAACTTCCAAAAGAGCACACGGGGTCAGAAGCCAAGGACCTAGGCAGCCTGGCACTCTCCGGCTGTGTGACTTTGAGTGAGTGACTCCATTCTTCTGAACCCTGATTTCCTTGTCTATAAACAGAGGGCAGTGAGGCCTCCTTGCAGGGTTGCTTTAAGGATTTAAGGAGTATTTTGGAAATGGAATAGTGTATTCGTTTCCTAGGACTACTGGAACAAATACCACAGGCGAGTGGCTGAAAACTTAAAAGTTGATTGCCTCACAGTTCTGGAGGCTGGAAGCCTCAGATCAAGCTGCGTGCAGGGTCGGTTTCTCCTGAGGTCTCTCTCCTGGGCTCATAGATGGCCACCTTCTCCCTGTGTCCTCATGTGGTCGTCCCTCTGTGTGTGTCTATGTCCTCGTTGCCTCTTCAAGAATACCAGTTATATTGGACTAGGGCCCACCCATACGACCTCACTTTACTCATCGATTTTTAAAAAGCCTATCTCCAAATACCATCACATTCTGAGGCAGTTGGGTTAGGGTTTCAATATAGGAATGTGGAGAAGAGGAGATACAGTTCAGCCCTTGAACCATAACACATAAGCATATGTGTTATTTCTGCTTTTGTTTCTTTCACTCTACCTGCCATGTGGTAGGTATCCATGTATTCTTGTGACTCATTGATTAGTTTCAAAATCAAGAATATTTGGTGTGAATAAATGTGCCATCTACAAATAAGAAAGACCCAAAGGTAAGCTGGAACACCAGTAGAGCACTCTTAAGCAAATTCACGTATGAAAATCCGGATTTCCTCCAAAGATAAAACCGCCTTTAATGAAATATTTTATAAAAGTTTCCACCACTTATTCCATTAGATACTAAAAAACCAGGACTCGAGTTTCCCCAGGACTCATGATGTCGTTTGTTTTTTTTTTTTTTTAAGGTAGTAAAATACATACACATAACATAAAATTTGCAAGCATAGGCATTTGCTGAGTGTTCCATGCAGTGGTACATTCACACTGCTGTGTAGGTGCCACACCATCATCTCCAGGACTTTCTCATCTTCCCAAACTGAAACTCTGTCTCCATTAAATGCTAACGCCCCATTCCTTCCCTCCCCCAGCCTGGCAACCCACACTCTACTTTCTGTCTGTAAGAATTTGATTCTCTAGGGACCTCAAGAATCGTGCAGTATTTGTCCTTTTGTGACTGGGTCATTGCTCTTAGCATAGTGTCTTCAAGGTTCATCTATGTTGTAACATGTCAGAGTTTCCTGCCTTTTTAAGGCTGAATAAGACTCCCCTTTATGGATACATCACGTTTTGCGTATCCATTCGTCAGTCGATGGACACTTGGGTCGTTTTCACCTTTTGGCTGTTGGGAATAATGCTGCTGTGAGCCTGGTGTGCAAATGTCTCCATGAACCTGCTGGACCAGATGGCAACTTTAGGTTGAATGTTTTGAGGAGCCGCACGCTGCTTTTCCCATCGGCTGCGCCATTCCGCATTCCCATCAGCTGTTCACAGCTTCCAGTTTCTCTGCCTCCTCTGTTATTCTCTGTTGCTTGAAATAGTTGCCATCCTAGTGGGTGTGAGGCTTGTGGTATTGTTTTAAGAGCATTAACTGCATGTTTTTAACTTTGGTCCCCATGGCACCTCAGCCCTCTTTGAAATGCCCCCACGCGTTTTAGGGGTTCAGGGATGTTCGCTTCAGGGCCTGGCTGGGAGGAGCCCGCTCACGCTGGGGGCAGGAGTCCTTCCCTCTGGAAGAGCCCCTGGCTCTGTTCTTGGGAAAGAACCTTTTTCTTTCTTCCCCTGGGCAGGTCTGCCCTGTGCTGCCTCAGGGTCAAGGGGCAGTTGGTCGATATCCTCACCAGACATCTCCAGGCGGGTCTGCATCCTGGTGGGCACGTGCTCAGACCCCCACCCCAAAATGTTCACAAAGACTGCCTGGACACACAGCATCTCAGGCAAAGCAGGCAAGAACCATGCCTAGCTCCAGGCACTCAGTCTCAGGTGGCAAGGACAGAGAGCAGAAGGCAGCGCCACTACGACCCACGGGCAGATCAGGGAAAGCAGAAGCACCGGGCCCCTGACCTGGGCTGTGGGCACTCTCCACAACATCGCTGGGATTGCAGAGTCACCCGACTTAAAGGTTGAAACTTCATACCATTCTTAGAATCTTTAGACAGCTAAAGAGACCTTCATACTCAGTCACCGTGTATCGAGTGTAAAGTGCTGATGACTCGAGCAATCCCAAGAGGTAGGTGTCTGATCCTTATTTTACAGAGGAGGAAGCTAGGGCCCAGAGAGGGTAAGTAACTGGCCCAAAGCCACACAGCTGATAAATGGCAGAGCAGGGACCCACTGCTCGCAGCTTTTCTTCCAGAATGGCATAGCCACCGCACTCCACATTTTACAAAGGGGTTTCCCGTGCCTTGCCTCGGGGGCTCCTCACAGCAGCCTCTTGAAGGTGTGGCATCTTCATTCTGTTCAGTCTGGACAGAAGAAAGGCAGAGATGCTGAGCCTGTCACCCACATCACATCCCTAGAAATGATGGGGGGCAGTCCTTGAATCCTGAGCTCAGCTCCATGGCCAGCACTTGAGGGGCCCCAAAGGATAGTGAGATTAAACGTGCTCTTGAGCACTTGAGGAACAAGGCAGACATAACCCATGGGGCCTGTCCAGTGGCCCTCAGGGGGCAAACCTTTTAATAAGGTTAAGCAAACTGCTGAGAGGATGACAGGAAGGTTCGTGAAAGCCTGGTGGAAAAGATTCCAGGAAGAGAAACATCTGGTGCGGATGGGGCCACCAGGCTTAATGGATCCGCATTCTCATTGCAGTATGGCAGCCCCTGGAGGGGTGAATTGGCCAGTCCCCGTGCAGGAGGCCAGGTGCTCTACTGATGATTCAGAGAGAGGCAGCTCCACCTGACATCAGTCGGAGACCAAAAAAATAGCCCTGGGCGAGTATTCAGGAGAGCACAGGGAGATGTTAAAATTTGTGGGTGCACACAGAAAATTTCCAACTGGCACCGTGGGGACTTCGTGGCCTCTCAGGCTTTCACTTGACCCTGCGGAGATAGCAGAGCCCCACTCCCAGGGAGCTCTGCCATGCACCCTGTTTGACGGAAGCAAAGGCCTCCCCACGCTCACAGACACAGATGCTGATGTCAGCTCCCCTGCCGGTCACACCACCGAGCTGTGTGATGTGCTGGGGACTATGCTCACACGGCAGGTGCATGGTCCCATTAAGCCAGCACGACCGCCCTTAGGAGTAGATCGTTACTGGTCCCATTTTGTAGATGAAAAAATGGAGGATCCAAAAATTGAGGCCATCTGCCAAGCCCACGCAGCTGGGACACAAGCCCAGGTCAGCCTGGCCTCCTGCCAGGCCTCAGCAGAGCCGCCTCCAGCCAGAGCTTCTCGGGAGGGGCGGGGAACAAGGCTCTGAGGCTGCAGGTCACACAGTGAGCAAGAGCCAGAGCTGGAGCTGGCCCCAGGCGCCGCCAGGCTTGTGCCCCGCCCACACCCCTCTGGCCTGGCCTCCTTGCCAGTTGCAGGTCATGTCGTAGAAGAGCAGGCTTTGGAGGAGTCAGGCAGGGCTTACTTCACCTCTTGGTTCTGCCTGCTATCAGTTATGGGATTCTTGGCAAATTTTGTAACCTCTCTAAGCCTCAGTTTCATTACCTTTAAAATGGACATAAGCATACCTGTCTCAAAGGGAAGCTGGGGATGAACTAAGATAATGTACGCAAAGCTTTGGCCACAATGGGGTGCACACAGCAGGATGTCAATATATGCACACTCCCTTTCCCCATACACCCTTGACAGCAGAGGCCCAGGCCAGACAGCACCTTCCCTGGGGGCACCTAGGAGCCTGGTCTGCCAGTCCCCTGGTCTCCCTTCCCAGTCTGGTCCCATCCTCCTCCATTTCCAATCAGCAGCTTGGCCCCTGGGCCACCAGGCCCCTGTGGGCTGCAGAGGCTGACAGGGGCTGATGGGAGCCAGCCCCAGGGGGGTTGAAGGCTGATTACTGAGGACTGATGAGGTGAAGAGGGACTGCTGCCTAGAGCTGACAGCCTTGCCTGGGAGGAAGGACAGGCAGGAGGGCAAGGAGAACACTCCAGTCTCAGCCTGACATCTCTGGAAGGGCTAGGGGTCCATCTAGGGGCATCTCTGTTGGTGCCTTCTTTTCTGTGCCAAGGTCACTCCACTGCTCTTGGTTAAAATTAGCCTCCTGCTCACTGCTCTGGACTGAGTGGCCTTTCCTCATGACCAGTAGGACCTGGTCTTGCACAGGCAGGGCTGGGCTACATGCCCTCGGCTCTCCAAAGAGCAGATACAGTACATGCCCGGCGCCTTGGAGGCTGGAGCAGGGTGGGGTGTGTGCATGCACATGTGTACCTGTGCCCGTGGTGGGTGTGCCTACAAGTCTAACTAACCAAACCAGGGTGTCTAGGAAGGTGACAGTTGTGGAATTGTGCAAGCATTTCATCAGCAGCATCATTCCTAGGTTGTGTTATTTCTTGCTTATCTCCAAGGCTCCCATGTAATGGCTGATGGCCTCAGCTTACTCATTTCTAGCCCCAAGCATTAAACACTTGGCCCAACTCCACCCACACATCACCCCTGAGATTAAGAAAGTGCTCTCAAAGGATATTTGTCAAATACGCAAAGGAATGGGGACAAGTCACTATCTTATTCTTTGTCCATATCCCATACCTGGTAACATCTTAATCCAAAACTACACACTCAGTCAGGGCTCAGGCAAGGATGATTTGAGCTGGGAGAAAAGCCAGCTGAGGTTGAAAGGAAGAGAAGCACAGTGGTCAAGGCTCTGGGGCCAGTTGGATGTGGGCTCAAGTCCTGCCCAGCCACATGGCCTTCTGCAAGCAGTCACCTCCCTAAGCCTGTTTCCTCACTTGTCAAGCACATTTGCTAAGCAGCAGCCTTGCCCAGAGTGGACGAGACGGTGCCTCTCCAGTGCTCAGCAGAATGCCTGGCACAGTTAGGTATACAACAGAAGGAAGTTGTTAGTATTTTTACTGGATGTCAGCGAAAAAAAAAAATGTGGATTAAACCCTTAGAAACAGGATAGCATTGTTGCTAATCCTGCAGAGGGAAACCTGACGAAGGACGTTGTGAACAAAGTTAAAGCAAGTGTCAGGCAGGAAGATAATATTTGCAGTGCCTGTATAACGAAGGATTACTGCAAAGAAAACTGAAGAAGTTCTTCCTGTTCCTAAACAACCCAAAGACAAATGAGCCAACGATAAGAATGGGCACTGCACAGAAAGAGGATTAGAACAGCTAATAAATAAAGCAAACAGTGCCCAGCCACACCAGTCCATGGAAAAATGCAGTTGAAATAGTAGTGCCAGATACTTTTACCATCAGGTGGCAAAATGGCAATACTGCTTATATCCAATAATACTGGTAAAGATATGGAAAACTGTTGCTCTCATAAAGTTTAATGGCCGTGTAATTTGATAAAGCCTTTTGGGGAAGCATTTTTGGCATCCAAAATGTTGACGCATACACACTGATGAAGCTACTGCATTTGTAGAAAACTATCCTACGGTAAGATATGCCCTTATTCCCAAAGATAAACATACGATATTCTTTACTGCAACTTGTTTGTAATTACAATGGGAACAACTTAATGGTACAAGAGGGTAGCTGAAAGAAGTGGGGCACAATTTTTTTTCCTTGTTTAATTGTCCGAAGGGCCAGCTAGAAGGGCATAATTATTTTATTAACTACTATTCTGCCATTAAAATGAATGGGCATGCCAGGGATGGTGGCTCATGCCTATAATCCCAGCACTTTGAGAGGCCAAGGCAGGAGGGTCTCTTGAAGCCAGGAGTTTGAGGCCATCCCCTGGAAAACATAGCAAGACCCTGTCTCTGCAGAAAATATTAAAAAAAAAAAAAAAACTTAAAAAAATGAATGGGCACATCCATAGGTTCTGATTTTGACACATGGCCAAGACTATCAAGTGAGGGGAAAGGGTGCAGAAAAACACATACATGCAGCATGATGTACACACACACACACACACGCACACAATTTTATGTTCATCACACACATGCATATTTGTGTAAACATGCAGCAAAGGGATCCCAGTGATACCAACCAAAGAGAGCCCCGTGACCTCCGAGGAGGGAGCGGCTGGGGCTGTCAGCGCAGAGGGATAAGGAAGGGCGCTGGCATTTTACCCGCATTGCTGGAGTCTTCTGTAGTGAGAGTGCATTAATGCATTCGGAGAAGAAAAAAGCCAGGCCGGCAGGCAGTGATGGATGGTTCGGTGCAATTGTGCCTGGTGGCAGAGAATGGATGACGTGACCCCTGGGGTTGGGTCCCGCCCTGGGGCTCTAGCGGCCCCCTCCAGCCCCTTCCCTGCCCACTTCCTCTGCCGATAGCGCCCTCCCCCAGGTTATCAGTGGGGAGGCCACCCCACACCACACTGCCTTCCCTGTGCCCGCCGCGGAGCCCTCAGAACAGTCCATCACCGCTTATCGTCCCTGTCCCTGTGCCAGAGAGGCTGCTGGGGGGTCCAGGCCGTGCACCCACCAGCCGAGAGGACTGGCCCCTCCCCTCCACCCAGGCCAGCATCCTAATTTGGGGGAGGGGACTTCTGGCCACTAGGGACAACTCCATGGCTATGACATCCCAAGGAGGGCATTCTTCAGAACCCCCACTTCCTACAATAACAGTCACGGCGCCTGGCATTGATGGCTGCCTACTAGGGCCAACCACTGTGCCTGGCAAGGGATGTTCTTTTTGTTCCTTTTCATCTTTTTTTTTTTTTTTTTTTTTTTTTTAAGACAGGGTTTCGGTCTTGTTGCCCAAGCTGGAGTGCAGTGGCGCAATCTCAGCTCACTGTAACCTCCACCTCCCGGGTTCAAGTGATTCTCCTGCCTAAGCCTCCTGAGTAGGTGGGATTACAGGCACTCACCACCATGCCCGGCTAATTTTTGTATTCTTAGTAGAGACAGGGTTTCACCATGTTGGCCAGGATGGTCTCGAACTCCTGACCTCAGGTAATCCACTGACTTCGGCCTCCCAAAGTGCTAGGATTACAGGCGTGAGTCACCGTGCCTGGCTCCTTTTCATCTTTACACAATCCTAACTAACTTCAGAGATGGGGAAACACTCAGAGATAGTAAGTAACCCAGGTCACCAGAAGATACACAGCAGAACCAGGACCAGGTCACCAGAACCCAGGTTTGTGCTGTGACTGCAAACACAGTAACAGGTCACTGCAGAGTCTTCTGCCCGGAAAGCAGGGGTCCCGGTGAACCTAGTTAGTGCCACCCTGGCTCTCCCACAGTGTCCCTCATGATAAGTGGTGACACACTCTGCCCCCTTATCCTTGGCAGTGAGCGAGGGACCCTCTCCATTGCGGGTGGTGAGACGTGGTGCTCACAAAGGCATCACTAACTTGAGCCCAGTAACAGAGAATGGGAGTCTTCCCGGCTTTCCCGGCAGTGGGTCAGGTGGAAAGAGCCCTTCATGGAGTCAGAGCCCTGGCAGGGCCCACGGCCTCTGGAGCTCAGCTGTGCGGTTTCCCAGCCTCACTTTTCTCATCTGTAAAGCAGGTACAGGAGAAGTCCCAATGGGAGTAAGGGAGATGTCAAATGTATGCCAAGCCCTGTGATACCAAGTACATGAAAACCAAGCACCTCGAACCCAGCTGGCCCGAGTGCCAGGAACTGGGCACTGTTGTCATGGAAACCAAGCACCTAGAACCCAACCGGCCCCAGTGCCAGCAACTGGGCACTGTCCTCATGGAAACCAAGCACCTCAAACCCAGTTGGCCCCAGTGCCAGGAACCGAGCACTATTGTCATGTAGACCAAGCACCTCGAACCCAGCCGGCCCCAGCGTTAGGAACCGGGTACTGTCGTCATCAGCATCAGGGTCAACCTCTGGACCCTGGCTTCCTCAGCATTAACAGGAAAGGTTAGAAGCCCTGTTAGGTCTCTTCCAACTTTGTCTATAACTCTGAAAAAGCAACGTGGAGTTTCTCTGGCACACTCTTTGAGGAAATAGAATTCGCCAAACCAATGCAAATGGAGAAATATATTTCACCTGAGTAGGGAAGAAAAACCTTGTAAAGGCTTCCAAGAACCTCCAGAAACCTACTGGATGTGCTTACCACTAATCTCTTTTAAAGCAATTCCCTGACAACACTCTGTTAATCTCTCTTGAGCTCCTTAGTACCCCCTGAAAGTAGCAGGACAGCCTTACTTTCCAAATCTTCACCTTTGCAAGAGTCTAGTCTGTGAGTCCAGGCTCACCTGAAGTCTGAGATTTTGGGAGCTTTGGAGAATTCTGGATAAAATCCCTTACTGGACTTAGCAGGAATCTCCGATCTGTGGAGAAGTCTCCTCGGTTTTCAGAGACTGAGCATCTGTTCCTAGCTCCCTCCGGGCTCTGATGCCATTAATGACTGCAGGAAGCTGTTCCAGGCCTCAATACAGAAAGAACCCTTAGACCCTCAGAGCTGGAGGTGTGCAGACTGGTCTCTGCCTGGGCTCAACCTCTGTGATTTCTGGCAAGTTACTGAAATTCTCTGTGCCTCAGGTTTCTTTTATGAAAATTATAACAGTTTTATCTCCTAGGGTTATGGTGAATACCTAGGGCAGGACCGGGCACTTAGAAAGCTCTCATCCAATGTCCCCTAACTCTTGGAGACAATAATCAAGACTTAGAGGAACTGACTGGGGGAAACGTCAACACTTTCTTGGTTCTCTCAGAGGCCGGTGGAGACGGTGCTCCATTCTGCCTGGATCATTTCCCAGGGCAGGTAAAAGTGGTGGGACCCCTCGCCGGGAGGCCAGGAAAGATGCAAAGATGGATGGATGGGTGTGTTCCCCAGGAGTGAGTGTGTCCTGGGGTGGGTGGGTCATGGGGAGTGGGGTGTCATGAAGGCGGGTGGCTATGGTACCATGACGGGGGTGGTTATGGGAAGTGCTGTAGAAGTGTGGGTGTGTTATAAGAAGTGGGGTTTCAGAGGGCTGGGTGGGCTATAGGGGTCTGTCCAAGAGGAATAGGACTAGAGTTGAGGGGAGCAATCTTCCAAGTCCAGAGCACCCTCAACCCAGCAAGCCTGAACAAGTGTGTAGGGCCTCTGGCAAAATAATAGCCAGGCAGACGGGCAGAAGAGATGGAGCAGGCCAAGCGTCGGATGGAGAGAGGTGAACATGGCCACCACAGTGTCTGGCAGTGGCCTAGGCATCTCTAGGGCCCAGCAGTGGAGCTGGGGTAGGGGTGGCTGGCTGATCCCGAAGTGTTCTGTTCTGGCCGTGCATCTTCATGGAGACTTTCTGAGCTGAACTGGGTTCTCGGTGATTCCAACTCACTCCCCACAGACTTACCCGGCACTGAGTGCAGGCCTGGAGGGAGACACTTCACTTAGATCCTTTCACCGGATGGCATGATAATGCTGTGGGAAGGTACAGATGAGGAAACCAAGGCTCATGGAAGTTGCGTGAATTGCCCCAGGTCACAAGGCTTTTGACCTCCAGTCCAGCGTCCTTCCTGCGTTTCCCCATTGGCAAGGTTTGCCAACAGGGTGGGCCCAGCTGCTCCCAGCACAGCTGGCCCTGGAGAGCACTTTGCAGGGACAGAGTCAGCCACGTGAGAAAGGACTTGGCATACTGTAGGATTTAAGGGTTCTAATCAGGGCTTCCCAGCAAATTCTGTTGGGCCAATGTGGACCTCTCAAGTATGAGGTTGGACCATATAAAACTGCAATTCTGTAGATCAAAAATCATTGAATATTAGCAATTTCATACAGTTCACCCTAACAGTGTTTGGGGGGAAAAGCCCACAGAATGCATGACTTGCCCTTTTCTTGCAGTATGAGACAGGCCTTCATCAGAAAGGCCGGGCCTGTGGATGGAGGCAGCGGGCTGATGGAAATGACCTCTGTGCAGCTAAGGATGCTATGCTTTGTTTCTTGAGCTGAACTGCAATTGTGCCCAGCCTTCCTGGGACAAGGGTGGGAACTCAGGAGTTACTACAACCACCGCCACCCCACCCTGGGAAGGCCATTTGTGGTCTTGGACAAGTTCCCTCCCACGTGGCTGGACGAGCCCTCAGGCGACAGCTGCGTTCTGTCGAGGAAGCCACGTAAGTGGGGCGGGGCTGGGGTGGGATGGGTGGTGGGCCCTGTACCCACTGACCATGAAACACTCCACCCTCTTCCCCCTCGGTGTTCTGAGTGCCTGTGTCACACCAGCATTCCCACCGCAGATGCAGCTGGAAAGGCGCCAGTGGGAATTTCAGTGGGCTCCCATCCCGGGCAGTGGAGTGAGGCAGGGCTCCAGGGGTCCCTGGATGCAGCCACGCCTGGATGCAGGTCCTGGCTCTGCCCCTCCCCAGGGCATAGTAACCTCAGGCATGTGGCTGACCCTCTCTGCTGTGCCTCAGTTTCCACAGCTGCACAATCTGGTTAGTAACAGGCCCACCCCGCTGGGCTGTGGTGAGGACACTCGAGATGGTGTTTGTGAAGTGTTCAGTCGAGGTTGGCCAGTGTTTTGGTTGCCGTCCACTCAAGCAGTGGGCATTCAGTACACACCTGTGTGGAGCCAAGAATGGACCAAGCCTGAGGGGTCCTTCCCCCTGGCTCCCCCTTTGCTTCAACTCCACCTTGTCTGGCTGCATCGTTGGTGGTCTGGGCCCACCGCATAACTGTCTCCCTGGGACAGCTTTGGGGTCAGGGGGGTCAGCCTGGGGCCAGCAGCTGGTCCGGTATGTCCACTCTCCCCACTGCTGGGAGGGGCTGTGTTGGAAGCTCGGGGCTGTCACCTCAGTGAAGATGGTGTAAACACCAGGCATCCGCAGCCAATCTGGATGAGCTGGGCATGTCTCCCTGGGCTGGGAGCCTCAGGCTTGGCTGAGAATGGCAACATCCCAGCCTAGGAGGGCCTGATCCAAGGACCCAGGGCCTCACAGGTGTGTTAACACACCTTGTGCATGTGGCATGTTCAGGGATGTTCTCTGAACGCTACCCATCTGGCTTTCTACTTACTCCTGGCATGCTCCCATATTGTCCTTTGAATTTCATGGAACCTCTATAAACCTTAGTCTTCTCTTCTACAAACAGAGAATAATCCTCCTACCTCCCTACCATGGCCTGGAACGGTCATGAGCATTCAGTTAGTTGCACAGTGCACAATGCAGTGCCCAGGCACAGAGAAGCACTCAATACTAGTGAGCACCCAGAAGTTTTGCCCTCTCTGATAGTGTTTTTCCAGATGCTAAGGTCCCTAGGATGAGCCACAGGGGCAGTCCAGCCTGTGGCATCTGCCAGTGAGGAGAGTGTCACAATGGTGTCCCAGAACTTTGAAGCTGAAAGACTGCTGTTGAACTGGGCTGGTCCAGTCCTCAGTCCAGTCCTCTACATTATGAAGGACTCCGGGTGGGTCAATCAGTATGGACTGCTATAATGAAGTGCCAGAGGCTACACAGCTTATGAGCCATGGAAATTTATTTCCTGCAGCTCTGAAGCTAGAAGTCTGAGGTCAGCTGCTGGCATGTTTTGGTGGCTGCACACTGCTGACTTCTGGCTGTGCCCTCAACTGCCAGAAAGAAGGCAAGAGAGCACATTGGGTTCCCTTTTATAAGGGCAGTAATCCCATTTGTGAGGGCTCCACCCTCATATCCTCATCACCTCCCAAAGGCCCCATATGAATTCAGAATTCAATGTGTAAATTATAGGGGGACACAAACATTCAATTTCAATGAAACAGGCCTTAGTTAAAGAGCCCAGGTTGCATTTCACCAGCCGTGTGACTGTGGAGCAGGCACTCAACTGCCCTGAGCCTGTGTCCCGGTCTTCATGTGGGCATTGGAAAAATAACACCTGCTCCACCAACCTCACACAAATGAGATGAAATACAAGAAAATGCTTCATGAATTTAAAAAGTTCTCACTAGTTATTTGCATTGTTTTAAAGGCGTAGGTAGGTGATTCCCCTACTTAATCTGGATCAGACTCACCCTGGACTAATGCCCATGCTCCTGCCTCCAGGCCCATAGAAGGAGGAGGCAACCCATCTGGATGTGTGGAGGAGGTTTTGATCTCCTCTTCTTGGTCAGAACTGCTCATAAGAATCTCCACTGCAGGATCGATATTTGCTGCCATTTCTTTTCCTCTGCACACACATTCTAGAGTAAGCAGCAAACAGAGGTGACCAGAGATGCTAGGATGGCAACATGAGGGGTCTGGAAAGTCTCCCACTGAGCGATCAGAAGCTGGGTTTCACATACTCACCACGGCTAGTCTAGCGAGTTTGCAGAATTCAGAAACGGGATGAGACCCTGAGGTTTGCCTTTCATTAGCCTGGCTGTCCACTTATGGGACAGTCTCTGCAGGAAGGAAGGAAACAGGGGAGGCTCCTACCTGCCCCATCAGCTCACTTTTTAAAACATGCTCACCTGGCCTCACCAAGTGAGGTGGGAGGAGAGCCCGAGATCGGTTCACTTTGTGCTTCACATGTCCTTCACATGTCACCTCTCTACTCCGTGAACTTGCAAGTCTCACCTGGGTCTCTCACTTTCCATTCCCTGTCTCTCAGATCTACTAGCACAAGGCTACAGCCACAAAGCACTTATATAGTTGGGCCCCTTTGCTGACACGTGACATGCAATTCAGGGATGCCTCCTCCTCCCCCTAGAAGTGATGAGTGCCTGCAGCTATTGTAAATGTTAAAGTAAAATTAATGTTGGTTGTACACCCATGTTCATAGCAGCATGACTCACAATAGCCAAATGTAGAAGCAATCTGTATTAGTCCGTTCTCAAGCTGCTAATAAAGACATATCTGAGACTAGGTCATTTATTTAAAAAAAAATAGGTTTAATGGACTCACAGTTCCACGTGGCTGGGGAGGCCTCACAATCACAGCAGAAGGTGAAGGTGTAGCAAAGGCACATCTTACATGGCAGCAGGCAAGAGAGTGTGCAGGGGAACTCCCCTTTATAAAATGATCACATCTTGAGAGACTTATTCACTATCATGAGAAAAGTATGGAAAAAACCTGCCCCCCCACGATTCAATTACCTCCCACTGGGTCACCCATGACATGTGGGGATTATGGGAGCTACAAATCAAGATGAGATTTGGGTGGGGACACAGCCAAACCATATCACAACCCAAGTGTGCATTGGCAGATGAATGAATAAGCAAAACATGGTCTATCCATGTGGTGGAATATTATTTAACCTCAAAAAGGAAGGAAATTGGGGCTGGGTGCAGTGTCTCATGCCTGTAATCCCAGCACTTTGGGAGGCTGAGGTGGGCAGATCACTTGAGGTCAGGAGTTTGAGACTAGCTTGGCCAATGTGGTGAAACCCTGTATCTACTAAAAATACAAAATCAGCCGGGCGTGGTGGCAGGCACATGTAATCCCAGCTACTCAGGGGGCTGAGGCAGGAGAACCCTTGAACACTGGAGGCGGAGGTTGCAGTGAGCCGAGATCATGCCATTGCACTCCAGTCTGGACAAAAAGAGTGAAACTCTGTCTCAAAAAACAAACAAAACAAAAGAAGGAAGGAAATTCTGACCTGTGCTACAACATGGATGAACCTTGAGGACATTATGCTAAGTAAAATAAGCCAGCCACAAAAGGACAAATACTGCATGATTCCACTTATAGAAGGTCCCTAGAGGAGTCAAATCCAAAGACAAAGTCGAGGTTGCCAGGGTCTGGGGGAAGGGGAATGGGAAGTTAGTGTTTAACGGGTGCAGAGCTTCAGTATGGAAAGATGGAAAAGTTCTGGAGATGGATGGCAGTGATGATACAACAATGTGAATGTTCTTAATGCCACAGAAGTGTACACATAAAAATGGTTGAGGTGGTAAATTTTAGGTGTATTTTATCACAATAAAACAGAACTTTAAAAAAATGAAAGTTGGTGCCTAACTTGGCAAATTAGTAGCCCTCAAAAGTGTTCACTGAACAAGTTATTTTTGTTTTGGACTCTGGGACAGCCATGTAGATGCCTGGAGAGAGCTGGCATGTCACTTGCAGCTGAGTCCCCTGGGTCCGAGGCGGTGCCTGGCACACGGTAGGTGCTCAGCAGATGTTTGAGGAGGGAATGAATTGAGAAGGTCAAGTGGAAACCCCTGCTTGACCTTATTTCTACCTCCTACCCCACCCACTGTCTTCCCTTCCCCATCGCCATCACAGAGCAGACTCAGCTCTGATGCCCCAAGTTGCAGAGACCTTGAGGAGTCATGTTGTTCATCGTCCTCCCTCAGGAATAAATGTAGCAGACAATCAGTGTCTGTGCTTTTTAAATCCCTCTGGGTCGTGTTTTTAATGCTCTGTGATTGATGGGACATTCCTCCATGAGTAATCCCGGTTTCTTTCACTGTGGTTGAAACCTCCCACATCCACGGTCCAATTCTTTCCCCATGAGAAATGGGAGAGGGAGCTCTGAGAGCAGATGGGGTCTGCCACCAGGGCTAGGGTGAGGGAAGTGATGAGAGTGGGACTCAGCCACCTCTCAAAGACTGTCAGCCCAGGCACTATGTTAACGGTAGTAAGGGGACCACTCCTGGAGGCAGGAGATGGGTTATGTGACCTTGGGAGGTCCCCTTCCCAAGTTGCAGGGATTCCTGGAGTCTGTGAGGCTACCTGCAGATGCTCCAGGGTCAGGCTGCATGAGCGGCCACTCGGGAGCTTTCCCTGCTGAGTGTGTTCCTAAAAAGCAAAGGAGGCCAGTTAGTGACTGCCGAGTCTCATGGAAAACCCAGAGAAATAATTGTACAGCAAAAGAGCACAGAGGGAAAATATTAACAAATAATGCAAAACTCACAAATTAGGAAAATGAATCCAATCTGCTAACCAGAAAGAAGAGAATCCCTGCCTAAGAGAAGGCCTCGCTTGAGGTTCAGTGAGTTTCCCACACATCTTAGAGATTATGAATAACTAGTATGATTAGTATAAGAAGGCAATGTAAGCGCAGCAGATGCATGGCTAATTAAATATGCAAGCAGAACATACATCGCCATGGCCATGATGACATTCTCCCAAGTGCCATCCCGCTGCTGTCTTCCAGCAAGCGTGCTTCATAGGAGAACTGATAAAGAAATTTCCCAAAAGCGTGCACCGTAGAACTCTATGTAAAGATGGACTTCTTTACAAAGAGAAAAGATGGCAGTGATCAAATGAGTTTGGGAAATGCTTAAATTTATATCTGCCCCTTAGATATTAATACATGTTAGCATAGTAAAAGATTTTTAAAACACTGCAATAAAGACATCTGTTTTATTTGCTTCATCTAGCATTTCCCCAAATTAATTTTGTACAAAAAACACTTGTCCGCCAATATCTATCATTCTGTGGAAATGGAATTTCTTGGGGGCATATCTGGGAAGCACTTAAGTACATCATTCGAATGCACATGAATTATTCAATGATTCATTAAACTGTGCTCATTCACTGAGACTGGCTGTGCTGTCCGGCACTAGGAATACAGAGATGGGTGAGACATGGTCTATGCCCACCAGAAACTCAGTGTCTAGGGGATGCCATGGGCAACTGGTTTAGCAGGGGCTGTGTAATGCAACCTAACAATTGGATAAGAGTTGGAATGGAGGGAAGGACACAGGAAGTCACCTGCCTCCCAGGCCAGACACTCAGGGAAGGCTTCCGATAGGACATGGTGCTTGAGCTGAGCTTTGAGAGCAAGTAGAGGGTCTTGCCAAGCTGATGCTGGGAGAGGGACATTCTAAGAAGAAGCTCATGCAAGGGCTCAGAAACGTGAGCTAAAAGAGGCTACAAGGAAGGGCGCACATTAAAAGAATGTGAAGAGGAGAGGCCAGAGAAGACTGGGGAGAGATCAAGGAACCCACCACCTTTGGGAGTTTAGACTCCATCCTAAAGACAATGCAGTATCAATGGAGGTTCTAAGTGTGTAATTGTCACTTACTGTCACTCTACATGACACTGCCAGATGGGCAGATCACTTGACATCAGCAGTTCAAGACAAGCCTGGCCAACACAGTGAAACCCTGTCTCTACTAAAAACACAAAAAACTAGCTGGGTATAGTGGCACTTGCCTGTAATCCCAGCTACACGGGAGGCTGAGGCAGGAGAATCACCTGAACCTGGGAGGCAGAGGTTGCAGTGAACCAAGATTGCACCACTGCACTCCAGTCTGAGTGACAAAGCGAGACTCCATCTCAAAAACAAACAAACAAAAAAACACAGTGAACTTCAGATCAGACCTTTGCTCCCATATGGGCATTCTCTCTTACTCCTGTGTCTCCCCTGAGCTCTCACCCAGTTGTCTCAGAGAAGGGCTCCCCCGACCCTACCTTGCTTTCTCTTGCTTTTTTCATCATTTTGTTTTGGAGTAGAGGGAGATTTTTTAATGACCTCAATCATAAATGTGAAGGGTCTGTATTAATGAAAGGAAAATGTATTCTGTTTGAAGTGGAGCAGTGTAAAAAAAACAAGCAACAGACTGGATTAAGAAAATGTGGCATTTTCTTAATGCCACATTAAGCATTAATGGTGGTATATACACTGTGGAATACTATGCAGCCATAAAAAATGATGAGTTCATGTCCTTTGTAGGGACATGGATGAAATTGGAAACCATCATTCTCAGTAAACTATCGCAAGAACAAAAAACCAAACACCGCATATTCTCACTCATAGGTGGGAATTGAACAATGAGATCACATGGACACAGGAAGGGGAACATCACACTCTGGGGACTGTTGTGGGGTGGGGGGAGGGGGAGGGATAGCATTGGGAGATATACCTAATGCTAGATGACGAGTTAGTGGGTGCAGGACACCTGCATGGCACATGTGTACGTATGTTACTAACCTGCACAATGTGCACATGTACCCTAAAACTTAAAGTATAATAATAATAAATAAATAAATAAATAAAAAACCAAAAAAAAAGCAAGCAACACCAGGCACAGTGGCTCCGGCCTGTAATCCCAGCACTTTGGGAGGCCGAGGTGAGTGGATCACTTGAGGTCAGGAGTTTGAGACCAGCCTGGAGAACATGATGAAACCCCATCTCTACTAAATATACAAAAATTAGCCAGGTGTGGTGGTGCACACCTGTAGTCCCAGGTATTTGGAGGCTGAGGCAGGAGAATTACTTGAACCCAGGAGGCAGAGGTTGCAGTGAGCCAAGATGGCAACACTGCGCTTCAGCCTGGGTGACAGAGCAAGACTCCATCTCAAAAGCAAACAAACAAACAAAAAGCAATCCATCTTCACAGTACAGCACCTGCAGGTTCTTGGAAGCGCCCTTGGATGAATGCAAACGTCTCTGTATGTATCTCTGCATTCTTTTGATTAAATTAAATTTTCCTCAGGAACTAGTATTTGGGGAAAGGAAATGATAGCTTCATCAAATTGTTTTACTTTATTTAAATTAAAGGTTCCCAACCCCTGGGCCACGGACTGGTACCATTCTGTGGCCAGTTGGGTCACGCAGCAGGAGGTGAGCGGCAGGTGAGTGAGTGAGGCTTCATCTGTATTTGTAGCTCTCCCTATCACATGCTTTACTGCCTGAGCTCCGCCTCCTGTCAGATCAGCGATGGGATTAGATTCTCATAGGAGCAAGAAGCAGCTGTGTTGCTGAAAGCCCCTATTGTGAACTGTGCGTGCAAGGGATCTGGGTTGCATGCTCCTTATGATAATCTAATGCCTGATGATCTGTCACTGTCTCCCATCACCCCCAGATGGGACTGTCTAGTTACAGGAAAACAAGCTCAGGGCTCCCACTGTTTCTACATCATGGTGGGTTGTATAATTATTTCATTACATATCACAATGTAATAATAACAGAAGTAAAGTGCGCAATAAGTGTAAAGTGCTGGAATCATCCCGAAACCATCCCTTCTCCCCAGTCTGTGGAAAAATTGGCTTCCACAAAACTGGTCCCTGGTGCCAAAAAGGTTGGGGAACTGCTGATTTAAATTACATACAAGTTTGCAACAGAATGTATTTTTTGCTGGAAATAGATGGCGTTTTAGGAAATGGGTTTGGGACATTTTTGGATTTGGAAGCATTCCATTGTTTCCACAGGGAAGCGTGTGACTAGCTCCAAATGAACCCATCCATATGAAGGCACTCCCCACATCATCAATTCCTTAGCTTTAAGGTTGAAACGGGCCCACCAGGAGAGACGGATGGATCCGGCCTGCAAGGCTCTTTCACGTGACGAAGACGGAGGACTCGCTGACTGAGCTTCTGGTTCTAGAAACAGTACCATGGACCCTGTACTGGGACACTGAGGGACACAGCAACAGAGGAGCCGAGAGCCCAAGCCACTGTGAGGCCCAATGACCTCTACAGCAACCATGCTGTGCTCACGGCGCCGGGCGGGACAGCTTACAGAACTGAAGGCAAGGTTTCCCTGGCCATTCAACAGACTTCCACGCACTTGCCATTTGCAAGTGAGACTTGCAACATGAAGCCAGATATGACTATCCAATGAGGCCCTGCAGTCGCCGTGAGGATCCACGGGAATGCACTCAAGTTATGAAACTACAGGAATATCACTGACTCACATTGCAGGCTCTTGGACCTATGAGAGGTGCTGTCTGTGCTCCTGCTCCCAGGAGAAGCAGCAGGCATGGCTCCTGGGTGGCGCACCCCCACCCCCCATGCGTGTGTGCGCACACACACACATACACCCCAACATTCTCACTTAAACACTCCCCTTATTTGGGGATGAACAATGGTCTCTGCCTTCCCGGGATCAGGAGAGCTCCTGGCCGCCTCAGGGACACTTTGCTCCTCTGTGTATGGATCTCCCCCCAGCGGGATCCGGGGAGCACACTCCTGCCTGGTCCCGGAAGAATTGGGCCACCCTATAGCAACCATGATGGCGACAGGCCAGGCTGCGGGTGAATTCTACAATCCTGTGACTTTCAAAGGAGAATATTGATGATATTCAGTTTCTTTTCTTGCCTGCTTTTTTCTCATTCCTTTTCTCTACCCTCCTTTCTCTCAGGCATTCTCATTCCTTTTCTCTACCTTCCTTTCTCTCAGGCATTCTCATTCCTTTTCTCTACCTTCCTTTCTCTCAGGCTTTCTCATTCCTGTTCCATGCCTCCTTTCTGTCTGTCAGAGGTGATTCCAGGATGTCTACAAAGAAGGGCCTTGAGGCTTTTGCCAGCTACTTGGGAGGCTGAGGCAGGAGAATCGCTTGAACCTGGGAGGCGTAGCTTGCAGTGAGCCGAGATCGTACCAGTGCACTCCAGCCTGGGCGACAGAGCGAGACTCTGTCTAAAAAAAAAAAAAAATTTGAGAAAACAACAATTGTCCATATCAAAGACGTAAGGGTGCTGATGGAGGCCGGGGGCCCAGCTCTCACTCTCCTCTCAGCCCCCGCCACTCCCTGGCCTTCTCTGTGCCTGCATCCATACAGCCAGTGTCTCCCAGCCAGGCCACCTCCTCGCAGCCCTCCAGTCCTCAGGGTGGCTATCTGGCCACCCCATCAGCTGGACAAAGCATTTGTCAGCTCTAATGGATGTAAAACTCCCTGGCTTGACATGTTTTATGCATCCCCAGGGGCTTTGATCTCCTTGTCTGCGTACATAAATGAGAGGATTACTGAGACATCCCGAACGCGGCACCAAAAATGTCTTTCACGGAGGCGCTTTTGCCTCCAGGAGATAAGGTAACTAGCTGCCACCCCCCGGGGCCATTACGGCCTGTGCTTTGGGAGGGACTTCACTCAGGGAGAAATGTTGTCAGGAGGCTGGCCTACAAGGATCTCCCTGTCATTATTTCCCCATATTGTTTATATCTGGGCGATGTGGATAAAGAAACCGGCCACTTCTGGCACCGTCTCACCTCCCTGAAGATTACAAGCGACTGCGGCTGACATTTGCCAAGGTTTCTCTGAGTGACGTGGAGGCAGCACATGGTTACTGTCAGGGATTTCTGGGGGTGGGGGCTGGGGTAGAGCACTGGGGCGGGGACTGGTATTTTTAGGACACTCAGAGTCCTCTACTGGATTTAGGCCAGCTGTCCAGACCATTGCAGAGTGGCAATGTCATTCCTTTCATACTCCGTCTCCTGAGGGAGACCGGAAGGACAAAAGAGAGACTGGGGGCTGCTGCCCTGACCAATCCTCTGCCCCTGGAGGTAGAAGGCCGGTGTTGGAGATGGGGGCTCTTTGATGCACATCCAGAGTTTCAAGATGGCAGCCCAGATTGGGGAACCATCTGCAAGGCGAGATGGGGCCCCAGAAGTCATTTGGCTAAGCAGATTACAGCTCTGATCCCAGTTCTCTGTCCCCCACTTGTTCAATAAAGCCCATTATATGTATTAACATCATTACCATATGTGCCGCTAGGGACAGGAGATGCCAAAGAAGGCACATTCCGGCTGGGAGCAGTGGCTCACGCCTGTAATCCCAGCTGTTTGGGAGGCCAAGGTGGATGCATCACCTGAGGTTAGGAGTTCAAGACCAGCCTGGCCAACACAGTGAAACCCCCTCTCTACTAAGAATACAAAAAATTAGCCAGGCATGGTGGCGCACACCTGTAATCCCAGCTACTCCGGAGGCTGAGGCAAGAGAATCGCTTGAACCCAGGGGGCGGAGGTGGCAGTGAGCCGAGATCACACCATTGCTCTCCACCTCAGGCAACAAGAGCAAAATTCCATAATGGGGAAAAAAAAAAAGGCACATTCCTTCCCTCAGTGAGCTCAAGAGCTTGACGTCATTTTCCTCTTAGTAAAATAGCTGTGTAGGCTCTATGGGTTGGAAGGGAACCTGAAAGTCTGTCCAACCCAACCCCACCTAATGTTTTAGGATTTTCTACAGTATCACTAACAAATAATCATCTGCCTCAGCTTCAATACTTCTCGTGATGGGCACCTCACTGTCATAAATCTCTGGCACTGTGGTTCCTATAGAGCTCTTTCTGTGTTGGACTCACACTTATCTGCCCGCACTGGCTCAGAGCAGCACAAGTATGACCCGCCTCTACAGATCTCGTGTGGAGTAGCCGCTAACCCAGGGGCAGGTCATACTCCACAGCGTCAAATGCTGAAGTAAAGTTAGGTAACGTCTAAGCCACACCCCTCACTTTACCCCAAGCCACCACAAACCCCGGCTGGGCGTGTTGCTGAATTAGAAAAAGGTGCTTTTCCCCAAGACCCATTACCGCCACCTGCTGGAGGATTACCGTAATGACCTTGCATACCCCACAGCCCGCACAGCAGCCGTGGGGGGCCCTGGCTCCTCCCAGCGCCCAGCACTGCGATTCTGTTCCCTTCACTTCACCATGAGGAGGGAGAAGAAGGGATGCTCAAGACCCTCAACACTGGACGTGGATCGGTGATGTACAGGCAAAAGCCAAAGTGTATTTTTTAAAAAGCAAATAAAAAATCACTAAGCCTCTAGAGCAATCCTGCAAAATTTCAGAAAGTCTCGCACTCCTGGCTGCTTGTGGCCTCCTTCCCTGCCTCCTTTCATTTTCTTTCCTGTGTTGATTCCTCATTCCCAGGAACTGACCCCCACTGCCTCATCCTGTAGTAGATGGAGAGGCTCTGAGGCCGTGGACAGGCGTGGGCCACGCAGACATCCACTGCAGGAGAAACCAGGTTACAATTCTCCCACCCTGAGCCACCCAGGTGAGCTCCCAGGAGCATCAAGCTCAGTCATCCTCTGTGTCCGAAGAAATAGAGGCTCAGGTGGGGCTGCACTGGGGGCAAGAGGCCCAATCATTGCCTTCCAGTGGCCTCCAGCCCAGTCGAGAATCTGACTTGAACTTAACACAGACATTTCCTTCTTGAAAGAAAAGGTCACTCTATCGGTCTGATTCTTTCTGTTATTTCCAACAGGGGAATTTCAGTGCCAGGAATGTGACAGCAGGCTCCAAATCGGCAAAGACTTTGAGCACCATGTGACCTTTGCTTTCTCTCCTGTTCAAGCCACCTACGAATGCTGGGGTGGGAGAAGGGCTGTGACCTCAATGCAAGCCCCCTGGTGACACCATCCCTCCATTCCTGGATGTGCTCAGCAACCCTGTGCAGTGCAGCTGCGTGGAGGAGGTGACATTTGCACTGGGCCTTAAAAGATGGGTAGATTTAGAAAAGTGGAAACAGCCCAAGTGGTCATAGACCCATAAATGGATAAGCAAAATGTGGTCTATCCATGCAGTGAAATAGTCCTCAGCTTTAGAGAGGAATAAAATTCCGACGCGTGCTACAACGCTGGGTGAACCTCGAGGACATCATGCTAAGTGAAATAAGCCAGCCACGAAATGACAAATGCTGCATGATTCTACTTATAGGAGGTCCCTAGAGGGGTCAAATTCATAGAGACGGAAGTAGAACGGGGGATGCCAGGGCTGGGAGAAAAGGGAATGGGAAGTTAGTGTTTCATGGGTACAGAATTTCAGTTAGGGAAGATGGAAAAGTTCTGGAAATGGACGGTGGTGATGGTTGCACAACAGTGTGAAGTAATGCCCCTGAACTCTATTACTTAATGCCCCTGAACTGTATATCACTTAATGCCATGAAACTGTAGTTGAACAAGGTGAAAATGATAAATTCCATGTTATTTTTATTTCACCATAATAGTAATTTTTTTAAAAACATAGGTAGAGATTGGAGATTGGCAGGAACAGCATTCCAGGAGGTGGGAACAGCCAGTGTGAAGGCATGGACTATCCCATTCAGTACCGAAGCGGAATTTGGTCTCCTTAGTGTGATCGCTTACCTGGGGAAAGTCAGCCAGTAGCTCTAGGTCTCATGGGTAAAACGTGGAATGCGAATCCCAGCCCAGTCCCTCTCTCAAGGGTCAACAAGGAGCAAACAGACAGCGGATGTCAGAGCACTTTGTGAACCACACAAGTGTGAAGTGGCTGCGGTGGCCTTGCCGGCAGCTGTGGGGAAGAAAGCATTTGGGCCGCAGACTCCAGCAGACCCAGGTTCAAATCCCTGCATCTCCACATACTGGCTGGGTGGCCTTGGACAGGTCACTTCACTCCTGGGAGTTTCCGTTCCTCTCGGCTGTGACATGGGTGTCGGCATGACTGTCCTTGGGAAATGCAGCAGTCAGCGTCCAACCAGGAAGAGGCAGCGTCCAACCAGGAAGAGGTATCTATTCCGAGGTTAAGACAGTGGGGCTGTAAATGGAGGAACAGCTTACCCAGGCGACACAAGGGCTGAGATGCCAAGCAAAGGGCAGGGGGGCCCTTGGAGATGAGCAGGGGCAGAAGGACACCAGCCTGGGGCCAGAGGAGATGAGAGGAGCCCCAGTCACTGGAGTCCAGGGACCAGAAAGTTGTAGAGTAAGTGGGGACCTGTGTGGGCCTGTTCAGAGGGAGTAAGGGCATTGATCTGAAAGCAAACAGGGCTAAAACCAGGACTGAAATCCAGGCCACTCGTTCTCTCCTCAACACCCATCCATACCCTTCTACTGCCACTTAACCCTCACACAGCTTTGCCTGACATGGACAAGTTTCCAGCATAGGCCAAACCCAGCCACAGCGTCGGGGAGCAGGAGCCGTCCAATGTCCCACAGGGCAGCTCCCAGGCTGGGCTGGTGACAGGAGAGGAGCTTGGAGGGGCGCATTGTGTCTGGGAGAAGGCACAGTGGGGCTGGAACCCTCCAGGTTCCCTGGCTCTGTACTGGTTTGCACCTGGGAGGCCCAGCCCTGGCTCAAGGACCACGAAGGTGAAATCAGATGAGTTGGATCCAGCTCCTGGGCCGGGTGGGGGCTAGTGAAATCAGGTGAGTCGGGTCCAATTCCTGGGCTGGGCTGGGGCTGGTGAACTGGTAGTGAGCCCTCGGTTCCATCACAGCCTGATGCTCCACCCTGGTGATGCGGGCCCACCTCAGCTTTGCTAGGAGTCTGACTCCAGTTCAGTCCCGGCTAGGGCAACCCCCTGTGGGTCACTTCACCCTTAGCTTCAGCCTGGGCCACCTCCTTAGCACACTCTCAAAGCTGACCTCGGCTCACTCCCTGCCCTGGGTCCTTTCCATGCCCCAGATCCACGCAGGCCTCTCTGCAGTCACCCTGCCCTGCCTCCAACTTTTCTCTGACGTGGCTTCTGCGTGCTGGCTCAAGGGTCATCCTGAGAGGGGATCCCTCCAATAGCTCCACGAGGGAGGCAGGACTGAGGCCCTGTGGCCCCGATTCCCCTCCACCTGCCCACCACACCACCCTCCAGGATGCTGCCTCGCCCGCCGCTCCCGGGGGCCACATCCCCTCCATCCTGCCTGCCACCTGCCTCCATCCCCAGGAGGGTGAGGTTAGGTGGGGGAATGCAGGAAGCATTTCAAAGCATCAGCTCCCACAGGCAGGACGGGGCATTTGAGCTGAACCTTGTGGAGAAACCTTGGGGAAATTCCAGGTGGCTGGGGTGAGGGAGGCGGGCAGGGAGTAGAAGGTACGTCCAGCGTCCAGTGACGGGAGGCTGAACTACGGGGCCAGGGGGACCAGGCCAGCGCCGCCCGGCCGGTGAGAAGTTACAGCTCTCCCATGTGAGGATTCCGAGCTGAGAGTCTCCTCACAGGGCCTGGGAGCTTTCAGGAAGCAAAGTCAAGGGGTCTTTCTTGGCTTCAGCTTCAGAGATTTAAATTGTGCGCTTTGGGCCTGAAAGTCTTGAGCAAGGGATTTCTGTTTTCATGATGGAGCGGAATCTCCGTCGAGGAACTTGCCGGACCAGGGATTAAAGGCAGCCTTCTGCTTACCAAGGACCTTTCCCCATAAACACCTATTAGGCCCAGCTGAACATACTTTCTTGTTGCCTGAATCCCAACACTGACAGGGCCCACCCATCTTCCCCTCCTCCCTGCCCTCATCGCTCTCTCCCTGGGCCAGTCCTGCTCCTGGAAGTCTCTCCCTGCATCCGAAGCGAACTTCCTCCCCTCTAATGGCTTGCAGGCTGAGATGTACTCTGAGTAGGACCTTGAACTAGGCTGTCTGTCCCTTAGAAGCTGTGCCAACAACCCTCGCTGGGGACCGCCACAGCGAGCATCCACCTGAGTCTCCTCTGCGGAGCGGACCTCCTTGTTGGTCAGCCCACGCAGATTAGGAGACCGGGGCCTGTGTCGCAGCTGCAATGTGGTGTCCCTGAGCACATCACAGCCTCGCAGGGCTGCTGTGTCCTCGGTCGGTAACACAGGGAAGGAGCTGTCCTTCCTCCCTGATGGTTTCAGAGATCCAAATGGGACAATAGACACTACAGGGCATCGTTGATTACAAACAGCTGTGAAGTTGGAGGGGTTACTGTCGCCCTGGGTACTTTCACAGAACCAGTATGGTCGCTTCTAAAGGAAAGTTCTAAAACGTGTCTCCCCAGGACCCCTCTCGGCCTAGCTGCTGGACCAGCTCTTCCTCAAGTGCAGGAATACATTAGAAGCGGCCTCCAGATGCCACAGATGCTTTCAAACACATCTATTTCAGTCCTGGGATTACTGTTTTAAATTTCTGAGATGCCGGAGAAGCAAGAGCCGCCCTGACCACGTGCTGCTGCCTCCCGCCTGTCTCCCGGAACCTTCCTCCCATGGCTGCCCCTGCAGGACGAGGGCAGTGGGGGCAGCCCCACACTGCGCAGCTCGCAGCCTGGTGCTTGGACCCCGGCCAGCCCGGAGCCAGGATAACGAGGCAGCTCTCCTCCCAGCATTTGAGCCAATTAAAAAGACAAATGACCGCAGGCTTATCTTCCCTCCTCCTCAGCCCCTCTCTTCCTTTCCATTCCCACCCCGACAGGGAAATGGCCTGGGGACCTCAGGGCTTTGGGCCTCGGCTGCTCTTCTCTGGAACAGCCAGGCTGCTCCACCCTGCCTGGGCCTTTCAAGGCTGCTGATGGATGGGGCTTCTCCAGCCTCCTCTCAGAGCTTCTGAGTGTTCCGAGACCTCGGACTAGAAGGGAGGACAACGGGAGGGATGGGGCGGATTGGGAGAAAGTGAAGCAGAAAGGCCACAGGCTCAAAGACTTTTGTAAAAAATGTCAAAAGCCTTGGAGCTTGTTTTTCAGCTCTGGCCTTGGGGCCCAGAGCTTGAGCAGAAGGCTCTGATTCTGAGGGCCATTTGCTTCATGTAACCCGGTGGTTAGCGCAGCTGGATCCCATGTCTTGGAGGAGGGCCAGCTGCAGCTGGAGGAGCTCTGAGACCCAAAGCAAGTTCCTGGGGTCCTCCAAGCCTGCACCCGAGTTTGTCCATGCCTGTCATGGAATGGTTGACAAGTGTGAATGCCTGTGAGTACCTGGCACAGCACCAGGCACAGACAGGCAAGCTGCTAATGTTTGTCAGTTCCCTTCCCCGTGGCAACCTCGAGACACTGATTCCAATTTCTCCACGGCTCACAGCTTCGCCTCCCACCATAACTTATTTACAGGTCTTACAGGTTTCATCAACAGAATGTTTATCCTTAAATCTAACTGAAGAAAACAAACAAACACTTCTGTTCTCATCGCTCCCTGATAAAATCCTATGCATCTTTCAAAACCCAGTTTGATCGTGGCCTGTCTGGTTTTAGCTTCTCCGAGGTCCTCTCAGCACCGTATCGCTTCCATCCTCACCCTGTGGCATCGTGATTGTTCCATTAAGTTAATGAATATTAACTATTAGGTCTGAGTAACACCCTGGTAAACAGGATGAAGGAAATCCCCCCTCCTGCAGTATATATTCAAGATGGAGAAAAGAGGCATTTTAAAAATTCTAGAAATGAAATTAAAAGCAGCTTGTGCCTCCTAGACAGCAAACTCCGTGCCTTCCTTCTCATTATGTTACGAGAATCTGCGCAGCCAGCAGAGCGGGGCACGGCCGATGTTCACCCTCCACACCACGCTTCGTTCTCAATGCTTCTCTTCTCTGGGAAGATGACCAAGGGTCTTTCACAGGCCCTTTTAGTGGTCAAGGTCCATTGCTCCTTAGGTCTGGACAGCTCTGAAGCCCATCTTATGGACACGCTGGTGGGCTCAGCAGCCGGCCCTGGAATAGATAAAGCTCCCTAGACCCTTGCTGCTTCCGAGTGAGAAGCACAGCAAAGAGGCTTGGCTGAGTCTCACTCCAGGCTGGGACCCCGGATGTGCGCCAAGGGCTCTCCCCCAGGAAGGGTTGTGTGTGCAGGCTCAGGGGAGCCCTGCCTACAATCAGGAGCTGCCTGCTGAGCTGGGAGCTGCTTCCCAGAGGACCCCAAGAGGCAGGAGCTGGCTTCCTTTCTGTTCCTGGCTGGAGCCAGCTCACTGGAGAGAGGCATTTCGGGTAATGTTCAGCTCAGCCAAGGCATGGAGTCTCAGAGTCCTCGAATTAAGGAGCTACAAAGAAATTCAAGGATCAGTCAGCCCAAAGTCGTCATGCATGGAGAAGGCAACCAAGACCCCAAGTAGAGAAGAGACCAATTTTAGACTAATGGGATCTCAGAGGTCATCTACTTTAGGGAGGGAAAATTCATGGGTTCTATGCTCCTGATCCACTAGTGAATCAATAATGGTGCACACACCACTAATCAAGGATGCCACTCCCTGTGCTGAACCCAGACAAGGCCCTCAATCCATTCGACGTGGCTCTCCAGACACTGACCACTGAACACCACTTGAGATGGTGGTGATGATGATGATGATGGTGGTGGTGGTGGTGGTGGTGTTAGCAACCACTCATACATGCTGGAAGCCTTCTCCATGTTGAGTCTTTACCTGCATGGCCTCATGTGATTCTCACTGTGCTGTGAGGAAAGTATTTCTATTATCCCCACTTTGTAGATGAGGAAAGAAAGACTTTGAGAGGGAAAATAACTTGCCCAAGACTCCACAGCTAGTGATTCAAAAGCTTGCCCAGCCTCTGGCATGTGGGGAGGACAGGTGTGCAGGGAGGCACATGGGTCAGCCTGAGGCTTGTCCAGAGACAGCAGGACATGTTATCAACTCTTCCCAGCCTCTACCTGCGCCAGGGACTCAGCCGCGCCAGGATAATCATAACAGGAGTAGCTGATATTTATTTAGCATCTGCTGTGCTACAGGTACAGTGATGGAAAATTGACATACATTATCTCATTTAATCTTCAATGTGGTCCCACCAAGCAGGCATTATTGCTTTCACTTTACAGGTGGAGAAACTGAGGCTCAGAGAAATTAATTGACTTGCATAAGGTCATGCAGTCCATCCGAGGCAGCATCAGCATTTGCCCTCAGACCTTTCTGACTCCCAAACCCATGCTCTTTTTCTGTGGCATTGCGCTTCCCCTCTGGACTGGTCACCACCCATGGAAGTTGTTGGTGACAGCCCAGGTCTTCCCATGTTTGTGGGCCCAAGTGCTGCTGCCGGCACGTTTCCTAGATCGTTGAGGAGCCATGGCACCCAGGGCAGGGGGCAGGTGACCCCATCCTCAAGCCCGTGTATAGGTCCCCATCTGTACTCCCCACCCTGCCTGCCCACCAGTCTTTCAAACAGCTAGATTGGAAGCACATTGAGGGCAAGTCTTGGTCCCAAACCTACCCGCACCCCCATCTCAGGTATGGTGGCATGATGGAGGAAGAAGTACTCCAGATCTGATTTCGGGAGAGTTAGTTGAAGTCAACTCTGCCTCCAAACAGTTGTGTGATGTTGGGCGCTGATGTAACGTCTGACCACCAGCTTCACTTGAGAAATGAAAAGCTCCAGACCTTCCTCTCAAGGCTGCCAGGGGACCAGCTGAGTTCTCAGATGCCAGAGGGCTTGTCCTGCCACCTTGGGCTGAGCAAGTCATCCCACCTTGCTAAGTTCAGTTCCTTCATCAGCAAGATGGGCACGTGAACAACAGCATCTTCCCCACTCTTTCCCACCGTGCAGATCAGATGCAGTGGTATGAGGGGCGACCCTGTAGACTTTACAGCACTATGCAGATGGTATTTGCCACACGCTTGATAAATGGCCACCGCCTGACAAAACAAACCCTATTCCCAAAGTAGCAAAGTTGATGGCACAAAACCAGCAGTTATGAAATGTTGCCGGCTGCCTCGGTCCTGCAAGTGTCCTTGTGCCTTTCCTAGACAGTTGGGCTCTCGGGAAAAGGGCCCCTTCCCAGAGTGGGCTGTTTCTCAGGACCATCTCCTCCAATGCACAACAAACTAGAACTTTCTGACACTCCCTGGCAGCTGCAGCTGCTGCCTGAGACATCTCTGTGCCCTTGAGAAGGTAGCTTGTGGTGCAAGTTTAGTCTGAAATTCCATCCCGGGGCCTCCCCCTGCCCTGGATCCCAAGGCCTTGAAGATGTTGCTCGCTGTGTGGGCTGGACCCGGTGGAAGCACCAGGGCGGGAGCAATGGGAGCAGGGCTCGGAGACCCTGAGCTCGCAATAGTCAGAGGTCAAGGTCAGAAAACACAAGCACAGACCAGAGGCCCCAGAATCCTCTTCTGGCTGCAGCCATTATTAGTGGTGATAAATAAAAGCCTCTTCCATGGCTTTTATCATCTCACGACCTCAGATCAGTTTCCAAACACAAGTCACTCTCACATCCTTTGTCTTGGAAGACAGCAACACCTTCAAGTCTCCAGCCTGGACGTGCCCAGGAAGCTGCCTGCATTTCACCTGCATCTTTTAAATGGTGGAGGCTTGGGGACATTCTCTACCCCCAACCCCTCCTTATAGCCTGACCTGAGCTTTACAGTCAGCATGATCTGCCTGGGCTCTGTTAAGGAATGAATTGTGTCCCTCAAAATTCACATGCTGAAGCCCTAAGCCCCTGACCTCAGAATGTGACTGTACTTGGTCTTTGGGGGTAAAGTAAAATGAGGTCATGTGGGTGGGCCCAAATTCAATATGGCTGGTGTCCTCATAAGGAAAGGAGATTGGCTGGGTGTGGTGGCTCATGCCTGTAATCCTAGCACTTTGGGAGGCCGAGGTGGGTGGGTCACATGAGGTCAGGAGTTCAAGACAAGCCTGGCCAACATGGTGAAACCCTGTCTCTACTAAAAACACAAAAATTAGCTGGATGTGGTGGTGCATGCCTGTAATCCCAGCTACTTGAAGGCTGAGGCAGGAGAATCGCCTGAACCTGGTAGGTGGAGGTTGCAGTGAGCCAACATCTCTCCACTGCATGCGTGGGTGACAGAGCAAGACTCTGTCTTAAAAAAAAAAAAAAAAAAAAAAAAAAAAAAAAGGAGATTAGGGTCTGGGTTTCATGGCTCAAGCCTGCAATTCCAGCATTTTGGAAGGCCAAGGCAGGCAGGTCACCTGAGGTCAGGTGTTCGAGACCAGCCTGGCCAACATGGTAAAACCCCATCTCTACTAAAAATACAAAAATTAGCTGTGCATGGTGGTACCTACTCGGGAGGCTGAGGTAGGATAATCGCTTGAACCTGGGAGTTGGAGGTCGCAGTGAGCTGAGATCAAGCCACTACACTCCAGCCTGGGTGACACGGCAAGACTCTGTCTCAAAAATAATAATAATAAAAGAAAAGGAGATTAGGCCACAGAAACACAGAGGGATGACCATGTGAGGACACAGCAAGAATGTGGCCATCCACAAACCCAGGGGAGAGGCCTCAGGAGAAACCAACCCTGCCGGCACCTTGAGCTTGGACTTCTAGCCTCCAGAACAGTGAGAAGATGAACGGCTGGTGTTGAAGCCACCTGGTCTGTGGGACTTTGTCATGGCAGCCTGAGCTGATTAATGCAGGTTTCATGCCAGCTTCAATTCAATTCAAGAAATGCAAATCTCCCAGCCACTGTCCTCTAGGCATTAGGCTGGATAGTGTGGATTCAAAGAGGAAACCCTGGAGGAGGGCGTGCTTGAATACAGGATCTGAAAAGCTGGAGGAGAGAATTCATTTGCACAGGCCTCAGAAGACATACAGAGTGTGGCCTGGTGAATTAGGAGGGACTGTCAAGGAATTCTCCTCAGAGGAGGTGAAATAGGAGCAAATTTCGAAGGCATATTAAGGTTTGGCCCACCAGTCAGGCAGAGAGGGGGGAAGGATCACAGAGCAAAGTGAGCCGTGGGTGCAGAGACTGCCTGTGAAAAGGCACAGCTGCGTGGGTGGAATGGGTGGTGGGAGGCTCAGAACTGCTCCCTCTGCTTGTGCTGCTGTAACAAAATACCATAGATTGGGTAATTTATAAAGAAGAGAAATGGATTCCTCACAGTTCTGGAGGCCGGAAGTCTGAGATGAAGGGGCCGACACTGGTGTCTAGAGAGGGCTGCTCTCTGCTTCCATGGTGGCGCCTTCCTGCTGCGAGCTTACCTGGCGCATGCTCACCTGGCACCTTCTCACCTGGCGGGAGGGGGAAAGGCCTCAGCTGGCCCCGGACTGCCCCTTGATGAGGCATGAATCATTCATAAGGGAGGAGCCCTCACAGCCTCATCACCTCCTGAGGCCCTCACCCCTTTATACTGCCACCGTGGGGATTAACTTTCAGCATGAATTTTGGAGGGGACACATTCAAACGACAGCACTCTCCAAACTTGGTTTCTCCATCTGTAAATGGGATAATAATATCTCAGGCAGTTGGCATAAGGGTCAGCTGAGACAACAGGGAAAGAAGAATGTTTATGGCAAAGCACTCCCAGAGATGACTTCAGATGAAGCCATCACAAGCCTTCTGATTTTTCATTCAACTCACCCACCTCCCACCTGTAACCCTTATTTGGCACAGGAGTCCATCAAACCAGGCCAGGCACAATTGTTTTTTGTTTGTTTGTTTGTTTGTTTTGAGATAGGGTCTCACTCTGTCATCCAGGCCGGAACACAGTGGTGTGGTCAGGGCTCACCACAGCCTTGGACTCGTGGGCTCATGCGATCCTCCCTCCTCGGCCTCCTGAGTAGCTGGGACTACAGGTGCACACCACCACACTCAGCTAATTTTTGTATTTTTTTGTAGAGACAAGGTTCCATGTTACCCAGTTGGTCTCAAATTCCTGGGCTCAAGCAATCTACCGGCCTTGGCCTCCCAAAATGCTGGGATTACATGCGGGAGCCCCCATGGCCAGCCGGATTGTTTTTAATAAACTTTCTATTTTAGCATAGATTTAGATTTATGGAAAAGCTGCAAAGATAGTACAGAGAGTTCCCACATTCCTCCACGCAGTTTCCATCATTGTTAACATCTTACATTAGTATGTTAAACTTGTCAAATTAATGCACCAATACTATTATTGATACGTTACTACAAACTAAAGTCCATATTTTTTCAGATACTTAGTTGTCACCTAATGCCCTTTTTTTTCTTCCATGACCCTGGAGTATATGTCATCATCATGCCTCCTGAGGCTCCTCTTGGCTGTAACCGTTCTAGCCTGATTTTTGAATTCCAGGACACGGCATTTGCTAAGAAATGTACCTATGTATAGAAGTAGGAATGAGGGAACAGTTGGAGGATTTTTGGAGAAAAGCACATTATTTTTCAGCATTGTATCATTTGGTGAATCAACAACACGTGTTTGTTACAAATGAGACTATCTGTTCGCTGAAGGAGCCCTAAAGAGCCTGTGTTTATGATATTCTCAGTTCACTTTATCCTTTGCACTAAAAAATACTGATTTACATGTGTACATACACATAGACACACGCACACACACGCAATTTTAGAATTCACTCGTGTGATAGCCCCAGTCCTTCCCAATAGCCTGTCTCTGGCCCCAGGTGTTCTGTGTTCTCAGACTGTCTGAGCCCCTGTTCCTTGGAGGGTGAAAGGCTGCCTCCCTTGAGCCCAGAGGCCCAGGGTCAGTACACACTCAGCTGCATTCTCTCTGGGGCCCTCTGCCGTGGGCAGCACCGTACCCGATCCAGGCAGAACTGGACTCTTCCACTCTGAACCTCACGGCCTTGGAAGGGAGAGTGGGTGGGGGCTGTTCCTCATAGGCTAGAGGGCATCACAGCAGCTCCTGCCTCCAGGCTGCAAAGGGGTCAGCTCCCAGGTTGCCTGCAAGAGTGGTGATAAAGGGACACACTCTCCTTGCTTTGCTTGGCCAGGACAGCACTTTTGTTTGGAACACTAGGTTCCGAGACTCTGTCCATCTGCAGGTTTTGCGTGTAAATGACGAGGAAAGAAAGCAGCAGAAGCCACATCTATGAGCCTGGAGCATCAGCAAAAAGCAGCTCCTGCCTCCTCCCCACCACCCCGGCTGGCACGAGGCCACGGCAATCACGGCGTCACACTCTTGCCTGCGTGTATTTCTTCCTTTTTTTTTTTTCTTTGAGACAGGGTCTTGCCCTGTTAACCAAGCTACAGGGCAATGGCATGATCACAGCTCACTGCAATCTCAACCTCCCAAGTAAGCCTCAGACTCCTGAGCAGCTGAGACCACAGGCATGTGCCACCACACCCAGTTAATTTTTTAAAACATTTTTTGTAGAGATGGGTCTTGCTATATTGCCCAGGCTGGTCTCGAACTCCTGGCCCCAAGTAATCCCTCTGCCTCAGCCTCCCTAAGTGCTGGGATTATAGGTGTGAGCTGCCACACCCCACCTCTTCTTCTTCTTTTTTTTTTTTTTAATAAAAAATAATGGCTCAAGTCATTGTAAAAATAATAATAATAAAATAAAAAAAGTAGCAGAAGTAAAAACTCACTTTGACCACTACAAAGTCCCCATCTCCTCCCTAGAAATAACTTATGCCCTCAGCTGAGCATGTCCTTGGAGACCTTTTTCTTTTTCTTTTCTTTTCCTTTCTTTCTTTTTTCTTTTTGTTTTCTTTTCCTTTCTTTCTTTTTTTTTTTTTGTAGCTTAAGTTCATTTTAGATGGTTTGTTGAAAACCTCAATTTTTTAAAAAACATAATTTCAACTTTTATTTTAGATTCAAGGGGTGTGTGTGCAGATTTGATACAAGGCAGTACTGCATGATGCTGGCGTTTGGGGTATGATTGATCCTGTCACCCAGGTGGTGAGCACAGTACCCAATAGCTAATTTTTTAACCCTTGCTCCCCTCTTTCTCTCCCCCTTCTTATAGTCCCCCATGTCTATTGCTCTCATCTTTGCGTTCATGAGTACCCAAGGTTTAGACCCCACTTGTAAGTGAGAACATGTGGTATTTGTTTTTCTGTTCCTCTGTTAATACACTTAACATAATGGCCTCTGGCTGCATCCATTTTGCTGCAAAGGAGATGATTTTGTTTTTTCACGGCTGCATAATATTCCATGTTGTATATGTGCCACATTTTTTTATCCAGTCCACATTTTCCTAACCATGAGCACCGAGGTTGATTCCATGTCTTTGCTATTATGAATAGTGCTGTGCTGAACACATGAGTACATGTGAATTTTTGGTAGAACGATTTCCATTTCTCTTGGTATATACCCAGTAATGGGATTGCTGGGTTGGATGGTGGGTCTGCTTTAAGTTCTTTGAGAAATCTCCAAACTGCCTTCCACAGTGGCTGAACTGCTTTATATTCCCACCAACAGTGTAGAAGCGTTCCCTTTTCTCCAAAGCCTCACCAGCGTTTGTTGCTTTTTGACTTTTAGTAATAGCCATTCTGATTGCTGTGAATGGCATCTCAGTGTGGTTTTGATTTGCATTTCTCTGATGATTCGTTATGTTGAACATTGTTTCATATGTTTTTTGGCTGCTCATATATCTTCTTTGGAGAAGTGTTCATGTCTCTTGCCCACTTCTTAATATAATTATTTGTTTTTTGCTTGTTGAGTTGTTTAAGTTCCTTGTAGATGCTGGATATTGATCTTTGTTGGACACATAATTTGCAAACATTTTCTTCTATTCTGTATGGTGTGTTTACTCTGTTGATAGTTTCTTTTGCTCTGAAGAAGCTTCCTTAGAGGTTTTTTTCAATGTATGAATATGCATGTATGGGTGCATTTAGGAAAAGAGAATATAATTTTACATAGAGTTTCGGAAGTAAGAATACTGGCCGGGCACAGTGGCTCACACCTGTAATCCCAGCACTTTGGAAGGCTGAGGCAGAAGGGTTGCTTGAGCCCAGAAGTTTGAGACCAGCCTGAGGAACATGGTGAAACCCTGTCTCTATTAAAAAAAAAATTAGCCAGGCATGGTGGCATGGGCCAGCTACTCAGGAGGCTGAGGTGGGAGGATCACCTAAGCCTGGGTGATCGAGGCTGCAGTGAGCTATGATTGCACCACTGCATTCCAGCCTGGGTGAAAGAGTGAAACCCTATCTCAAATAGAAATAAAATAAAGTAAGGATACGGTATGATTATGTAACTATTTGCGTACAGATATTTGGGGTTTTTTCCCAATTTTCCCTATTACAAACCATGCTGGAAGTCTAATTTTTTTCTCTTTTTTATTTTGTAGGCAAAGCTGTTGGGTATCAGTTCTCCACAGGGACCTGATGATCTTAGGTCTTTCTCTTCATCTTGGGAAGAGTAAGGAAGCTGTTCTCGTCCTGCCCTAGTGTGGCTGATGTGACATGACCGGCTGCGCCCAGCATCCTGCTTTCCTTCCCAAGTTGCGTCTTTGTCCACAAATCCAGCTAGTGCATCATTGAAAAGGTTGGTGTTGCTCAAGATTATTCCCAGTCCTAACTCATTATTGAGGTTTCGGCCTGTTTGGCTGGAAGACAACTGCAGAGATGACCGAGAGATTTTATTTGTTTCCTGTGGCCGTCATAACAAATGATCACAAACCGGGTGGCTCAAAACAACAGACATTTACTCTCTCACATTCCAGAGGCCTGAGTGTCAAAACAAGGGCCTTGAGGCCTTCTGACACCTTGAGAAAAGACTGGCCAAAGATTCCTTCCCTGATTTTTCCAGCTTCTGGTGGTTCCAGGTGTTTCTTGGCTTGTGGCTTCCTCACTCCAACCTGTGCCTCCGTCTTCACATGGCTTCTCTAGAACTCTGTGTCCACATCTGCTTCTCTTCTGTCTGTTATAAAGATACCTGGCATTAGATTTAAAGTCCACCTTGGAAGAACAGGATGATCTTGTCTCAAGATCCCTCACTTAATTACATCTGCAAAGGCCCTTTTTCCAAATAAGGTCACATTCATGGGTTCTGGGGCTTAGGACATGAACATATCTTCTTGGAGGCTGTCATCCAACCCAGTGCAGGAATCATTAGCACAGTCCTCTGCTTCACAGATGAGAGTACCCCTCCTTGCCAGGTGGTGGTAAATGCTTTGAAGGAAAATAAAGCAGGAAGAGAACAACTTGGGGTTCCAGGATGGAGGTGAGCTTGCGATTTCAAATAGGGTGCTCAGGGAAAGCCTCTCTGGTGACAAGACATTTGACGAAAGAACTGCAGACGTGGGAGAGCAAGTCACACAAGGGCTGAGGGAGAAAGCCTTCCAGGCAGAGGGAACTGATTGTTCTATTTTTTGTGTATTCTTGACAGTTTGTTCTTGTTGTAATAATTTGCCATGTTACTTTTATTTTTACCATATACATATTGCACTCCTGGATTAAACTGTGAGTTATTTGGAGATAGAGACTATGTCTTCTTGTAGCATCCTCAGCACTAGCAGAGAGCTTGATGCATGAAACATGGTCAGTAAATATTTATGAGAGAGTAAATAAATGACTGCGGTATAAAAGGATCCATGGCTTAGATGACTTGCTTGAGGTCACATGGCTGGTCAGGGGCAATGCTGAGACTGGAACACCATAATCCTTGCTATCATCAGAAAGCAAGGTGGTGCATTTCAGGCTGGGTGTGGTGGCTTATGCCAGCACTTTAGGAGGCCAAAGCAGGAGAATTGCTTGAGCCCAGGAGTTCAAAACCAGCCTGAGCAACGTGGTGAGATCCTATCTCTGCAAGAAATTTTTTTAAAAATAGCCACGCATAGTGGCAAGCACCTGTGGTTCCAGCTACTCAGGAGGCTGAGGTGGGAGGATTGCTTGAGCTTGGGAGCTCAAGTCTTCACTGAGCTATAACTGTGCCACTGCACTCCAGCCTGGGCAGCAGAGTGAGACCCTGTCTTAAAAGAAAAAGAAAAGAAAAGAAAAGAACAAGCAGGTGGCACATTTCAAAGGAAGCTCATTTTCTAGCTGGCTGTTTTTAAGGAGACTGCTTGCTGTATCAAGACACATGTGGTAGATGTGACATGATGGGTTGGAGGCCAGGCCTGCACGGGTCATGAGCCTAATTGAAAAGGAATATCTCCCTGCTCGAAGCTCATTTTGAAACGTTTCATAAATGGCTAGTCATGGAACCAAGAAAGAAGAATGGACAAGATCAATAAATTGGTTGGCTCTTGAAAGTCAACCATATTCCAGGGAACAACCACTCACCAAGCCAGGTGGCTGAGAGAGGAGGTAAGGGTGGAGCATGCAGTGCTGGAGGATCGGGTCAGCTTGTTATCAGCAGGGACAGTGGTAGCTAAGAGTAAACCTTGACCAGCTTGAAGAGTGAGACTCAAGGTCATCGTGGACTGCATCAAGTGATCTCAGGTCCTAGAAAGTAAGTGAAAGAGGACAGTGTGATGTGACAGGCCAGGTGTGATGAGGACTAAAGTCAGGAAAGGCTGCAGGCCAAGGACAAAGGTAGAATAATGGAGTCGATTGATGATTCAGAGCACAGGTCAAAGCAGTTGCAGGACCTTGGATAGCTCCACAGGAAGCTCTGCCAAGAGGCGTTGGATGACTGAGCTTTTAGCCCACAGATCCCAAGGGGTGACATTTGGAGCCACCTTTCGTAGGACACTCTAAGATTTCAAGGACCTTGTGCAGTCATGGTGGTTCTAACCCTTCGGCCATGAGGGACAGAAATGCTACGACTCTCCGGACATATTTCCCAAAGTACTGCCTTTCTTGGCATTTTTAAGGTGTTATGCTTACATGACTGACCATTGTCAACGTCATGAGGCATGAAAGAGCAGTGGCCAAAGGTGGGGCTATAGTTGTCTTCCAGGTCTCCTAGCTCCAGCGGTGCAAACGCCACCCCAGGCCAGGCTTTCGGGGCTCACCTCCAGAGGTTGGACATGGCTATGGCTTGGGTGGGGGAATCTTGGGCTGATCAAGAATCCCAGGCATCTTCAGGCCCTGCCAGCACACCAAGGGGTGTCAGAGTGTGCATGGACTTTGAAACCATTTCATAGCGGAGCACGTTATTTTGGTTCTTTAAGCCTCTGCTCTTGCCACTTGTGAAGTGCGGATAACATCTTGCACAATGATTGTAAGGATTAGTCAAACAGCATAAGCTACTTAGAAGAATCAGCCCAGAGCACTCCTCAGCAGACCCACCTCTTACCAACATAACAATGCTGAGTGGATCGTTTGTGGCTAAAAACCTGATCCCCTATAAGGAAGAGGAGACAGTGTGCTGGAATCAGACAGATCTGGATTCAAAAACTCTCCGGTGCTCACTAACTCTAGGGCCTTAGGCAAGTTGCAAAACCTCACGGAGCCTCAGTTTTCTCATCTGCCAAATGGAGAGCTGACACCTACCTCAAAGAGCCATGGTGAATAGTAAATGAGAAAACATGTCTACAGCTCCTCACACATAGCAAGCACTCAACGACTGTGAACTCCCAACCCTTCCTCCCATCGAACTCAATATCAAGATTTTAAAGGGAATAAAAAGCCTGGCTTTTGGGTTTCATTGGAAGTGTTTTAAGTGAGCTAAACAATGACTTCTCACTTCTCATAGGTAACATCGAATCCCAGAGCTGGAAGAGCTCAGCACTCACCTATATCACTGCCTATATTTTTACGAGGCCTTAGTAGCAAAGTGGGCTTTTGCATCACATCTCCTTTAGTTTCAAGGGACACACCCCAACTCAGACCAGGATAAGTAACAGTGAAATATTTGGGACCTTGGGTGATACTGGGACTCAAAGGAGGTTTCCAGAGCTTGTTCTGTCTCATCATCTCCTGGCTCTCACTCCCTTTGGCTGTTGACCTTATTGCCTTCTATGGCTGGCAAGCTTTCTCCATACAGAGGAGAAAGAAATTAATGACAGCTCTAGACTCCTATTGTCAGTTTTGCTACCCCAGTAGGAACTTCCCACTGCCAACAGTGAGGTTGAATGAATGAGGTTCAATGAATGAACCTATATCATTCATCCCAGGGAAGGGCACTAATGGTCCTGTTGGCTAATCATTGACTCCACCCCCTGAGACAGTGGCTGTTACACCAATGGCTGGCCAAGCTTGGGATGTGATGAGTGATCCAGGACCTCATGGCAGGTGCTGGGCAGAGAAGGACAGCATGTCTATCATTGTGTTTGCCAGTCACCTAGCTGGTGAGGGATACTGATAGAATGAGCATGCAAGCGTTCTGGCTCCTAATTTTGTAGTTTTCCCTTCTATCATCTCACATTCCCAGGCCCATTGGTAGACGCTATTGATCAAGTGTTTGAAGTGGATTTGTGCTATTATCGTCCCTTAGGAAATTAGGGGGCCTACAGCTCCCACTTAGGGACCAGCAAACCAGAATTTGTGGTAAGGTCAATCTGCAGCTGTAAGACCGTAATCTGGGGGTCTTAAATATTCATCCATAACCAAACCAGCTAAGCCACCCTGCACATGGATAAGACACGCTGGGGGCAGCATTGTTTTCAACCTCCCTGCAATGGTGTCAGCATGATGGCTAGCTCCATCTCCCGTCAGAAATTCAGCATCCTCCTACCCAGACACTAAGCATGTGCCCTCGCACTGTCAGAGAAAGGCTCTTATCTGTCCGTGAATCTGGCTGTGCCTCTATAATAAAACATATCAGGTTGATTGCTTAAATTGTTTATAAATCTGGTGCTATCTTTACTGTTTATAAAAATTCCGGTGTGGTCAATATTGGTCCCTACTGCTCCAATTAAAATGGCCAAATGAACCTCAGCACCAGCTGGAATTTCAACTGTGGCCAATCCACGTGGAGTTTTGCACTTCTGCAAGAGTGGAAGTCATGGAATAGTAGAGCTGGAAGCAGCTCTAGTGACTGTCCAGTCTAATTCTTTCCTTTTACAGATGAAGAAGGTGAGGAACAGGGAGAGAACCACATGACTTCAGGGCAGAGGTTTGCAACAACATTGCTTAATGAAATATTGAGCTCAAGCTGTGGCCAAGTGCTGATCCAGAGGCAAGGCAGCCACCATAAAGAGAGCATGGCAGCCACAGCCACATTTGCACTCTCCTAGTTCCCCTTCCATGGTCATTTGAGTCCTGGGGACACTGGACCTTCAGTCCTTCTGCCTCAAGTGGACCAACATTGGGAGAGTTGTCCTGGCATCTGAGGATTAAAAGCCAGCTCCCCTGATCCCCTGAGGCATCCGCTCCTGCTCCCCAGAAGCACTCCAGAGACCCAGCTTTGGCCAGCTGTTTCACGTCTATTTGAAGAGCTGAAATTCTAATAAGGATGATTTATGAGTTTCTGAGCGAGAATAATGGGAGCCATGCTTTCCCCTGACACAGAGCCTGGTCCCGGGGGTGCCGGGATGAGTAATGCTCTACCATGGAGCAAAGGGCTCTTGTCTGAGTCAAGGGATGATTTAACTCCTCAGAGAGCCAGAGTTTCCCTCCAATAACTCACCCTCTCTGAGAAAAGGAGTGGTACCCCCCTGTCTTGTTGGTGTCTGTGCCCACTCAGTGGCAGGAGCTGCCTTGCAGGCAGTCAGCATGGATGTGCCAGACCCCATGGCCAGTGTCTTGCAGGGTGGGGGTGGGGCCAGCAGGCACTCAGGGGGACCAGCAAGCAGGGTCTGTACACTGACTGCGTGGGCAGTGGATGCTCCAGTCTGCTGAAGGGACATCCCGAGGAAGAGGAAACAGACTTAGATGGGCTGATTCCCAGGGCCAGGCCAGGATTGTAAATAAAGGATACACGGGGATTTCAACTCAGTATAAGAACTTTCTAACAATCAGATTTGTGCCCCATAAAGAATAAATGGTTTTCGGAGGCTGTGAGACTTTCTTCAGTAGCAAAGTGCAGCTGGATCCCATTTCACACACATTTGGATAGTTGTTATCAAGGAAAACAGAAAATAACAAGTGTCGACAAGGATGTGGAGAAACTGGAACCTTGTGCACTGTTGGTAGGACTGTGAAATGATACAACTACTGTGAAACAAAAAACTGCTATGAAATAGTTCATCAAAAAATTAAACACAGATCTTATAACTAGAAAAACTTAAAGACTCTACGAAAAACCTGTTAGAGGTGATAAATAAATTCAGTAAAATTGCAGGATATAAAATCAACACACAAAAATCAGTAGCATTTTTATATGCCAACAGCAAACAATCTGAAAAAGAAATCAAGAAGGCAATTCCGTTTACAATAGCTACCAAAAAGAAAAGGCTAGGAATAAACTTAACCACAGAAGTGAAAGGCCTCTACAAGGAAAACTACAAAACACTGGTGAAAGAAATCAAAGAGGACACAAGCAAATGGAAAGACATCCCATGCTCATGGATCAGAAGAATTAAGATTGTTACAATTACCAAACTACCCAAAGCAATCTACAGATTCAGTGCAATTCCTATCAAAATACCAACATCATTTTTCACAGTAATGGAAAAGATATCCTAAAATTCATATGGCACCAAAAAAGAGTGGAAATAACCAAGGCAGTCCTAAGGAAAAAGAACAAAGCTAGAGGCATCACACCATCTGACCTCAAAATACATTACAAGGATATAGTAATCAAAACAGCATGGTATTGATGTAAAAACAAACACATAGACCAATGGAATATAATACAGAACCCAGAAATAAATCGACTTATTTATAGCCGACTGATTTTTGACTAAAGCACCAAGAACATATGTTGGGGAAAGGACCCTCTCTCCAATAAATGATACTGGGAAAACGGGACATCCACACATGGAAGAATGAAACTGGAGCCCTATATCTTAAAGCAACTGAAGATGAATTAAAGATTTAAAAGTAAGACCCAAAACTATAAAAGTAGAAAAAAAGCATAGAGGAAACACTTCAGGATATTGGTCTAAGCAAAGATTTTCTGACTAAGACCTCAAAAGCATAGGCAACAAAGACCAAAGTAGACAAATGAGACTATATTAAACTAAAAAGCTTCCGCACAGCAAAGGAAACAATCAACAGAGTAAAGAGAAAACTTGTTGAATAGGAGAAAATATTTGCAAACTCTTCATTCAGTAAGGGACTAATATCCAAAATATATAAGGAACTTAAACAACTCAACGGTAAAAAAATCAAATCATCCCACTAAAAATGACCGAAGGATTTGAATAGGCATTTCTCGAAAGAAGACAAACAAATGGTAAACAGGTATGTGAAAAAATACTCAACATCACTAATCATCAGGGAAATGCCAATCAAAACCACAATGAAATATCATCTCAGTTAGAATGGCTATTACTAAAAAGACAAAAAAAGCAGATGCTGGAGAAGACGTGGAGAAAAGGAACTCTTATACACTGTTGGTGGGAATGTAAATTAGTACAGCCCCTGTGGAAAATGGTATGGAGAGTTTTCAAAAAACTAAAAATAGAACTACCATATGATACAGCAGTGCCTCTACTGGGTTTTTATTCAAATGAAAGGAAATTAGCACTAGTATAAAAGACCTGCACTCCTCTGTTTATTGTAGCACTCGTCAGAATAGCAAACATATGGAGTCAACCTAAGTGTCCACCAACAGATGAATGGATGAAGAAAATGTTATATATATACATAAATATATATGAATATTACATGATCATTAAAAGAATGAAATCCTGTCATTTGCAGCAACATGAATGGAGCTGGGGGTCACTATATTAAGTGAGATAAGCCAGGCAGAGAAAGACAAATATTGCAGGATCTCACTCATACATGGGAGATAAAAATGTTGACCTCATGGATGTAGAGAGGCTGGGAAGGGTGTGTTGGAAGGGAGTGATAAAGAGAGGCTGGTTAATGGGTACAAACATTCAGTTAGATACAAGAAAGAAGATCTAATGTTGATAGCAGAGTAGCATAACTATAGTTAAAGCAATGTATTGTATATTCCAAAACAGCTAAAAGAGAGGACTTGAAATGTTCCTAACACATAGAAATGATAAATACTGAAGGTGATGGATATCCTAAATACCCTGACTTGATCGTTTCACCTTCCATGCATGTAACAAAATATCACATGTACCCCATAAATATGTACAAATATTATGTACCAATGGAAAAAGAAAAATTAAAAAAATTAAACATATTATTGCCATTTGATCCACCAATTATAGTTGTGGACGTTGAAGTAGATATATTGGGTACATTTGGGTATGTATATATATATATATGCATTATTCTCAATAGCCAAAATGTGTAAGCAACCCAGGTGGCCATCGACAGATGAATGGATAAATAAAATGTGGTCCATCCATCAAATGGATTATTATTCAGCCTCAAAAACAAGGAAATTCTGACACATGGGTGAACCTTGAGGACATCATGCTAAGTGAAATAAGCCAGTCACAGAGAGACAAACATTGTATGATTCTGTTTATATGGGGGCACCCAGAGGAGTCAAATACATAGAGATGCGAAGTAGAATGGGGGTTGCCAGGGGCTGCGGGGGAGGAGAAATGGGACTCCGTGTTTTATGGAAGTAGAGTTTTAGTCGAGGATATTGCAAAAAATTCTGGAGATGGATGGTGGTGATGGTTGCATAACAGTGTAGATATTCTTAATGCCACTCAACTGAATCCTTAAAAAATAGTTACAATGGTAACTTGTAGCTAGGTTCTGTATATTTTATTACAATTTTAATTTTAAAAAATAAAGCTGGATTCACAAAAGAAGGGACTCAGACTTCTCAAGGGCCCAGATGATCTTGAAATGAACAGATTGTGAGCACTGGGGAGAACTCGGGCTGACCCTGAGACAGAAATGGCAGAGGACACTCTGGGATGTGCACGGCTTCAGCCCGAGAGGGTGCATGCACGAGGAAAGCGAAAATTGACGCAAGAGGTGCATCAGCCTCCTACGCCACTCTTCTGCAAAGCACCTCCCCGATAACCTTCCTGTAGTAGTGACAATCACTACAAAAATAAACATGGCTAACGTTTATGGAGCATGTATTCTGTGCCAGTCACTGTGCTGAGCACACTAGAGGCTTTGTTCCTTTAAAACCCACAACAAGCTTAGGAGACAGGAAAACTGAGATGCAATATGACGAAGTAGCTTGAGCCAGAGACCCGCCCACCACCCCCCTCCCCAGCTCTGTCCAGCGTGCTCTGCAGCCCCAAGGGGCTGGGGGAGTGGGTAGAGATGGTAGGAGGGCAACATGATGAACTGGGGCTTCAAAGCACATGGGCCTCTGGCTATGAATCCAGGCATTGTACTCACTGTGGATCACTTAACTCTAAGCTTCAGTCTCTTCATCCGGAAATAGGGGCTAATGATCATCGTACCTACCCCATGGATTACCTCCAGGATTCAATGAGACAGCAATGTGAAGTGCTCAGCCCAGCGCCTGGCACGGAGAAGGGCTGAGAGCCGTAAGCTCTCCTTGTTGGCATGGCCTCTGCCTCCTCTGCACCTCAGAGCACTTGGTTGCCCGCATCTCTTTGCACGTAGCAACTTCCACCGTGCGTGAGAGCACTTTGATTCAGCCCAGCAACCTCCTCACTCTCCACAGAGGATCTGCCGTTTGGGGCCAGAGGTCATATTTGGCTGATCCCTGGGCTCCAGCAGCAGCATAGGAAGTGCTCAGGGAACGTCTGAGTGAATGGTAAAATAATAAATGGATGCATGGTGCTCTTTGACTAAAAAACCCTCCAGCAGCTATAATAGGAGCCACAGCCTAGCCTGCGAGAGGAAGGGCAGTGGAGACCCCGCTAATGAGGAAGGCCAGAGCACCCGCCAACCGGTCCCGGCTCAGACAGCCAGACGGCTGGCCGGCCCCTTCCAACTGGCTGGGCTGATCTCGCAGAGGATAAGAGGGAGCCGGCGGCTTCGGCTTGGCCAGGGAGACAGCCTTGGGCCTGTGGGTGCCGGTGCCGGCTCCCGGGCAGACAGACAGGCCAGGAGGAAGTCACAGGCCTGGGCCCTCAGGCCCGGGCGGCAGCGGCTCCAGAGGACCTGACCATGGAACACTGGAGCCTGTGAAAAAAAATGAGAGTGGGAAATGGGAGTCAAGGAGCCAAGGGAAATGGCGGATCTGTTAACAGGCTGTTTTTGCTTTTGTCTCTGGAGAAGGAAAAGAATGGAGAATAAAGAGGAGCGTCGCAGGCCGGCTTCCTGTGCCCCGGCCAGGGTGGATCGCACCAGATAATGACTGATAGCCGTGGAAACGGGGAGACAAGATAGAGGGGAGGCCGGCTGCAGCGGCAGACCCCCGGAGCCAGGGAGGGGAGCCGGAGGGACGAGGAAGACGCTGAGGAAGCGCAGAGGAAGTGCTAGGCGAGGGGAGAACCGCGGGCCCGGAGCAGCCGCCCAGGGTCCGGGCCAGGGCCTCGTGTCTGGAACCAGGCTGGGAGGCTGGGCCTGAAAGCAGCCTGGCACGTCCCACTTTCTCCAGCAAGTTCCCAACCAGCTCCAGTGTCCCTTCCTCCGCGGAAAAACGGGGCTATGGCGGGTGGGTTGAAAGAACTCGGCTTCCTCCGTGGGTGTTTGTGGTGTGAACAGAGGTGCTGCAGGGTGAATGGCTGGGGCACCAGGAGCTCCACCAAGTGACTGTTTCCTTCCCTTCCCTGAAAGCGGCTTCAGGCGGAGGCTGGGCTCCTCACTGACACCCCAGGACAGCCTGGGGGTCTCAGCTCCAGCCCCTTTGACTGAGGCGGCAGCCTCAGGCTTGGGCAGCCGCCTCCTGGGGACCAGGGCCTCCTTCGGCTCTGCTATGGGAGGAGAATTGGGAAGCCCACGGCTCCAGCGTGAAGAGTGGTTCATTGTGAGGTTCTCCGGCTGGCTGCATGCCGTTCCGCTCACCACCTTCCCTCCTGAGACGTTGCCTGGTGTTGCCTACCTGCTCAGGGCCCAGACACGGCATGCCTGGGTTCTAACCTGGTCACCGAGGAGGATGGCACGCTCATGCACCGCTCCCTCACAGAGCCTGGCAGGCGCTAACTGGGGCTGCAGAGACAGAAGCAGCGAATGAAGCCAGGGAAGAACCCGGGAGCGACTCCCCTCCCCTTCCCCGTGTCCGGCCCCCCCAGGTGGTTTTTCTTCCTGAGCCCTCCGCTCCTGCTCTTCTCTTAAAAGTCTCCAACATCTCTCTGGCTCCCGATCTCCGAAGCTGAGATGTGAGTCCAGGGTGGCCTCCTCACTTGGATTCAAACGCTGTCACTTCTCATCGTCAAAGTCTGCCTGGAAAACTCAGGGCAGTCCATCTTCCCTGCAATCACTAGTCTGTGCAGAGCACACTGGTCTTTATCCTCGTATTTATTCATTCACCCTGTGTTTGCTAAACACATCTGTGTGCTGGCCACCACGCCAAGACACGAAATACGGTGGGAACAAGAGTGACAGTCCCTGCCCATGGGGCTTAGATCTGGGGGTAGATACAAGAAATGAACAAATCATCACACAGCATAGCAAATGCTAGTAAGGGTTTGGTGAAAGATACAAACTGAGAAGGAGGTGCTGATTTAGGTGAATAGTCAAGGAAGAATACATCAGTGACCTCTAGGTCCAGGTCATTGATTACTGGAGTGAGTCATTATTTCACAAACAAAATTGCAAATCCCAACGGAGAAAGGATAGAAATGTGAAAGACAGGATAGAAGGGAGGGAGAAACGAGAAAGGGAACAATTAAAAAGAGGAGCTGGGCATTGTATGCTAACGTGGGTTTTGTAAAGCCAAGGGGCTCTGATAATGCAAAGTTGTTTGTTCTGGGAAGGGAGAGGGCACTTCAGTGTATGTAAGAATTTTCCAGGAAACCCAGCCAGACCCTCCAACACCCTGGACATCAGACACTGAGATCACTGAAGCTTAAGGAGTGTAAGTGCTTAGTTAAGCAAAGAGGCACCCTGGAAATGCCGCCTTAAACCCAGGGATCCAACCGATGGAACGCGTGTTCTAGGCATAAACTTGACAGGAGAGAAAATTCCACCCTTCAAAAAAAAAAAAAAAGTGACAGATCTGGAAAACTGTCAAGAACTGTTTTCTGTTTCTATACCCACTTCCTCTTGGGCCTTGTGTGTTCTCCCCTCAGCATCTTTGGTCTGCACCCGGCACTCTCAGAAGAGTGCGTGTGAGTTGCTCATTCATGCTGAAGTGTTCATGAATTTGTGTGTTGGCCTGCCAGAAATATTTGCACCTTAAGTTAGGACAGATGGAAGGCTCATTGGTGGGATTTTACCCCATCCACAGACCTTTGGAAACCCTTCAAGTCCCTTAGGGTAAGAGAATTTACATGGCTTAAAGCTGCCCCCTGAAAAGCACTATATCTTCCTATCCAGGCCACACATAGTATTCCTGCCTCCTTCTTGTTTCCCGATTTTAACCTTTGGAATTTCCAGAAGCGTCCTATCAGGAAGGAGAAGACGGGTCTCATGCTATCTGGAACCAGGGCAAGGTAGTATACCCCTATCCTGGACTTCTGGCCACCTTAGTCCTGGGCTCTGGGCCAAGATCCCCAAGGACTGTAGTGCTCACGAGAACCTGGCAAGACCCTGAGGAATGAAGATCACACAGTAAACACGGTGACAAAGCAGACAGACCCTGCTCTCCTTTTTAGGCCTCTTTTCTTCCCAGGAATGTGTGTTTCAGAGACAAAGTCAAGTGCTTTATCTGCTGTCACTTGAAGTCATGGAAAAGTCCTGGATTTGGACTCAGAAGGCCTAGGCTTGCATTCTAGCTCTCTGTGAGCCCCTATGGCTTCCTCTGCTCAGACATAATGATTCCTCCCTGACGTGTTTCGCAGGGTCTGGTGAGAACCAAATGAGATGTATTCCCATGTGGCCCCTGACCCTCAGGGGCTGTGCTGGTCGTTACTCTAGGGTCGGCTTCCACAGCAGTGTAAGCAGCTCCTCTGTAAGACATGGGGCAGGGGGCTGGAGCTGGTTGGCTCGAGAGCACGGCCACATTCTATGTGTCGTAGAACTGGTCTTGAGCCTCTCACCCTCTTGCAGAGAACAGAACCTGCTCGCGGAGTTTGTGTGTGTGTTAAATTAGATTACCGTGGGGTGGCCACTTTGCACAGGCAACATGCACCTTCAAGATGCATTTGCCGTCTGTGCGCTTGCCATCTGTGTCCCAAATTGCATTCCATCAGGAGCACTCCAGAATACACTCATGGTCTATACATGCTGACTCCATAGAAAACCGCAGCCTCCAAATGCTTATGGTATGCACTTATTTGCTTTTTAAACTTGAGGCAAGAACTTGAGGCCCAGCAAGCTTGCTTTTTCCACACAGGCTGGCCCAGCCAGAGGGGAACTCAGCCTCCCTGTCCCAGCTCTCCAAGGAAGAGTGCCAGGAGCATGGCACTCTGCTGTGCTTGCCAGTTCCCAGACTAGGCTTTTGGTCAAAGCCCACAGAAAGCTATACCAGTAATAACTGCCATTTCCTGCATGCCTACTATGTGCCAGGCAGCATGCTAAGCACCTCAATCGTTTCATTTCAGCCTTCACTGCAAGCCCCTGGGAAGCTGCCTTGTGGTACCTGTTTAACAGACAAGGAAGCTGGGTCTTGGAAAAGTGAAGCAATTTGCCTGAGCAAACCACAGCCGAGCCTACCCCACTCCAGAGTGAACTGCATCCTCTCTTAACCAGATTCCCTGGGGGGCTGTACACCACCTGCACCTCTAACACACACACACATTCGCACATGCATGTGCATCAGACATACATGCTGTCTCCCTGTGCGCTAACCTCCACTATGAACAAACAGAATCAGAGAGGGACAGAAGGACAGGGCACGTGGGGAAGGCACAGAGTGTATTTCTAAGACTTCCCTTAAGAGCTGATGCAATTCGGTGGGGTTCAGGAGAATGGAGATGAAGACGGGCCTCACATTTTCTATCTGTTCTCAGACTGGACCTTCCAGCTGGCTGCCATTCGCATTAGCCCCTCACATATCTATGGAGCTCCTACTAAGAGCGGTCTCTGGTGGGGCCGTCAGGAGCTGCAGAAGATTCAGAGAAGGAAAAGTCGTGTCCCACCCACCCAGAGCTCTCCATCTACCAAAAGGATAAAGCAGGTCCCCGAAATCCCCAGCCCAAAGCATGGTGGGATGAAAGTGTCCCCCCATCCTTGCACCCACCTCGATATTTCAGCCCTGAGGGTGGCCAGTGGGGTTGAGACCCAGTGCACCTACTTAGGGAAGAGAGAAAGGCCAGGAATCGCAACTAGGAACCCTCCCCACCAAGCCTCCTCCGTGGCCCTGACTGAAAGGAGGAACGGGGTGAATTCTCATGAGAATTCTGATAAATGGGCTTCTCCACCCCTCTTCCTCCCACACCCCCAATTAAAGTGAAGCTGTCCCAGGGCCGAGCGGCAGAAACCACTTCCAAGCCAGGCATGACATCAACATTTTAGTGATAAGGAGTGGACAATGGGGTGTTAGACTAATAGAAAAACACCACTGGATAAGGCCGGCTCCTGATATCCAGGCTGATGGGAAATACCATTGTCCGTCCGCTGTCAGCTGAGTCCCAGGGCGACAGGGATTCCAGCAGCCACAGGCAGGGCGGGGGAGGGGTGGTCCTGCCAGATCCAGCACTGAGGGGGTGCTGAGCCTCCGGGTGCAGCCCGAGAGTGGGTGGGATGGGCATCGTGCAGAGGTGGGAGTGGGGAGTTGGGAAGGAAGGTGTAGGGGGAGGGTGGTGTCGGGATAGGCAGAAATTACATATGACCCCCCACTCTGTCCACGCCACTTGGATGATGCTTGGGTGACCATATTAGTAATGGCTCACAGGTGTACTTGGTTCATTGATTTTCACAGAAATTTCTTTAAAAATTTTTTATCAAAGTAATATGTGCGCATAGTTTTTGTACTTTAAATCAATTCATATTAAAAGAATATGTAACAGCAACAACTAGAAACTGGTTTCCTGCCTACCACCTCCCAATTGTCCTCCCAGCCCCTTCTCTGCCCAGTCCTGCTCACCAGAGGCAACCAAACCAGCATCAATTCCCAGCTGCTGCTTCTGGTATTTGCCTGTATATTTCTGAATAATTTGCTTATGTGGCTATGTCATCACTTACCAATTTTAGGCATCGTCTCATGGCTTCTTCAAATGGCAAAAGAGAACTTAAAAATGTTACACTGCACTCCCCTTTACAGTTTCTCCCTCATCCTTCCATTATCATGATGATATTTAAGTAAAATAGTAATCAGTGATTATTCTGGGACTAAAACTTTCTGTAAGCCTGTTTCCTAGAGCTTGTGGCCTCTACTTTTTACATTTACTCTTTTGTCTTGCTGGAACACCTTCTTCAGTGCCTTCCTGAGAAAGGGTACATTTTTTATTTGGTAAGGTACTGAATTCTGGGTTGGAAATTATTTTTTCTTAGTGTTTTAAAAGGACTGCTCCGTTGTCTTCCAGCTTACCTTGTGTAATTGGGAAATCTGACACCATCCGATTCCTGAAGCTTTGTATGGGACCTGTCTTATTTTTTCATGGGGAGCTCTAAGAAACTTCTCTCTATCCCTCTTGTTGGAAAATTTTGCGTCAATATTACTTACTGTGTGTCTTTCCCATTCACTGTCCTGGACAATCAATAGGTTCTGTCAGTCTGGAAACTCATCTCCCTCAATTCTAGAAAAAATCCATTTATTTCTTAGCTAATTTCTGCCCTTCCCCATCTCTTCTTTATTCCACTGCTAGAAATTCTATTAATTGGATATTAGACATCTTAAATTGTTATTCTAAATGTCTCATCCTTTATCCATTTTCCCTGTAAAATCCTTTTTTTCTGCTTTATTTTTATTTCCAAGAGCTCCTTTTTGTTCTCTGGTTATTGTTTTTTCACAATTTCCTGGTCTCATTTCAGTAAGGCAATACCTTAGCATTCAAAGTATATTAATTATAGGTTTTTAAAAAGATTTTTTCTGCTTCTCCCTTTATTTTTTACCTTCTCTCTCTCTCTCTGTGTCACTTCTATCCCTTCCTTTGTTTCTCCTTATCTACCCATTGACAGATCCCAATACGACAAAGGAATCTCTCAGGAATTGCACCAGTGAGAGCGTTGGATATTTTATTCATGTTTCTTTAAGGTGAAGAAATAGAAGAGAGTTTTTACATAAATAAATCTGTAAATTGAAGCCAGATGGTCCTCACTGTTATATATTTAGCTGTCATATAGCCTACACCTTCACACGCAGACATTATGAACTCTCTCTTTTTTTTTTTTTTTTTTTTTTTTTTTTTGAGATGGACTCTCACTCTGTCACCCAGGCTGGAGTGCAGTGGCATGATCTCGGCTCACTGCAACTTCTGCCTCTTAGGTTCAAGCGATTCTTCTGCCTCAGCCTCCTGAGTAGCTGGGATTACAGGCATGCACCACCATGCCTGACTAATTTTTGTATTTTTAGTAGAGACGGGGGGTTTCACCATATTGCCCAGGCTGGTCTTGAACTCCTGACCTCAAGTGATCTACCCATCTAGGCCTCCCGAAGCGTTGGGATTACAGGCATGAGCCACCATGCCCAGCCGTATGGCATTTCTTGAAAGAAATTTGTGAGCTTTTGTATGGTGGTACTGCCTGGCTGCCAGCAGCTTGCCTCTGGCCATGGCTCCCACTGTCTCTGCCTGTTTACCAGGCTTATTAATGCAATTATTTCTATTATATTAGCACATTTTCCTTCACTATGTTATCCAACTAAGTAGAAAACAAAAATAAAAGCACCGATACTAGTGATGGGAAGGATTAGGTCTCAGGAACTTAATTCAATAGAGACAAGAAGACACAAGTGGCAGATCAGCTTCAAGCTGAAGTGTGTGAATCACCTTGGCTGGTCGATTGTGTTCACCTGTGAAGGAAAATCAGAGGAAAGGCACAAAATCAGAGACCAGCACGATGAGAGGACAAGTACAAAAGGATATCATCAAACATTAAGTTTAAAAGTAAGTTGTAATTGGAGCATTTATAGTATTGTTTTTAGTTCTTAGAGAATAGAATCTCTTTATAATATATAAATCTATTGCCTAGCTTAGCACATTTGAAACTGTCTTAGTGTGTGTGTGTGTGTGTGTGTGTGTGTGTGTATTTAACTTAATGAATTTGGAGTGAGAACGTGGATAAGACGAGGAGATTGTCAGTCTCCTCGATGCCTGAAAGTGAGCCAGGATCAGCGTCCCACCCAGGCAGCCGCTGAGCCCATGAAAACCCACAGAGAAAGCTGCCAGTCCAGAATGTTCTTAGGATCCTCTGACACCTGTGTATGAGGCCCTGTTCCCTCCTCTTGCTTCCTGGACCATCTGCTTCCCCAGAGGACGGCTCCCGGGGCTGCTTCTGGAGGGGGCTTCTCTTGCTTGTCGAGGCCCCACTCCTGTGCCCAGCCCGGTATCCCTGTTCTCCGTGTCTGCCAGGAAATCGGGGAGTGGTGAGGTCTGACCACAATAGGCAGCCTGGCTTTTCCTACCCTGCCTGGTTCCCATGCCCTCCCTCCCCTATTTCATCCTCTCCCGGACTTCTTGAGGCTCAGGAGAAGACAGAGGGCTCACACACCTCTGGTGAAGTCAATGAAACGCTCACAATATTCCAACTGTGTTCCCCAAGTCACTGGAGCGGAAAGCCTGGGAGCCATCCTCACCGCCCTGGAGCCTCACGTCTGACCTCCAGCCACCTCCTGTCAATTTTCCGTCCAAAGCCCCCGAGAAATCCCCACTGCTGCTGCCCTGGCTCAGACCATCACTGCAGCTCCTCTGGGCTATTTCAACAGCCCCTGCTACTCTTTCAGCCCCAATTTGCCTCTCTCTGCTTCATTCTTCCCACTGTTGCCTAAGGGATCTTTCCGGAATGCCACTCCATCACCTCAAATCCTGATGAAAACACTTCAGGGCTTCTTACTGTCAAGCTCCAGCCTCAGCATTCCCAGCCCACCTGCCTCTCCAGCCTTACTTTCTCCTCTCCTCTCCACCAAGCCCAAGCGGAAGCCACAGGAGGCCATCAGCAAGTTTACCCACAGTGTCTAGAATGCCCCTGCTCCTTGGGGGCGTTCACACCCTTACATGTCAGATCCGCCTTGCTGCTATTCCTCCTCCCTTTCCCCAAGAGGAATTAATTCCTCCTTCCTATGCTTCCACAACACTCGAAAACTATCTATTCTCCCTTTAACACACCTGTGCTGTAGTGATGACTCTCGTCTCTCTTCTTTATGGTAATCTTCTCAAGGAAACACCATCTTCCATCTCCAGCTGCAGGGCCTGGTCCAGCCTTGGCACAGAGTTGGCACTTAGTAAATATCTATTGAATTTATTTAATTAGACTGAAAATATGTAGCCCTTAACTATGTATGGTTTACTATGAAAAAAGTGGTTACATAACTGTTTACGGAGAATCAAAGATATGCTTCTAAATACCAAAACAAAGAGTTTGATTTTAAAATAATGTATCAGCAGCGAGGTGGGGTGCCACACAATCAATGCATGTTCAGCAAACATATGCAGAACTGGAGGGACTCTCCCATAAACAGAGGACTCCCTCTTTATGGGACCATCTGCTAATCCTCATTCCAGACACCTCAACCTTCTCAGTCAGAACAGGAGACAAAATTATTGGCATGGGAAGGAGTGGGAATTAGCATCCCTTCTCTGTGTAATCCAGAAATTAAGGGTAGTAGCAATAGCTATGGTTTCCTAAATATCTTCTGCATGCCAGATGCATCTAATAATTCATATCTAATCTAATATCTAATAATGACCACACACTGTGGTTATAGTAGCCTCTCCTCACTTCTTCTTCTTCTTCTTTTTTTTTTGACATGGATTATCATTCTGTCACCCAGGCTAGAGTGCAGTGGCATGATCTTGGCTCGCTACAAACTCCACCTCCCAGGTTCAAGTGATTCTCATACCTCAGCCTCCTGAGTAGCTGGGATTACAGGTGCTCACCAACACACCCAGCTAATTTTTGTCTTTTTAGACTTTCCACGCATGTCAAGGCTGTCTCCCTGCCCCTTTCAGCCCTCCTATGCTCCCCATCTCTACCCTGCCACCCCCTCACTGCCAACAGCTGAGGCTAATTTCATCACTCTTCTCCAGCCATTTTGCTTATCGTTGACTCCAAGCTCCTAAGCATTTCTTGGCTTCCCCCAGGTGCCCTGTTTTTGAATTAACCTGAGATTATGGCAGACCACAAGGGCTGCATCACACCAAGTTCTCCCTGTTCTCCCCAAGATTTGCCATATTTCCTCTACCACCAGGTGGGGTTCAAAGTAGGGTGCTCTCACTGATGACCCAAGACTCTTGGGTATGAGGATCAAAAACCCAATTCAAGCCAACCTGAGTGGGAAAAGAGAAAAATCCCTGGTCCTAAAACTGAGCAGTCTGGGCTATAAGGACTCTGGGCAAGGCTGAAATGTCCCACAACATCATCAACTGTTTGCTTCTTTCTCCAGACCCAGCCCTTGCTTACCTTATGTGGCTATCTTGACTCTCATAAAAGGCTCACAAACATAATAAGAAATAGGACCATGGGAGCCTCTCGGCCATGTCTTCACAGCTCAAGATCCAAAAGGAAGGCAGGCTCTTCCAGACTCCATGAGCCAAATCTTGTGGGAGGATTCTGATTGGCTCCGCTCGGGTCACCTGCCCACATCTGAACCAATCACTATGAATTGGGGTTGGGGGTATAAACAACTGGAATTGGACCAGTCTAGGTTGGATGTCATCCCTGAGGCTTTTGTGCTTAGTGCCTCCATGGGAACTGCATGAGGTTGGACTGTGTTTCCCCCAGTGAAAGCTTGTTGGCAGACAAAACATGTGTCCTATGGTCATGCATGCAATGGACAACTCACGAGCTCCTTCTCAGAATAAGGCACTGTACCAGGCTTAGTGGCAGAAAACAATGATGAGTCAGACTCATCCCGGCCAAAAGGGGCTTAGACTCAGCAGGAAATTTAGACATGAACCCAGATGTCTATAGTAGGATGTAATGGGCCCTAAAAACACAGTTTTAAAGGACACGGGAGGGAGGGATCAGAGGGGTCAACCTTCGGACCCAGTGCAGAAGAATAATCCAGTGAACTTGGTGATTACTTGGCTGGTGGTTTAGGGTGAGGCACCAGCCCTGTCTACCCAAGCTGGCTGGATGCATGGACATGACTTTCCAAGGTTCTTCCAGGCATCCATGATGCTGTTTGTTCTCAAGTCCAACCTCCCATCCTTCCATTCGCACCTGGCCCACGTCAGGGCCCTGATTCTTCCTTTCATAATCCACCTGTCTGGTCCATCCAATGCCACCTACTTCCTGCCTCCATCATCACAGACATCTCTATGAATACTACCAATGCCTGAGCCCCACGAGGGACCTGGGTGGTGAAGCTCCTCATGTCCAGTTTGGGCCCAGGCTTTGTTCTCAGGTCCTCCTAACCAAATGCTGCAGCCTTTCAGCCCTATCCTCCTAACTGTCCTCTGCCAGCCAACAGGCACTTTGTCTGCAATCCCAGAGGATCAGTGTCTTGGGACAGCCTCCTTCTCATCCCACCACACCCCAGCCTGTGACCCCAGCAGTGGCGAAGCTACTAGAAATCTCTATTTTAAGTAGAGATGGTGTTTCACCATGTTGGCCAGGCTGGTCTTGAACTCCTAACTTCAGGTGATCCACCTGCCTCGGCTTCCCAAAGTGCTAGGATTAAAGGCATGAGCCACCACGTCCCTTGGAGGCAGGGATGTATGTGGTTAGGAGGAAAATCTCAGCCAGCTAGACTGGCCTCTGGGGTTCAGCCAGTTCATAATTTCCATTTATGCAGTACATGTGTTTTATGACTCTGCTTTGTTGAAAATCAATTGGCCATGGGTGTATGGGTTTATGTCTGGCTTATTCTGGTTTAGTTCTGTTACACTGGTCTGTATGCTTATCCGTATACCACTGCTGCGGTGTTGTAAAGACCGCAGGGTTGGAGTAAGTTTTAAAACTGGGAAGTGTGAATCCTCCAACTCTATTCTGCTGTGTTAATATTATTTTGGTAAATTAATGCAGCTTTTATTGCAGGAGGATCTCTGTGATTGGGGAGATTCACCCTTGCCATCCCAGGAGACAACTTGTTACAGAGCAAGGATCCTTGGGGAAGGAACCTAGAGACCAGGGTTCCAGTTCTGGCTTTACTGCTAACTCGCTAGGTGTCTGTTGCAAACCACCTCTTCCTTTTTTTTTTTTTTTTTTGCTGGTCCTCTTTTTTTTTGGTTTCCACTTTCATCACCTGCTATATCACGTGGTAACGTTAGAGTGTGGAGGTGATGGTGGCTCACTAGTGGCCTGAGTAAGAGCTGTGTCTGCAGTGTGATGGGGGAGGCAAGGTTGGGTGGGCCATGGAGCAAATAAGGAGATGGGGAGAGAAAGCTGGGGCAAGTTGTTCAGGAGGTCTGGCTTCCACAGTCTATTCCCAGTCCTTCCCTGTCTTGGCAGACACTGGGGAACTTTAGGGAAATCTATTCACCCCTCTGCATCCTAGTTATTCACCAAAGAATGGTGGGGAGGGGGCTGTACGCTATCCCAAGCACATTGATGATCAATTGCAAACCCAAATCAGCATACACAATCTGAAAACAAAAACTGGGCATGCAGAGGAACAGCGGATCAAAAGAGAGCTGGTGGAGCTGTTTCTCCTGGGCTTCCCTGTCTCTGAGTTGAGAGGAGGCACAAGGCACTTCAGCCTGGGGGACGGAAGGCACTGGAGCATCTCCAGGGTCCAGGGAAGTGAGCCTGCCTAAGGAAGATTCTGGAGGAAGCAGAGAGTCAGAGGTGGCAGAGGGACAGGACAGACCTGTCCCAAGAAGCCTCAGAAGCAACCAGTGCAGGAGGAGGGGAACCTGGTGTCACTAAATTATTCATTTCAGAAACTGCAGAGAGGCAAGGGAAGCCAGGCAGGACTGCATGCCTGCACCCAGCAGGCCTGGGGCAAAGCAAGGCTGGGCTGGGAAGGGCTGAGGAAGGCAGAGAGGAGGGGCACAGGAGTAATGACCAGAGCTGGCAGCCAGCCTTGGCTGGAGAGTGACCCCTGGGACCCAGGGTAGAAAAGAGCCGAGGGCGCCTTTAATGGCCACAGGTGTTGGAGTAGAAAATTTTCCATGAAAAAGTGGCTGTTCCACATGATTAAAGTAACCACTTGGCCCTCTTGGCAAGCTCAGGCCCTGTTTTTTTCACACTTTGCAGCGTGTCCTTCAACTCTTTTCGGAGGCTGTTCAGAGGATAAACTGCAAAAGAAATTCCTTTTCTTTTCATACACGCTAATAAGGAAGGAGTGGGAGAGAGCGGCCCCCCAGGGCAGGCTGGGGAGGTGAGGCAGGGGGTAGGGTTTTGCTGAAGACGGTGAGGGAGGCTGGGGAAGGCCAGATGAGGTGGGGCTGGCCGAAGTGAGGTGGGGGTTGATTCCGAGACGTCGCTGGGTAGGGGCTGCTCTTCAGGAAAATGACCCCAGAATCATCCGAGCGTGGGTGCCTTCACACTGGGCACCCCCTGGCGTCACGTCCAGGCTTAGAGAGTCCTGGGGTGGGTTGAACAGAGCAATATGTTGTGAGGAAGCTGGGGGATTTCCTTGGTAATAAGCAGATAAATCTCTATCCCTTGGGGTGGTTTGGAGGCTGTGCCAAGAGACAGCCTGAGAGCAGGTGACACTCATTCCTAAAACAGCTGTGGGATGCCTTGCTGTTCTAGCTTCCTGCCTGCAGAATGGCGCTGCTGTGGGGAGGCAAGAGAGCATGCCTGGAAAGCACGTGGCATGTGGGCCACAGCAAATGATGATGACATTGATCATTACTGACAATGATGCCATCGATGATAATGATGACATGGATAATCATTGATAATGATGACATTGATAATCATTGACAATGATAATGACATTAATAATCATTGACAATGATGATGACATTGATAATCAATAATGATGATGATGATGATGATGATGAGATGATCTATCAGTCCTCATTCAGCCCAAGATCTCCAGGGTTTCCAACCATTCTCATGCCCACTGAAACCCTAATTGCTTTAAGTTTTTTTTTATTTTGTAGTCCTGGACCAGGCATTAGACACAAGTTCCTTCCTCTTCACCATGGAAGGTCCATTTAGTCCCTAGAAATGTGCGTGGAAATGCACCCAATTCCACGGAGGCTAGGTGGGCAGAACACTTTTTGGCTGTTGCATTTGTGACATCATGGTTACTGAGCAAAAGCTGACCATGGCCTTTTTCTGCTTACCTAGCTTCCTACAGATTGCCCTCTGCCCTGGTGGCTGCCCCTCACCACGGGAAGACCCTGAGGCCCTTGCCCAAGCTGCCCACTGACCTGGGTCTCTCTCCCTTCACCCCGCCACTCTTTCCCAGGTTTTCCAGGCCCTGCTAGGGGACATGAGACTGCCTGGCCTCGACCCTAGGTGGCCTTCCCTGACTGTCTCAGGTCTCACTGACCCTCTATCGCTTTGAACAACACTCTCCAGGCAGCCGTTTTACAAGGTGTGCTCTATGGATCACCTACATCAGGTTCCCTTGAAGAATTTGTTGGAAAAGCGGATTCCTGAGCTCCTCTCCTGTTCTGAATTAGAATCCCTGGGAAGGGTCAAGGAATCTGCAACTGTAGTAATTTCTACATGGGAACTTTAATAGATACACTGGCTTGTCTGTCTGTACCACATAGTTAGACAAGTAGTCATCTGCCTTCCCTCATCATCTGTGCTGGTAGGCAGGATTGAGAACATCACAGCACCTGTTGCAGTGTTTTGTCCACAGCAGGGTTCAATAAGTGATTGCTGCTCATTACCTAGCTATACAGGTAGATATGGATGGATGGATGGATGGATGGAAGGATGGATGATGGATGGATGGAAGGATAGATAGATGGTTGGATAGGTGGATTGATAGATGATGGATGGATGGATGGATGGATGGATGGATGGATGGATGGATGGATAAATGGATAAATGGATGGATGGATGGATGGATATCTGGATGGATGGATAAATGGATGGATGGATGGATGGATGAATAGATTATTAGATGGATAGATGGATGAGTGGGTGAATAAATGAATGGATAGATAGATAGATAGATAGATAGATAGATAGATAGATAGATAGATAGATAAAGTAAAACCTTGTTACAGTAGTGCTGGTCACAGTTCTTCTGGTATCCTGTGGAACTGAAGTGTGAGATGTACAGAAAGTTCTCATGAGAGACCGGGGCCTGGATCTACAAAGCTGCTGGGAGCAAAGGGAGGAGAAATGTGACACTTGGACTCTGTAAGTCAGCAGGACGGGGTTCAAGTCTCCCTCTTATCGGCTGTGTGTGTTTTGGTGAATTACTTAACTTCTCTAAGCCTGATTCTCCCCATGTATAAAAAAGGATCTTAACAGTACCTATATCTTAGGAGGGCAGTGAGGGTTGGTTTAGATGATATATGAAGCAAAATCGTCCACAAGCTGGGCTATGAGTTCCTGGTCTCAGCTCCTCTGTGCACCTCTGCCTCCTCCTTCTGTCTCGCGGTCTGGTTCCCACTGCTCCCCCCTGCAGACAGCCCATAGCTGGTTGCATCTTGTCAGAGGCAAACACCCAGAGATGGAGATGTGTCTCTCTCAGTCCTAAGCCCAAGTTTCCAGGGAAGAGAATCTGGAGGGCCCTACGGGGTCCATCCCAATACAAATCATCTGTAGTCAAGAACAAGGAGCCAGTGGTGCAGACACAGATGCAGTTCCATCGCTTGGGCCCCACCAAGGAGAGAAGCAGTTCTCAGAGGCTAGAGTAGAGGATGGAGACAGGCTGGGCCCACACCCCCATGCCCCACAGGTACCTACTGCGACTCCCCAGAAATAAACATTTCCCCAGTCCTGACTCCACGGCTGCCTTTTATCTCCCAGAGCCTCCCCTCCACATCTTACTGGGATTGAGGTCTCCGGCCTCAGAGCTGCCTGCCTCTACCCCTGGATCTGTCCCCTGTTCCCACAAGCCCACCCCTCGCCAATATTACCCTCCCAAAGTCACCAGTGTGCCCCCCACTGTGGACGATCCGAAGATTGAAGCCCTACCCTCAAGGTGCTTACAGTCTAGTTGGCGATACCAAACCAACACACAGGAACAGACTGAAGAAGTATCTGGTGCTAAACCGTAACCCAGGGCTCCGGGGCAGTAGGGATGCAGGGAAGGGGGTGTCCCATGGAGGCTGGTCAGGGACAGCTTCCTGGGGGAGGGAGATTAGGGAAGGAGCTATGGAAGTAGGGAAGAGCATTCTAGGCGGGCACTGGAGGAATGGAGGAGGCCCGGCTGATAAGCTGCCCTGTGGGAATGATTGCAGGAAGGAGCGGGAGAGACTGCAGGTACTGCCGTCATGAAGGGCCCAGTTGGCTAAGCACAGGCCTTCAGACTGCATGCTGGAGGTTGGATGAGCCTGGCCTCCCTCCTGTCCTACTGAGGCAAGCTGGCCAGGCCTCCCAGAGGTCCCAGGGATGCTCATTGATTAGCTTGTGAAAGGCCACTTGGCTAGCTGGTTGCCGAGAGACAGCCCCAGAGGCCAGGGCTGGGATTAGTGAGTGGCCCTGTTTGCTCTTCTTGCTGGGCGGAAAGAGGACTTTGGTCCCAGCTTATCAAACTGCCCGGGTTTGAAAGCCCAGGAATGCAGCCTTGGGCAAATGTGCAGGTTCACAGGACACTCATTAATCAAACAGCTCCCTTCCCTCCACCCCTAATAACCTGACCCCCACTTCACACACACACTCCTATCGCACTCACATGGTCTTTCAGAGGTCCCAGAAAAGAGCGTGTCCACCATGCCTCAAGCCAGCTGGCAGCTGCGCAGGCCCAGGTGGAGGTACTTCAGGAAAGCCGGCCAGGCGGACTCTGTCTTTCCCTGAGTTTGCCCAGTGGGCCCCAAGAGGCCGCCCGAGGTTCCTCTGGGGGCTGCCGGAAGGTGGACAGAGCTGGGCCCAGCTGCCTCACTGCTCCATACAACTAGCAGTGTTATCCCTTCAAGATGGAATGAAAAATATCCCAGGCAGCAACTTCTAGGGAAAACTTTTGCAAAATATAAAATTCTTTTTTCACACTTTTCGGCGTGAAAAAGGGCATGACTTATGTTTTTATAAGCAGATGGAACTACGGTTGAAAGTCACAAATCAATCTAGAGGCCAAGCCTCGAGGCTTCTGAGCCAGGGCTCTTGCTTTAAAGGAGAAAGCGGTGCAGGTGGGAGGACTTGAATCGAAGAAAATTGAATCTCATTGGGATAATGCAAAGAATAATCATAAATGTGCGTTCCTGTTATTAAGCACTAGATACCAACTGCCGAGTTCCACAATGAGGGCAGAGGGAGTGTGGGCTTGAAACAGACGGCATGGAGGAGTTTTGGGGTCTTCAGGAGACACTGTGAGTTCTGTAGGAGCCCACTGTGCTCCGTGGCTACCAGGCCACTAGTGTCAACCTTGGTGGCAGAGAAGACAGAGGCGAGAAGGAGGAAAACAAAGTGCCGAAATAGCCCACAGTGTCAGACATCACTTAGAAGTCTGCTTCCATCCTGAGCACCGCATTTGAACTTTCTTGACCTTGCAAATGGGGGCCAAAGAGAGGGAGCTGGCTGATCAGGGAGGGCTTCGAGCTAGATCCGTAGACATCTGTGTGGACTCTGGAGCTCCATGGCCAGAGGAGAGAGGGCTTGGTCTGCCCAACTCCACCTACAGCTCCCAAGCCCCGTGGCCACTGCCACAACTGGCACTTAGGTACCACCACCTCTCGCCAGAGCCACTGCAGCCCCCTGTGCGGGACTCTCTGCCCACACCACTGGACAGCCCCTGAAACCCCTTCTCCAACTAAATTCGCACCTAATTCTGCATCTCCTGCTGAAAACACTTCAGAACGCTGCCACCCTCCCACCCCTGCCATGGTCCTCAGGATAAGGCAATGCCCTGAGGCCCTGCAAGCGCTGCAGCTGTTTGCAACCCATATTTTCTTTTTCACTTAATTATAACTTTAGGTTTGGGGATACATGTGCAGGTTTGTTACAAGGGTATATTGGATGATGCTGACGTTTGGGCTTCTATGGATCCCATCACCCAGACAGCGAACATAGTAGCATATAGAAAGATTTTCAGCCCTTGCCCCTCTCACCCTCCTGTTTCTTTTGAAGTCTCTGATGTCTGTTGTTCCCATCTTTATGTCCACGTGTACCCAAGGTTTATGTCACTTACAAGTGAGAACATGTAGTATTTGGTTTCCGGTTCCTGCATTAATTGGCTTAGGATAATAGCCTCCAGCTGCATTCCCATGTTGCTGCAAGGGACGTGATTTCCTTCTTTTTATGGCTGCATAGTATTCCATGGTGTATATATACCACATTTTCTTTATCTAGTCCACTGCTAATAAGCACCTAAGTTGATTCCATATCTTTGCAATTGTGAATCATGCTGCAATGAACATACAAATGCAGGTGTCTTTTTGGTAGAATGATATATTTTCCTTTGGGTGCATACCCGGTAGGCTTGCTTGAGACCCACACATTCTGAACCACCTGCAGGTCAGGGCACTGTGCTGCACCATTCAGGCTTTGCGCATCCTGTCCCCTCTGTCTGGAGCACCTTAAGGCCCCCAGCTCCCCAGCAGAGTAACTCCTGCATGTCCTCCTGCAGGCTTGCTATCCCCTCCCCCAGACTCAGCACGCTGACCAGGGCCTGCCGTCTGCCTCCTCCACTAGGCCACCAACTACTTGTAGCAAACCATGTGTCTATCCCCAGCTCCCAGCACCAGGCCTTGCACCCAGTCAGACTTGAACTTTCCCTAACTTGCAAATGGGGGCCAAAGAGAGGGAGCTGGCTGACTGGGGAGGGCTTCAAAGCTATATGTAGCTGAATGTATGAATGCAGCTGTTTTCACATATGTGGAAGAAGGGCTAGTCCTAATCTGAGTAGCTCAAGAGGTGCAATTAAGGCCACCAAGTGGAAGTGACAGAGAGGCAGAAACCTGGAGAGGCTCCACCATCCATAGGCTGCCCCTGGTAGCAGTGAGCTCCCTGAATGGGTCAGGATGAGCCCTTGAAGGGAATGCCAGCAGAGAGGGTTCTGTTGGGATGACATGACCTCCACAGCCCTCTAGCACCAGGACTCTCAGGGTCAGCTCAACCTGTGGACACCCACACATACACACACCAGTGAAGTTGCAGCTGGGCCCCCTCCAGCCTGGGATGAGTCTTGGAAAATCTGTCGCCATCCTGGAGAAGCCGCTTTGGGCCTGCAAAAAGGCAAGGGGGTTGGAGTCGGACACTCAGCCTGCAGCCCCTAGGGGAGAGCTGGGCTGTTCTCCACCTGGAACTACAGAGCAGTGCTCTGCCCTCCCCTCCTCCCTGAGAGCTGGGCCTTGTGTTTCCGGCACAAAGAGGGCCGGGAGCCCAACCGGGGATGGAGCGGGGGAGGTCTTTGACATCAGAGCCGACCCAGGTGCAGCGGGGAGGAGAGGTAACCTCAGCTCTGCCAGCACAGCTCCCTGGCCTCGGCAGGGCCGTCCTCCCTCAGCAGCAAGGTCACTGTTATCTGCTTTGTGAGCGGTTTGCAGGGCCTGGAGGCTCTCCAAATATGTGGAGGGAGTTTACCCTAACCCAAGACCAAAAGGCCTCCCACGCCTGACATTTTCCAAGTGCTGTAAACTCCAGACAAGGACAAAAAAGAAAGGCCCTTGGAAGCACTTCTACAGCCACAGGCTGTCAATGTTACCTGTGTGTGTGTGTTTGTGCGTGTGTGTGTGCGCGCGTGTGGGCACACGTGTGTGTCAAGTGTGTGTCAGAGCATGTCAGTGTATGTGCACATATGTGCATGTGTCCATGTGTGTGTCCCTGTTTATGCATGTGTCACTGTGTGTCTGTGTATGTCTGTGTGCTAATGTGTGTGTCTGCGTGTGTCCTTGTGTATGCATGTGTGTTGAGAAACACGTAGAGATCTTGAGACTAAATTCATAGAGGCGTTTTGTTCAGAACTTCTCTCCAAGGCCAGGAAGACAGGCTAAATGGCTCCAAATCTCAACCTCCAACTGCTTGTCGGATGTGGCCACCTGAATCCCAACAGCGCCTTTGGTATCTTTAAAGGTGAGCCATCTCCATCCCCACAGAACCCACCCCCCTTTTTCCTGTTTCTGTCAAAGCCACCGTCACTTTTCTGCTTTGAGAGCCTAATCCTCCAAGCCACGTGGAAAGAATGGAAACTTCCCATCACAGTCCTGGATCCCAGCTGCCCCAAAACCAGCTGTGAGTTTGCCTCTCTGAGCTTTAGTTTCCTTCGCTGGCAAATCTGTAAACGTTCTGGGTCTGCCTGAGGTACGGCACAGATAGGACGGTAGTGCAAGGATGCCCAAACCCCTAGGAACATTCTCTCCGTGTTTTATGGTTTCCTTATTGTAAATCCACTTTCCCAATGTAGAATTTAAAACAAAACAAAACAAAAAAAAGCAAAACACACAAAAAAAGCTGTTTCCCAGCCTCTGAGGCTGCAGGGCACACAGGCACGGGACTTGGATTGTAGCAGAGGCCACGCGGGGCCAGGGTCTTGCAGCCTGGCTCCTGACCAGGCCAGTTCCATCAGGCTCAGAAAGTCGTTCCTGCAAGATCACCCCAGAGCCTGTGCCCCCACTGTTCAGTGAGCCTGGAGCTCACTCACGTCTCTCATAAAGCCTTTCCTCTCTTCACTATCAGCTAAGGCTGCTTCTGCGGTTTGCAACTAAGCTGGTCAAGCCCTGAGAATTCACTCTCACAGCAGGAATTTGAGAATAAGAACAATTCAGATTGTGAAGGTTAAATGAGATTATGTGCACAAAACATCCAGCGTGGTGTCGGCTGCTCCCCGCAAACAGGCTCTGGCGTTGTCCCTCGAAAGAGAACTAGGCTCTCCGGGAAGCACCTGCCCTTTCCTCTGCTGCAGCAAAGCCTGGGCTGTGTGCGTCAGGCTCTCCAGCCACTGGGGGCAAGGCCTGGACCTGCCTATCTCTCCTGCTCTCTGAACTCGGTGTTGGGAAGACAGCGGAGATGTGGTGAGTTCAGGAGACCGAACTTTGTGTGCGAGGCCCTGGAAAGCAGCCCCAGGGCCTTACTGCCTACCTTTGAGATTCCCCTCTGTGGCTAATGAAGTCCCACCCTGGGACAGAGGCTGGGCAGTCTAGGGACTGTAAAAAAAAGAAAATGCAAGATTCAGTATCCAGCACTGAAGAGGCTGGTCTGACTGGGGAGACATCTCAATTGTGTGGGGAAGAAAAAAGTGGGCTGGGCTCACCATTACTGAGGGTGTGAGGGTATGAGATGGTTTCTGCTGGAGTAGACAGAGAAGACCTCCCAAACGAAGTGAGGCAGGGTCTCAGTCTTGAAAGGTACACGGGACTTGGCGGGACAAAGAAGTCTGGGAAGGGGGTTCCAGGATGAGGAATAGCAGAAGTGCAGAGGCAGGGGAGTGGTCCATGCTCGGGCTAATCTGCCGGGATGGAGGCTTATGGGGAAGTAGAGGGCGATCTCTCTCCAGAAAGTTCCAAATGCAGGCTTGGACCAGTTCCTGGGACCACCGAGGCCTGGATTGAGGAACTTGGGTTTCAGTCCAGGATGAACATGTGGCTGGGTTTGAACAGAGGTGATGCGGACCTCACCTGTTTGACTCCAGTACTTCGACTGTCATTTTTATCTCATCCTCCCTCCTCTTTCCTCCTGGGGTCCAAATGCCTGTACCCATTAATGGAAGGTTAAGCCACTGTATTGTTCCTCTCCTCCTCCTACTCCACTGAAACTGCACTGGCAAGGGACACCGTGTCCGCCCTGTTTCCCAGCGCACGGCACTTTTTCCAGGCTTTGTCTCTCTGGACCTGGGGTGTGGAACGCTATACATTTCTCTGCTGTTCTTCGAACCCTCCTGTGGCATCATCCACATGCTCCTCGTTTCTCCTCCCCCTTCTCCGACCATTCGGCCACCTCGGCCCACTGCAATTTTCTGTCTATGACCTGGGTGGTATCATCCATTCTCACCATGCCAGCTGCTGTGCATCTGCTGACAACACCATACCCACCACCCAGGCTTCTCCTCAGAGCTTAGACAAGCACGCCAGAGCACCTGCTTAGCATCGCCGCCTGGGTCGGCCCACCCCCTAATAAGTGGAACACGATCCAGGCACTCCAGGCACCTTAACTCCAACACTTTCCAGAACCAAGTCATCTTTCCTGATCCTCCAGCACCACGGTTCTTCCTTAGGCAGTTTCACCTCCCTGTGTTAATGGGCAGTGGCAACCAGGCCAGAAACCTGGCAATGGCCTTTTCTCCCTCCCTCATCCGCACCCCTACCAATCGCAGGTGCCCTCAGTTCTACCCTGTCCATCTCTGCCCCTCCTCTCCCACTGCCCCCACCTGGGCCAAGGCCTTGGCACCCCTCCCCAGCCCTGCACTAGCTCTCACCTGGGTGCCCACCTCCCTTCACCCCACCTGCCCTCGGGCACTCCACTCACCTGAGCTCCTGACATACAGACCTGACTGTGCCTGCCCCTTCTTGACACCTCTCAGTGAGCCCCCATCACTCACAACGTAAAGTCCCAGTTCCTCGGTGGAACATATCTGCTCCTCCATGGCACAGCCTCATGCCGAGTCACACTCCAGGGGAACCCATAGCTGCTTGTAGAGCCCTGAGACCCATGTTGCTCCCTGCCCCAATGCCTGCAGCTGGGCTGTTCCCCCTGCCTGGAATGCCCTTCCCTCCCTCCACTATGGCTGCATGAGTCTCATCTGCCCCTCAAGACAATCTCAGGGAGCATCTCCTCTGGAAAGGTTTCTGGCCCCAGACTGGACTAAGCGTCCATCATAGGTGTCCTCAGTGCACCCCATATAAAGACCCATACACTGCACTGCGATGCTGTTACCTGATGACAGCCTCACCTTCCCCACTAGCCTGTGGGCTGAAGGACTGGGACTCAGAACTCATTCCTATACAACATTGCAACCCTGTCCCCTAGCTCCATGCCTGGCACATTGGGGAAGCTCAATACAGTCTGTCCAACGGAACTAAACAAACTACAGGATGCTTTGGAAGGGATTGGCCCGGAAGCAGGGAGGACAGCGGGGAGCCTGGTACAAGAGCCAAGGTGTAGGTGATGAAGTTCAATTGTCAGCACTTTCCTTTTTTCTTCTGAAATCAGGAAGTATCCCTGCTGTAGGGGACTTAGCAGGTTGGGGACGGAGAAATTTCCCTCTGCTCCCTGGGGTGCTCCTCACCAGTGTCCTCTTGCCCTTCAAGGAAGTGTTCAGCCATAGGTCAGAATAGCCTGGGCCATGGGGAAGGGTGGAGGCATCTGGAGCCTTGGGCTGCAGGACCTGCCAGCTATGGAAGAAACAGGGGACACAGCGGCAAGCCAGGAGACACTGTCAGGGAAGTGACCAGAAAAATCCAGCAGGGGAGACAGCGCATAGACTTCCACCAATTAAAAGAGACACAAGGGAAGTGACAGCCAGGTGCAACGCACGATCACAGATTGGGTTCCGGTGGGGATGTCAGGAGAAACTGAACACAAAATAGAGGTTAGAGAATACTAATACATTATTATTAGTTTCTTGATATTATACTGTTATTTTGACATATATTAGGTCATTCTTGTATCGCTATAAAGAAATACCTGGCCTGGGGCTGTGGCTCACCCCTGTAATCCCAGCACTTTGGGAGGCGGCTGCAGGTGGATTACCTGAGGTCAGGAGTTCGAGACTAGCCTGATCAATGTAGTGAAACCCTCTATCTACTAAAAATACAAAAAAAATAGCCAGGTGTGGTGGTGGGCACCTGTAATCCCAGCTATGCAGGAGGCTGATGCAAGAGAATCGTTTGAACCTGGGAGGCGGAGGTTGTGGTGAGGTGATATTTTGCCATGGCACTCCAGCCTGAGAGACAGAGCAAGACTCTGTCTCAAAAACAAACAAAAAACAAGAAATACCTAAGACTGGGTAATTTATAAAGAAAAGAGATCAACTTGGCTCACAGTTTTGCAGGCTTTACAGGAAGCATGATGCTGGCATCTGCTCAGCTTCTAGGGAGGGCTCAGGAAGCTTCTGATCATGGCGGAAGGTGATGGGGAAGCAGGCACGTCACATGGCAAAGCAGGAGGAAAGGAGACAGACAGAGAGAGAGAGACAGAGAGAGCATACACTTTTAAATAACCAGATTTCACAAGAATTCACTCTCAGGAAGAGAGCACCAAACCATGAGAGATTTAAACACCTCCCACCAGGCTCCACCTCCATCCTTGGGGATTACAAATCAACAAGAGATTTGGGAGGGGACACATACCCAAACTATATCAGACTGTTTAAGAAAATGGTCTATGTTTTAGAGATACATTTGGAAATATTTAGGGGGGATATACCTGCAATTCACTTTAAAATATTTCAGCTTAAAATATATAGTCAATTTACAGGTTAAGATGCAATTGTGAGAAACTGCAAGTTAGAAATACTATGAGTTTAAGCAATTATCTTATGAAAGTAATTACAACTGCCTGAGTTCATGCTGCTAATAGCTCCATGTCACGTTATCTATGTTATGTGTAACAGGTCAAATTGTTCATAACTTTGTCATTCAAAGAGCTGTAGAGGTGTGAGCAAAATCAGTGTATTCAGTCAAAATGGTGTTCATGACAAGGGGAGCCCCTTGGATGTCTGAGGCCATGCATGTGCAATTATTGGGGAGTCTGAGAGTTATCTGAGGGGGGAGGGGGTTCAAATGCCTGAGGAGTGACTGTGGGATGATATGCAAACAGTACTTGGCAATGACCAAGACCACATACTTGCAAAGCTCACTCCCATGAAGACCAACTCAAAGACCAAAACCATACTCCAGGCTATGCTAGAAATTTAGAAGCCAGAACCAAGGGAAAGCTGGCAAGATGAGCCCAGAGGAAGGACTCTGCAAAGATGAGGAGCCCAGAGGGAGATGTCTAGGACAGGCTCCACACAAAACCATGCTGTAGGCATGCTGTGGTCCTCCTTTCTCATGGCTTGTGTGACATCCGTCCAGTTAGTATCAGAGTTATAAAAACCGACTCTGCAGCTTCAGGGTGGTCACACTGCAGTAAAGCAGTGAGTGTGTGTGTATGTGAGTGTGTGTGTATGTGAGGGTGTGTGTATGTGAGTGTGTGTGTATGTGAGGGTGTGTGTATGTGAGTGTGTGTATGTGAGGGTGTGTGTATGTGAGTGTGTGTGTATGTGAGGGTGTGTGTATGTGAGGTGTGTGTATGTGAGTGTGTGTGTATGTGAGGGTGTGTGTATGTGAGGGTGTGTGTATGTGAGGGTGTGTGTATGTGAGGGTGTGTGTATGTGAGGGTGTGTGTATGTGAGGGTGTGTGTGTATGTGAGGGTGTGTGTATGTGAGGGTGTGTGTATGTGAGTGTGTGTGTGTGTGAGGGTGTGTGTATGTGAGGGTGTGTGTATGTGAGGGTGTGTGTATGTGAGGGTGTGTGTATGTGAGTGTGTGTGTATGTGAGGGTGTGTGTTTGCCACAGGGTCTGGCCCACGGCACACTGGAGGGAGACCCTGAAGAGGAAGGAATGCTCATATTAGTGAAAACTGAGAGCTGACAACCTAAAGATGGGATAGTAAACTTAACTTACTTAAAGCAGACCAATGTGGACATATAGTTTCAGGGTAGATAGTGTTCTACATCTCAGTGGTCATGGAGGCATCACTGTGTTACTCTTTGTCATCAAGAATAGATTAAAATAGGCTGGGCACCTATAGACGTGGCTCACGCCTGTAATCCAAGCACTTTGGGAGGCTGAGGAGGGTGGATTATTTGAGATCAGGAGCTCAAGACCAACATGGCCAACATGGCCAACATGATGAGACCCCCGTCTATACTAAAAATACAAAAAGTAGCCAGGTATGGCAGCACGCACCTGTGATCCCAGCTACTCGGGAGGCTGAGGTAGGAGAATCACTTGAACCCAGGAGGCAGAGTTTGCAGTGAGCTGAGATTGTGCTACTCCACTCCAGGTTGGGCATCAGAGCGAGACTCCGTCTCAAAAAAAAAAAAAAAAAAGAATCCATTATAATAGCCTTTATTTAGGGAAACAGGGAATTATGCGCCAGTTTTTGAGTCATCAAACATTATTAACATTCGTTAAAGTTTTGTTTTCAGTGTCATTTATGAGACAATGCTACATATGTTTCATGTACAAATGCCACATAACTGAAAGTGACTGCATTAAGTAGCCTGGACAAATTTATTCCCAACACACAAGTGATGGAAACCAATACTCACAGTGGAAGGGCTCCTAGAGACCAATTTATTCAAATGTTCTCCTATCATAGGAAGAAAACATGAGGACTGGAGACGGAAAAAGACTTGCCATGCACACAAGTTAAATGAAAGATTAAAGCAAGGCTGTTCTCCGATCCCCTCTCCTCTAGCTCAAATCACATCCAGGGGCTCAACTTCTCACAAAACTATGTGAATTTATACAATCAAATTGGATTCCCCAAGATACTTGTGCTGGCTAAACCTTCATGGGACAAAGAAGCCTCATATGCTTATTTCCTCATCTGTAATGTGAGGATAGTGACCCTGATTTCACAGGACTGCTGCAAGGGGAAAAGAAAGGATTCTGTGTATTCTCACATGTCCTGTGATCAGTGAATGAAGGGCTGTCATCATCACCATCGTTACTATGACTCTCATTATTAGACCAACTCCATAGAGCGGAAGAGTGCAAGGTCACAAGGCAACAGCACCATTCATTTATTTAACAACAGAGCACCCCCATACACAAGTCCCTGAGGGTGGCAGTGTGCAAATTAGAGACTCTGCCCATCTGTTCTTCTTCAGGGACTCCAACATGCAGTGTCATAGCTCACTAACGTTCCATTTGGGCTTTTATTTTCCAGTCTTTTTCTCTGTTTCATTTTGTCTTCCTTCCTTCCTTCCTTCCTTCCTTCCTTCCTTCCTTCCTTCCTTCCTTTCTCTCTTTCTCTCTCTCTCTCTTTCTCTCTTTCTTTCACAGGGTCTCACTCTATCGCCCAGGCTGGACAATCATGGTTGACTCCAGCCTCAACCTCCCAGGCTCAAGTGATCCTGCCACCTCAAGCCTCCCAGGTAGCTGGGACTACAGGCACATGCCACCACACCCGGTTAATTTTTTAACTTTTTGTAGAGACAAGGTTTCACCATGTTGCCCAGGCTGGTCTCAAACTCCTGGGCTCGAGCAACCCACCTGCCTTGGCTGCCCAAAGTGCTGGAATGACAGGCAACAGCCACCCTCACCTAGACTCTCATTTTCTTGTTTCTTTTTTTTGAGATGGAGCCTTACTCTGTCGCCCAGGCTGGAGTGCAGTGATGCGATCTCAGCTCACTGCAAGCTCTGCCTCGTGTTCAAGTGATTCTCCAGCCTCAGCCTCCCGAGTAGCTGGGATTACAGGCATGTGCCACCACGTCCAGCTAATTTTTGTATTTTTAGTAGAGACGGGGTTTCTCCATGTTGGTCAGGCTGGTCTCAAACTCCTGACCACAGGTGATCCCGCCTCAGCCTTCCAAAGTGCTAGGATTACAGACATGAGCCATCATGCCTGGCCTGTCTGGACTCTCATTTTGAATAGTTTCTATTGCTATTAGGTTGGTGCGAAAGTAATTGCGGTTTTTGCAAATTACTCTTGCACCCTCCTGCTATTTCTTCAAGTTAAGTAATGTTTTCTTTTCTTTTTTTTTTTTTTTGAGATGGAGTTTCACTCTTGTTGCCCAGGCTGGAGTGCAATGGCTCGATCTCGACTCACTGCAACCTCTGCCTCCTGGTTTCAAGTGATTCTCCTGGCTCAACCTCCTGAGTAGCTGGGATTACAGGCATGCACCACCACGCCCGGCTAATTTTGTATTTTTAATGGAGATGGGGTTTCACCATACTGGCCAGGCTGGTCTTGAACTCCTGACCTCAGATGATCCGCCCACCTTGGCCTCCCAAAGTGCTGGGATTACAGGCGTGAGCCACTGCTCCCAGCCAAGTAATGTTTTCTTCTACAATGTCAAAACTGTCCCATTCTGTCTAGTTGTTACCTCAGACATTGAGATAACAACTAGGTTTGTTTTTCCATCTCTAGAAGTTATATTTGGGTCTTTTTCTATGTTTCATATCTCTATTTTAAGTGTTCATGTTTTTCTCGACCTTTTTGAACATATAAAAAAATACTTATAATAACAGTTTTAGTGTCTTTGTTTACTATCATTGGTATCACTTCTAGCTCTATTTCTATTGATTTCTAGTTCTGTTCATGACGGGTTGTATTCTTTGTGTTCTTGGTAATTTCTACTTGGCTGACAGACACTGTGAATTCTACCTTCTTGAGTGATGGGTATTTTTACATGTTCTTCAGATGTTCTCGAGTTTTTATTCTGGGATCTCGTTCAGTCACTTGGAAACAGTTTATTCCTTTCAAGACTTGCATGAGATCTGCTAGCACCAGAACAGCCTTAAGTCAAGGGCTAATTGGACTAATTGTCACTACTGAGGCGGCAGCTTTCTAAATGCTCCTCCTGATGCCCTGTGTCTTACAAGCTGTCTCCACTCTGGCTAGCAGGACCAGGTTCCTGATAGCGTGAGCTCTGGGAATTGGTATGCCCGTTCCTTCAAGGGGCTGTTTCCCCAGCCTCCAGTAGTTTCCTTGTGTGAATGCCACGGTCTGGTCCAGTCCATCGTCTGCTGAATGTTCAGCGGGGACCTTCTGCAGGTCTCCAGAGCTCTCTCTCTGTGCAGCTCTCTCCAGGGACCTGCAGCTGCCTGTCCTCCCCAGATTCCCGGGTCCGCCTCTGCTCGTGGAGACCACCAGGCTCCACCTGACTCTCCCGTCCCAGTCCTGCAGCGTAGAAACTCCCCAGGCAGGCCGGGCGGAGTGGCTCATGCCTGTAATCCGAGCACTTTGGGAGGCCGAGGCGGGCGGATCACGAGGTCAGGAGATCAAGACCATCCTGGCTAAAGCGGTGAAACCCCATCTCCATCTCCACTAAAAGTAAAAAAAAAAATTAGCCGGGCGTGGTGGCAGGCACCTGTAGTCACAGCTATTCCGGAGGCTGAGGCAGGAGAATGGCGTGAACCCGGGAGGCGGAGCTTGCAGTGAGCCGAGATCGCCCTACTGCACTCCAGCCTGGGCGACACAGTGAGACTACATCTCAAGAAAAAGAAAAGAAAAGAAAAGAAAAGAAACTCCCCAGGCAGAGAGCAGGGGCAATGGGAGTCTCAACTCATTCCTTTGCTTCCCTTGAGGGTCCCTGTCCCCAGCTGAATGCTATTTCTTGTCCAAAAACCATTGCTTCATATACTGGTTTTGAGTGTTTAAGGTGAGAGTGAACATGGCCTTTCACTCCATGTTGGCTGGAGCTGGAGGTCAGTCCTGCTTAAACTTTTAGAGCAGAGAGCTCTTCTTCTTCCCTGGGCCTGGACCTCAGAGGACGCCAGGGATCCGAGTGGCTCTTGCCATTTTACCTCTTCAAGGAGCCTGAATCTAAAGCCAACACAGCAAAAGGCAGACCCAGGAGGTGGAGAGAGATCAGCTGCAGGTGACATCCTTGCAGCCCTGAATCAAGCTTGTTCACTAGATTCTTAACTACAAGAGACAGAGAGGAAAACAAAATCCCTTTGCTCAGGTCAGTTGGAGTCAGGGTTTTCTAATATTTTTGCAAGCGAACAAGTCTCAAGTGATTCGCTCTACTGTTTAAAAATGCATATGATGACGGCATGTGTGTACCGAGCTGGGGCAGAGGTTAGAGAAATTTAAAAATGCGTATGAATAACAGCATGTCTCTACAGAGCTGGGGCAAAGGTTAGAGAAAGCGATCTATGTAAACGAGCTGCCAGGCCCGTACACAGTAGGTGCTCCGTGAAGGCTGTCTCCCTGCCCCGTCCTCAAATATCTGCTTCTTGATCTGGGCTTCAAAGCTGATCCCATTCTCTCTCCAGTCACCTCTCAAACTCCTCCTTCTTTTCTGTTAAGTAGCAAGTCTGGTCTTTCCTTCTTTCCGAGCATGAACCCAGGCTTTACAGTTAATATCCTGCCGCCTCTGATTGCAGCTTTAAGAGGTGTAACATTTGATAAGCTCCATTTAGCTTGGCTGAGCTGCATTGTTTAAATTATTCGAAGACAGATTGCTCCCTCCCCCTACCCTGAGGATTTCTGCTCTACTGAGCTTGCCCACAGCAAGTTACCAGGAAACACGGCAGGGAAGTCAGCAGGGCAGTTTGTCACCGTGAGGCTGAAAATCAGTTCCAGCCGCTGTTCTGCAGCCATCACACCCCATTATTCCCTGCTAATTGCAAGCCTGGTATGCAGGCTAACTCTTTGAGAACAATGCCAGCTTTGATTGCTGAAGAGGCTTATTCCTCTCCGCACCGCCCCCCCCCCCGCCCCCGCCCTCTTCTCCCACCGTCCTCAGCTGACTCTGCCTGTCTGGGATTCCAAGCATCTCACACTGGGGAAGAAGAGTCTGGGTTGGGAAGGAATCTGAAGTGAAGCCCGTTCCCCAGGCATTCCGATTGGGGGAGGGAAGGAGGGCACTGAGGGGAAGGCTGGGTGGGTCCCAGCCCCCTGAGACGTGAGCAGCCTCCATTCTAAATGATGTGGAAGAGCCGGCAACCCAGACACAGCTGCTCTGCAAGCCCATCTGCCCAGCTCAGGGCTCAACCTCAGGACACGCCCACTCCTCCTGGTCCAAACGAGGATGGAGCCCCTCGAGCCTGTGCTCATGGGCACTGTCTCACTCCATCCGAGCACTGCTTAAAACACACTGGATAAATGCGGATGGCTGTCAGACGCTTTTAATGAGGAAATATTAGAGGAATATTAGAGGAATAATGAGGAAATGATAGAAAAATCAGAGACTGTGTTTTTTTAATCTACAGAATCTATTGGCCTAGATTTGCCAGACATTCATTTAGAAACAATAAAAATAACTGTAAGGGTGACTACATGACCTGCAGAGCCTAAAACATTTCGTATCTGGTCTTTTACAGAAAAATGTTGCCAACCCTCGCCCTCCCAGCCGCCAGAATTTGGATTAAAAGAGACTAAAACGATGTGACAATGAAATGCAATGTGTGAGCCTGTCTCGAATTGGATCCTAGACCAGAAAAAGGACATTTGAAGGGAAACTGGTGCAATTTGAAAGGGACCTGCAGATTAGACAATAGAGTGCCTCAAGGTCAGTTTCTTGATTTCACTCGTTTTGCTGTGGTTCTGTGAGCTGTTAACCTTTGGGAAATCTGGGTATGTGGTGATTCTTTGTACTGTTTTTGCAACTTTTTTGTTAAGTTTGAAATTATTTCAGAAAAGAAATCTTTAAAAAATGATCATAAGGAGAGGACATTCTTACTCCCCAGAATTCTTGGAGCCTGGGAAAGGTGGGTTTGGTGGGGAGGGGTCTGGGAAAGAAGTTCTCAGAGCAGATGCAGTTACTCCCAGAGAGCTAGAGTGTCGGGGGCGTGGAGTCGGGGGGAACCCAGGGCTCCGGGGAACATGGGCTTTTGGAAAGGACATAGAGTGAGGAGGGAGACGAGGCAAGGTGGCAGAAGGATGTACCTGAAGTGATCCTTAAAGCTGCAGTGAATTCACTAACCAGACGACATACAAGAGTGGCAAGATTTCTGCTTGAAGAGGTGAAGGGTCCAACATCGTGCCAGCTGGCAGGAGGCTGACCAGAGGTAACAGATCTGGATGTAGGAGCCAAGGCAAGGGCCATAAGGAAGAGAGGCTGGCCCTTCACAGCAGTCCCAGGAGGCCTCGGGGCTTCCCCAGGCTGTGCCACAGGATCAGAGCGAGGTGCACCTCAACTGCCAAGGGGCAGAGAGGCTCCAAGTGCAGGGTTAACCTCTCATGCACTACGGAACCCACAACGGGCATTACTTTTTGCAAGGGAGCTTACCGCTTCTGCTCCCTTGAGAACACACAGCCGAGGCTGATATGGAGCCTAAGCTGGGCACCAGCAGTCACTCCATCAGAACTCAGTGCACTCCCTGAGTTGTTTGCTTTCTCCAGCTGTAGAACCTGCTAACCAAACTCTGGAGGAGGCACATTTGTGTGCTGTAAGCAGCATGATCCATCTGTGGATTACCTATGAATAGTAACTAATCACAAAACAGAGAAGTCTTGCATACTGCAAAAGTATCTTTAAGCAAGCATGGATGTAAAGAGGCCAGATGATCCCTATCAGGTAGGTAGGAAAATGGCCAGGTTAGGCAGCGTGGCCTTAAGAATGCACCTTACAGACACCCTCCCACCCCACCTGCCCACTAGGGCAGCGCTAATGGACCAGGCCGCACCGCTGCTCTGAAATCCAGGGCAGCTTTTCCAGGGAGGTCTCCCTTCCCACCATGCACAGGCTGCTCCCAGCCACAACTGAGTGCAGCAGGGAGAGCGGGCGGGCTCCTCCGGTGGCCAGCGTGAGTGCAGTGACACCGTGACTGCTTTGCCAGACTTGCCTTTGATGGCATCTTGGTCAAGAAATTTCCACCCAACTGTCTCTCCCTCTTTCCTTCATCGAATTTAAACTTGCTTTGCAGACTGACATTTCCAGATTCTCTTGCTCCTTCCTCATTTTCTCTCACACATGCATTTCCCCTAATAAAATCTTTGCACGTTTAATACCATGTTAGCATCTGTTTCTGGGAGGATCAAGACTGACCAGGCAGTGTGGGAAAAGGCTGGTCTGCTTCGTGTGTGCTCTTCCCAAGATGCTTCCCTCCTCAAAGATCACCCTCGAGGTGCAGCAAGGCTTTGGGAGGAAGATATTTTCATAGTGCTTTTTAAATAGTTAAATTCCAGGTATACGACCTTTACTATGATTATAAGAGGAGGTGGTAAAGTATACATCCTGGGGGAAAAATAACCGTCAAACTGTTGATTTCTAGTTAGATACCTTCCTATCAGTTGCAGTGATATCACTTTTGTGCTACTTAGTGCCAATGTCTTTAAATGTTTTGTTGAACAATTACTAAAGGCAATTTATAAGGAAAAACATGATCCTCTACCTCTGCCCCCCAAAAAGTGAGGAATATTTCAGATGAATAAGCCTCAGAATTAGGGATCAAGTCAGAAAGCACAGTGGAAGCTCATTAGATTGATTGAACCTCTATTTCAACAAGAGTCACATAATGCATATTTGCAATATGCAATTGTCAAAGCCATACAGTTTTTCGTTGGCTTTGCTTAATTTCCGCAAATGCTTTCTCCAACATAAAAATATATGTGTAGGTGTGCCTATTTACAAACTAGGAAGCTGCATCAGAAACAGCACGATTTAGAGGGAAAGGGGGAAAGACAAAATTAAGGGAAGAGCCGGGAAGGAAACCCAGAAGGGAAGAATGAGGGAAGAGTGTCCACTCTGTCTGTGAGTTGGCAAATTCAAATGATGTGCATTTGGGAAAGGGAAGGATCATTGGCTCTGTGGCTGGAGATCCCCTTCGGAGGATGAAGCAGGGAGATGTATGGGTTTGCCAACCCTGCTACTGACAAAAGTCCCAGCCTGAAGTGCCCAAGATGTGCCCCACGTCATCCTGATGGGTAAAAACATGGAGGGGGAATCTTATCTCTCAGAGGAGGAGAGGGAAACATTTGGAAAACTTTCCTATCTCCACTCATGCCAAGGATGTTGGGGACATTCATTGTGTGGGAGCCCCAGGAGGAGGGACCCCAGATCAGTCAGAGCAGGGGTCCTGTGGAGGGCAAGGAAGACAGGCTCGGCACTAGCCTCAGCCCCTCCCTATGCTGAGGAAGCCAAAGGCTGTCTTAAAACAGTCAAGGAGGTAAAGAGCCCTGGAAGTTAGCACTGAACAAAGCCTGGCCCTTTTGGTACTCAGTCCACTTGCTGAGGGTTAGGAAGTGGGGCTTGGAGAGACTGAAAGGTACTAAGTGAAGAGCTGGGGTTAGACCTGCCTGAGGGCACCATGTTGGTGCCCTGACTCTGTCCTGTGACTCTAATCAAGAAGGCATTCCTGCACTCGCCTGATGACTCTCTCAGCACTCACTTCCTTGGCTGGATTTTGGACTCAAAGCTGCCCAAGTAATGACATCAGATTTGTCTTTGCTTAAGACAGCTCTTTTAAATTGTTTTCAGCACAACTCACAGTAGCAAACATATCTTTACCTGCAGTCCAGTACACAAATGTGTGTATCAAGTACCTGAAACAAAAGTGTCACAAGACAATACTCACCCTGAAGATTTGCTATGCATCTAGTATTTTCTTTTCCTGTCTCTTCTTGTCCTTTCTCTACCATTCTTAAAAAGAAAAATGCGCTTGTAATTGGACAAGCACTAGCTGAAAGATCACAACTCTGGTGACCCAGGGGCACTTGGTGGCCTCCACAGATTCCCCTAAAGAGGTAGCAGGTCATTAGTGAGGTTATATGGAATTATGTGGACCCTGTAGACCATGGGTCAGTCCACTCCACTAAAACACTCGTATTCTAAGTCCAAGGGACATGCCTTAACTCAGATACTCTTACAGCTTTTGACTACAGCAACAATCATTTATACTTCACTTGCGTATATTATCCCAATAGAAAATGCTCAGAATGGCCAGGTACAGTGGCTCATGCCAGTAATCTCAGCACTTTGGGACGCCGAGGTGGGGGGAATCACTTGAGGCCAGTTCGAGACCAGCATGGCCAACATGGTGAAACCCCCGTCTCTACTAAAAATACAAAAATTAGGCCAAGCATCATGGCTCACACCTGTAATCCCAACACTTTGGGAGGCAGAGGCGGGTGAATCACCTGAGGTCAGGTGTTTGAGACCAGCCTGGCCAACATGATGAAATCCTGTCTCTACTGAAAATACCAAAAAAAAAAAAAAAAAAAAAAAAAAAAAATAGCCAGGTGTGGTGGTGGACACCTAGAATCCCAGGCACTTGGGAGTCTGAGGTGACTCTATCTCAAAAAAAAAAAAGAAAAAAAGAAAAAGAAAAAGAAAAGAGAAAATGCTCAACCTAGCAAAATAACTGATGTGATTTTCTTGTTTAACAGAGGGAAAGTTTCTTATGGTCATCTTACAACAATCGTTGTCCCTCCAATAGGGAATTCCGCCAAAGTCTGCTCCGCAAAGCACGAGCAAATGTTCAGGGTCTGGAGACAGTAGATTGCTCCAGGAGAAATATGAAGGAGCCACCGTGATTCCATATCTGCCTGGGAACTCTTTTAAGCTGCTGAGGTCAGAAGAGATTTGCAAAGCCCTCCAAGAGACTTTACCGAAAGACATCGTGTGCTGGGGGTTAATGTTTTTCTTCATTAGTTGTGTTTGTAGCTTCTTGAAATTATTGTATATGGACTGGCACCCGCCTCAGCCTCCAGTCATCAGCACAACTGCATCGGGGGATGGCCTCCTGGCTTCATCTATCAAACAAGCCACTGTCTGCAGACGTTCTGGGATTTGTTGTATTTGGGGTTAAACGGGGGAGGAGGGAAAATTAACGGGTTTCTATAAAGAATCACTTCTCTGGTTCTCGTTAAAGCTCTGAGGGTCACAGGAAATCTCTGGTTTCAAACAACTGTATGTGGCGTGATCCTGTTTACTTGAAATGTCTAGCTGAGACCTAGCTTTGCCACATTAATACTAAATAAGTAATATCCACAGAAGCTACTTTTTGGTCCTCTTTGCCAAAAATCTTGAGGAAGGGGTCCAGCACAGAAGCCTTACATGCATGTTTCATATAGAAGCCACAGGGTCAATGGAAACTAGGCTTCCTTATTTTTTTTTTAAGCTGTTTCATGACAGATAAAACTCAGCTGGTAAGCCAATCCATACCAAATGACCCACCAGGGCCACCGTACTTGTTACCACCCAAGAGGTAGTTCCATGAACTTCATATTTATTCTCTTTCTATCTAAACTCCCTCTCTGAAATGGATCCAATGGGCGTACTTACCTGAGGTGTAAATGGTTGGTAAGTAGAGTTGCCAGATTTCGCACATAAAATACAAACTCCACAGTTGAATTTGTATTTGAGACAAATGATGAATAATTTTAAGTATAGTATGTCCTGTGCAATGTTTGAAACATACGTAAGCTAATTTATTACTTGTTGTTTATCTGAAATTGAAATTTCGTTGGGCATCTTGTATTTTATCTGGCAGCCCTACTGCTAAGGCCCAATGTGCTACCTTTTAAAGGAACTTGATGTCTAACAGGAGACAATAATAGCCAACGTTGTGATTAGGAAGGAGGGCTTATGGGCCTGGGAGAGTTCCCCAGATAAGAGGAGCTTCCTCACCTAAGAATTTGCTTCGTGTCAGAAGGGGCAGCTTATCTGGCCATCTGGTCCCTAAACAAACTCTGTGTCGTGGCCTGTGAGGATGGTGGCATTGCTGGGTGCCCACTGCTTTACAGTCATGATGAGGGGGATATTATCATCCGCTTTTACAAAAGGGTAAACTGAGTGCAGGGAGGTTAGAAACGTGTCCAGTTCACCCCATGGGAAGCGGTCACTTGAGTGGTTGGGGACCAACGTGGGAGAGAGGGAACGTTACCTTAAGCTGCTGCCCTGGGCACGGAGAGACACAGATGGACAGCAAGGATGCAGAGGGATGCCTGGTGTTCCCGACACTTCGTGGATGGTCCCAGCGAAAGGAGGCTTGTGCAAAGTGTTTTATGATGCTTATGCATCCGGGAAGCTTCAGGGACAAAGTGATTTTGGAGAAAATCAGTTAAAGATTTTTAAAGAGGGGATTTAATTGGAGGGAGGCAGAAGAGGTGCCAACTTGATTTCTGAAAATTGTAATCCCTACTGCTCTCAGAGCCACTGCCTGGTACGGAAAGTGTATCTTCTCCCACTGGCTTTGCACACCATTTAACAGGAAATTCAAGTCGAAATATCAGGGGGAAAAAAAGCCTCCTAGCCTTATTACTAGAAGAAGACCCCTCCCTCCCACCATTTGTAATAGAACCCTCTTCAGGACGAGGCCTCCGGAATTGCTGTTTATCTCTTATTCGTGCTCTAATAAAATCAATATGTGTGTCCTACTAAACTTGGATCTACCGACAGTGAATTTCAAAAGATTCTGAACTCTCTGCAGGCCTACATCAGTGGTTCTCAACCAGGGGATTTTGTCCCCAGGCAACATTTGACAGTCTCTGGAGATGTTTTGGGTTGTTACAACTTGGAGGTGGGGGCAGGAGTGCAACCTACGTCTAATGGACAGAGGCCAGAGATGCTGCTAAACAGCCTACCCTGCACAGCAGGAAAGAATCTCTTCTTTGTGTCTTCCCAGCAAAGAATCCTCTGGCCAAAAAATCTAGCCTAAACTATTCATTTATTTCCTTCATCTGAGAAGCCTCTATTGAGCACCAACTATGCCCCCAGTTGCGGGGCTAGATGCTTGGGATGTGAGGATAAATAAAGCATGGCCCCTGGTGTCATCAGCTCACACTCTGGCAGGGAGGAAGACACACAGATGACGTGTTGCCACACTGCGTGCTTGTGGCACAGGCCAGTGCACAGCACTGGAAGGAAAGAGGGAAGAGCTTCCGGCAGAGAAACACTGAAAGAGGACTTTGAAGGATGAATAGGAGTTTGATGGGCAGGAAAGGGAGGAAGGTCTCAGGCAGTGGAGCCCAGAGGCCCAGAGGTGTGAGAGTAACATGGCATGTTCTGGAAACTATGCGGGTCCTGTTCAGATGTCCATGCAGACTGTGGTGTAGGAGAGACATGGCTGGTCATGGAGGGCTGGCCGTCCAGCCCAGCGATCTGGGCTCTCCTGGAGTCTAATGCATCAGGATCTGAACACCGCCCCATCGTGTGCTCGTGTGCAAAGCTGACAAACATGCCTGTGGTGGAGGATGGTGCGGAGCAGGCTCTGGCAATGACACAGAAGGAGGCCTGGGAGGCCGAGGGTTACAGTGGAGGAAAAGCTGGGAGACTTTAGGATTTGGTGACTGGTGTTACTTGGGGGAAAGGAGAAGGGAGAGATGAAGGATTTAGACGTTGCAGGAAGAGGGTGAGTGCTGATGTGGCTGATGTGCTCCAGAGCTGGAGCGGGGTTGAGGTGGGGAAGTGTATCTGTCAGTTAGGGGTGCCTAAAGTGCCACAGACGCAAGAGCTTTAACGACAAAAAGTATTCCTCACAGCCTGGTGGCTGGAAGTCCAAAGTTAAGGTTGGCAGGATCAGTTTCTTCTGAGGCCTCTCTCTGTGACTTGTAGATACCGTCGCCTCCTCCCTGTGTTTTCACTGGGTCTTCCCTCTGTGTGTGACTATGTCCCTAATCTCCTCTTCTTATAAGGATGCCGGTCATATTGGATTAGGGCCCAACCTAATGACCTCGTTTAACTTTAATTACCTCTTTAAAGACCCTCCAAGTACACAGGGAGTTAGAACTTTGAATTTTGGGCGGGCACAATTCAGCCCCTACCCAGAAGGAAAGGAGTTCAGTCTCTTCCCCACATTTCCCCGGAGCCGTGGGATTGCCGCGACTCACGGCAGGAAGACCGAGACACCTTCCCACAGACCAGGCAGCCCGCTGGATCTCTCATCCAGAAAAAAGAAACACCTGTTTATTGAGTGACTGCTGTGTGACAGTGCTTTGTGCACCGTGGTGTCATTTCATCCACATGGTAACACTGCAGGCAGCTACTGTTATCTTTGTACAGGTTGAGACTGAGATTCAGACAGATTAGAAATCCTGCCAAAACTCTCAAAGCTCAAATGAGCAAAATTCAGCCCAACCTCACCTCCGGGGCTTCCGCTGCACATGGACATGCCTGTCTGAAGAGCCCAGCTCTCCACTGGAAGGTCCTGCCACTGCGTCCCCCAGGGATACCCTTTCCCTCTGTGTGGCCCGTCCAGAGCCCCAGCCAGACACATCGATCCCGCTACACCAGGGATGTACCCGTGGTGACCACAGGTAGCTCCTGGGACACCGGAGCCTCTGGCCAATATTTACCCAGTAATTCAAGCAGGTAATAAACAGCTTACAGGTAGCCTCCCTCACACACACAGCAGCTTCCTCAGCCCTCAGACTGGGAACAGCCCCAGCAAGTCTGGGCTGGAGCCTTCTCTGTCTGCCCCAAGGAGCAGTAGCTCCCAACTGGCTGCACATTAAAATCCCAAGGGAGCTTTGAAAGCCTGGGCCCAGGCCACCTCCAGATCAATTAAATCAGCGCCTCTGGGGTGGGCCTCAGGCACCCACATTCTTATAAAGTTTTCCAATGTGCAGAAAAGATTAACAAAACACTGATATCGACAAATATGGAAAGACTCTTCAATATTTGTCATCTGAGGACCAAAATGAGGGCTATGGCCTTCAGCACAGCAGCCCCTCCCTCTGTGCACACACCGCTAGGACTTCCCGCCTCCACACCCCGCCACGTGGATGGATACACCCATGTGTGGACATACACACACTTGGTCGTATATGCACATATGTGCACACCCGCCAGGACCATCAAATGCCAGAGTTAGGCTTCTCCAGTAGGGGGAGCACAGGTCACCCCTGTCTTTTACCCCTCATCATCCGGAGAAGCAGAATAAAATCCACAGGCCCCGCCCCCAGTAATCTTGCTTCCAGATCCTGGGAAGGGTGATGCCCTTCCCAGCATGTAACCAGTGGGGAGCACCACTGCAGGAAAGGAGAGGGGCCTTGGCCATGGTCGCACCATATCTGTTCTGTGTGGGGAAACTGAGGCCCAGAGAGGTGAAGGACTGTGCCCAAGGGCTGACCATCCCTGAGCACGAGCCAGCAGAAGGACAGGAAAGACCATCACACTCTTCATTGGTGTCACTGATCACTGACTTTGGGCTGGATCATTTACTGAGGGTGTTGGACATATCACAAATTCAAGCCTCATCACTCTCAGAGGCAGGGAAGGCTTTTTCACCCAATTTTAGAGATAAGGAAGTTGGAACTTTTTAAAAATTATTGTAAAATACACAGAACATTAACTATTTTAAGTGTGCAGCTCAGTGGCATCACATGGCTTCCGATTGTTATACAACCAATGTTCCCAAACTGAAACTCTTGCACCCATTAAACACTAACTCCCATGTCTCCTCCCCCCAGCCCCTGGCAGTCCCCATTCTACTTTGTCTCTATGAATTTGACTACTCCAGGTGCCTCAAGCAGTATTCATCTTTTGTGTCTTGCTTACTTCACTCAGCATAACGTGCTCAAGTTGCATCCATGTGGTAGCATGTGTCAAATTTTCCTTCCTTTTAAGGCTAAATAATACTCCATTTATGTACATTTTCTTTATCTATTCACACATAATGGACACTTGGGTCATTTGCACCTTTTGGCCATTGTGAATAATGCAGCTGTGAACCTGGTATCCACATATCTCTTCAAGACCCTGCTTTCAATTCTTATTGGTATATACCAGAAGTGGGATTGCTGAATTATATGGTAATGCTATGTTTAATTTTTGGAGGAAACTCCATGCTGTTTCTCACAGTGGCTGCACCATTGTACACTGCCACCAAATGCACAAGGGCTCTGATTTCTCCACATCCCCACCAACACATATTTTCTGTTGATAGTAGCCAAAGATGGACATAAGGTAATATCTCATTGTGGTTGTGATTTATATTTCCCTAATGATTTGTGATTTTGAGCATCTTTTCATGTGCTTGCTGGACATTCGTATATCTTCTTTGGAGAAATGTGTAACTTAGGGCTTTTACGTAACTTGCCCAAGGCTATTGAACTAGCAGTGGCAGGACCAAATTCATACCTAAACATTTACCTGCAGGAACTTGCTCCTAACAACTAGCACTAAGATGACACATGTAGAGCTCTTGACACAGTGCCATGGATGTATTTATTAGTAAATGTCCAATAAATGTGAGCTATTATTACTGTATTAGTTTGTTCTCACACTGCTATAAGGAACTACCTGAGACTGGGTAATTTATAAAGAAAAGAAGTTTGATTCAGCTTACAGTTCTACAAGCTGAATAGGAAGCATGGTTGGGAGGCCTCAGGAAACTTACTATTGTGGCAGAAGGCAAAGGGGAAGCAAGCATATCTTACCATGGTGGAGCAGGAGAGAGAGAGTGAAAAGGGAAGTGCTACACATTGTTAAACAACCAGATCTCATGAGAACTCACTCACTATCATGAGAACAGCAAGGGGGAAATCTGCCCCAACAATCCAATCACCTTCCACCAGGTTCCACACCCAACAATGGGGATTACAATTCAACCTGAGATTTGGGTGGGAACACAGAGCCAAACCATATCAACTACCACTAACATTACTGCTATGGAAGTCCTAGTAGAGCAATCAGACAAGAGAAAGAAATAAAAGGCATCCAAATTAGAAAGGAAGAAGTCAAATTATCTTTGATTACAGATGATATGATCTTATATTTAGAAAAACCTAAAGACTCCAGCAAAAAAACTATTAGAACTGATCAACAAATACAGTAAAGTTGCAGGATACAAAGTCAACATACACAAATCAGTAGCATTTCTATATGGCAACAGCAAATAATCTGAAAAAGACAACAAGAAAGTAATTCCACTTGCAAGAGCTACAAATAAAATTAAATACCTAGGAATTAACCAAAGATATCATAGAGACAGAGTAGTTGAAACAACAGCAACAAAACTTAACCAAAGAAGTATAAGATCTCTGCAATGAAAATTACAAAACATTAACAAAAGAAATTGAAGAGGACAAAAAATATGGAAAGATATTCCACGTTCATGGATTGGAAGAATCAATATTGGTAAAATGTACATATTACCAGAAACAATCTACAGATTAAATGCAATCCCTATCAAAACACCAATGAAATTCTTCACAGAAATAGAAAAAAAAAATCCTAAAATTTGTGTGGAACCACAAAAGACCCAGAATAGCCAAAGCCATCCTGAGCAAAAAGAACAAAACTGGAGGAATCACATTACCTGACTTCAAATTATACTACAGAGATATAGTAACAAAAACAGCATGGTACTGGCATAAAAACAGACACATAGACCAATGAAACAGAATATAGCACCCAGAAACAAATTCATACATCTACAGTGAACTCATTTTCAACAAAGGTGCCAATAACATACATTGGGGAAAGGAGAGTCTTCGATAAACAGTGCTGGGAAAACAATATTCATATGCACAATAATGAAATTAGACCCCTATCTTTGCATTTACAAAAATCAAATCAAAATTAATAAAAAACTTAAATCTAAGACCTCAAACTATGAAACTACTACAAGAAAACATTAGAGAAACTCTCCAGGACATTGGACTGGGCAAAGATTTCTCGACTAATACCCCACAAGCACAGGCAGCCAAAGCAAAAACAGACAAATGGGATCACATCAAGTTAAAAAGCTTCTGCACAGCAAAATAAGCAATCAACAAAGTGAAGAGACAACCTGCAGAGTGGGAGAAAATATTTGCAAACTATTTATCTGACAAAGGATTAATAACCAGAATATATAGGGAGCTCAAACAACTCTACAGGAAAAAATCTAATAATACAATTAAAAATGGGCAAAAGATCTGAATAGACATTTCTCAAAAGAAGACATACAAATGGCAAACAAGTATATAAAAAGGTGCTCAACATCATTGATCATCAGAGAAATGCAAATCAAAACTGCAATGGGATATCATCTTACTCCAGTTAAAATGGCTTTTATTCAAAAGACAGGCAATAACAAGTGCTGGCAAAAATGTGAAGAAAAGGGAACCCTTGTACACTGTTGATGAGAAAGTAAATTAGTACAGTCTCTGTGGAGAACAGTTTTGAGGTTCCTCAAAAAACTAAAAATAGGACTACCATATGATGCAGCAATCCTACTGCTAGATATATACTCAAGAGAATGGAAATCAATATATTGAAGAAATATCTGCACTTTCATGTTTATTGCAGCACTATTCACAATAGCCAAGATTAGGAAACAACCTAACTGTTCATCAACAGACAAATGCATAGACCAAATGGGTACATAGAAACAGTGGAGTACTATTCAGCCCTAAAAAGGAATGAGATACTGTCATTTGCAACAACTGGATGAAACTGGAGGTCATTAGGTTAAGTGAAATAAGCCAGGCACATAAAGACAAACTTCACATGTTCTTATTTAATTGTGGGAGCTAAAAATGAAAGCAATTGAACTCATAGAGATGGAGGTAGAATGATGAGATGAGATAGAGAGTAGAGGCTGGGTGTGGTGGGGGGCAGTGCAGGGACAACAGTATAATTAGAATGAATAAGATCTAGGGTGACTACAGTCAACAACAGGGTAACTACAGTCAACAATAACTTATTGTACATATAAAAATAACTAAAAGAGTATAATTGGATTGTTTGTAACACAATGAAAGGTTAAATGCTCGAGGTGATGGATACCCCATTTACCCTGGTGTGATTATTATGCCTTACGTTCCTGTATCAAAATATCTCATGTACCCCATAAATATATACACCTACTATGTACCCACGAAATTAAAAATTTTTAAAAATTACTGCTACTATTACAACCATTAACATCACTACCTCCATTACTACTATTAATAATTCTACCAGTTCTGCTGCTGTTACTAGAAGACTTCCTAAGACTAGAGTTAGATAGTTCTATCTCAAGACAGAGTGGCAACCCCACATCTGTAAACAGGGGTTTTTTTAGCATGGTTATGGCCAAAGGAAAATAGATCAAGGGATTTGTGATTCATTCCCTACTTCAGCATTTCTCAAAGCGTGGGCTGTGGATTGGCTGGAACAGAATAACATGAGTCACTGGATTTAAATCAGATTCTGAGTCTCCTTCTCAGACCTGCTGCACTGCAGTCACTGAGTGGGAGCAGCTGGACATTTGCAGGACACAGTCCCTCAGAGGACTCTGCTCAGTTCAATGAAGCATCTTGGCCCACTGGAGCTGGGACTAGAGCCTTGTCATTGGTGAGCACGGGATATCTTTTTTATGGTAAAAAACAATCCCCCAAACATACACAAAAATGAAATGAGTGATTTATCTTCTTTTTCCTGCTTTCACAAATTTTTAAATTTCTGATTATCCTGTATTAGTTTTATGCTTTAGAAACATACATCTTTAAAGCAACTAAAATTTTTGAGGGATCTGTATTCTTTTTAACAGCTTTATGGAAATAAAGCTGATATACAATAAACTGCACCTATTTAAATGTACAATTTGATAAGTTTTGACACATGTAGAAACCCGTGAAACCATCACCACAATCACAAGGGTAAATATATTAAATACCATAAATGTTTCAACCTGCCCCTCTGTAGAGATGTTTGTATCTTGTGCCTTCCTGCCATTCCCTTTATCCATGCACTCTCCACCCTTCCCCCAAGATCTTCAGTATTTGAATTTGTGGATTATAAGGCTGTAACTTTTCCCAGTGAGCACTGCCACCAAAACAACCCTGGTGACACTGCCTAGAACAGACCAGGTCTCAGCCAGTGGGAATAAACTAAGAGGCCCTAGAGAAACTTGGACTGCAGCAAACACAGTGCAGGGGTACCAGAAACAGAAAGGATGGGGCAGATCACCTGCATGAGAAGGTGCTGGTCTCTGTGCCCAGAATGCCTTCCTTTGGCATCATCCAATTTTCAAACTCGTATTCATCCTTTATAACTCACTTCTTCCTCTAGGAAGCCTTCCTTCGTCCACATGCCACCAACAGCCTTGTCCAAGGTGGTGTCCAGTGGTGGGGGGCATTTTCTACCAAGCATTAAACAAAATCAGAGGACTTGGGACATCCTCCCAGCCACTTCTCAGAAACTGTGATTTCTAAACCTGTCCCCAAAAGACAGACGTCTCTCTTCTTTTCTTTAAACCTTCCAAGGAAGAGTCATAAATGCCCATGGCAGTGCCTAACAGCCTCCTCAGTTATGCCCACCTCCTTGCCCACTACAGCCAGTCATTTGCTACAGTCTTTCCAGCTGGTCCCACTTCCCCTGACTCCTGATCATAGTGCTGTTGGAGTCAGGCCAGCAGCCCCTCAGCACCCTACACCTACCTCAGCTACCAGTAGGGAGAGGGTGCAGGGGAGGGAAGGGAGGCAGGATTGAGGAGAATGGAGTCAGACCTGCTTTCTGAGTATTCTCCGGAAGAGGACAGAAGTGGAGCACAGTGAAGACCAATGGGCTTTTCTTGCTTAATGACATTACATATCTAGCTGTGCACTGGCTATGAGTTCTCCAAGCCAGGGACCATCAGTATAATAGTAGCTAAGTTTTGTTGAGCACTCACTACATAGTGAATTCATTTGCATAGAGTATCTCATTTAATGTTCACAACAACCCCATAAGGTGGGCCATTATTACTGTTACTCTTCACAGGAGGCATAGAGGGGCTAACTCCCCCAAGTCACCCAGCTAATAGGAGGCAGAGCCAGGAGCCATGTGCTGACAGCTTGCCTGCTGAGTCTGGGTCCTTCACCCCAGCAGCATTCTGGCACCAGAACCAGCGTGCAACAAATGGAAAATCAATGTCTATCTGCACATTTGGCCGTGGAGCTCTCAGTCCGTGACTTCAGCCTGGGCGCTGGGAGCACCATACCCAAGGTTTTGAGAATGAGTCCAGTTCTTGTCCAGTAGCAGAGCTGAGGACAGACAGGAGAATGCCCTGGGACATTTGGTTACCACTTACAGCTATCCGGCTACAGCTCCAGGCCCACACAGCCCTGGGAGCAGCCCACAGGCAGGTAAACATGAGGATGGCTCATGTGTCCAAGCTGCGCTCTGCGCTCTCCAGTCTTCACTGCATGACCTTCTTTCCTTCTCAGAAGATGCCTGCCTGGGTCTTCTGGGAAGAGAAAGGTGAGTGGCGCTCCCTCCCTCCCCAGCCCTGGTCTGCAGAGGCCAGGCAGCCTGATTCGGAGCTGCCTTGTCATGTGTGATAAAGTGGAAGGAATGCCAGGTTTCCAGGCAGCCCCAACCAGGGAGGAGAAAAGGTGAGAACAGGAGGAGAGTGGGGAGAGGGAGGGCAGCACAGCAGCCAGTGGGGGCCTGAGAGGAAAGGTTCTCAGAGCAAAATCTGCCTGGGGGGTGGCCAACGAACCCCAGGACAATCATGTCCAATATTCGATTTAGATCCACGTGCTGTGTGGTCCTGAGAGGTGAGCTTCCCTCTCTGTTACCTCCGTAGACCTTAGTAAAGCCGGCCTCACACAAAGCTGGGATGTCCCTGATGCTTCGGGGTGTAAAGGAAGAGGAATGGCATCGGCAAAAAAGAGCAGAAGAGGGTGGCAGCCATATGGGCTGCAGAGGCACCTCATGGCATGGGTAGGTGAGGGATAAGAGGGGATTTATGAGAAACGCAGAGAAAATCTGGATCCACTGATGGGAGCATAAGCCCTGGAGACCGGGACACATCCGATTGCATCCCACCAAGTCCCCCTGAGGATTATCGAGCCAGGGGGTGGAGCCACATGCCGAAAGACAGGAAGACAGAGGACTTGTGTTATAGGGATTATGGAGAGAATGATGTCCTACAGCTACCATTCTCCAGATGAGAAAACAGAGGCTTCTGCCCACTTGCTCCAGCCACTCAACCACGGCCACTCCCACATCTCCTAAACAAAGGAGACGGAATCTGGGTCCTCCCTCCCCTGCTTCACTCTGGCTGCTCCAGTGACCTGTGGCCACCTGCGTCACTCTGCTGCCTGTCCCCTGGTGGCTGTCGGAGAAGATCTCTCTCTTGGTCATTCCTTGAGGGTAGAGCCACGGTCCCTCCCACAGCCCCGGACTGTCCTGGCTGCACCTTTAGACTGCAAGTGCCACATGGGCAAGGACTCTGCTATTCGCCTGGACTCCACCTTCTTAATTAATTCCCTGCCATCCTCATTTACAGCCCAATAAAATGACAGGATTCGAAAGAAATAAATAACCAAGTGGCCGTTGGCACTCCCTTTTCAAGAGAGAGGTTGGGCAGGACCCTACCTTCCAAGTTCAGAAGTGGAAATATCACCTTTCACCCACATAAGAAGTGGCATCCAAGATGTCTTGCCAATCTCACAGGGCTCCGAGCCCTGTCCTGCCTGCTTCCAGAGGGCAGCCACCTGAGGGAAGTCATCTTCAGGGCCCTCTACAACCCCCACTCATCCATCTCCACCCTCTGACTCCCAGCCTCTTCGTGACTTGTCCCTGTGCAGAGCTGCCCTAGATCCCCAGAATGCTACCATCCCCTGCACCTCTCTGTTTTCCTTCTCTGTGATCCCAGACTGGTGAAGTCCTTCTCCCTCCACCAAAACCCTTTTCCTCCTTTCCTGAGAATTCCCCTCTAAGGAGAACCTCTCACCTTCTTTGTAAGTGAAAGAGAATGAAACTAAGAGTCCTTTCCCACTTCCCAGAAGCACCTTCCTCATCTCCCCAGAAGCACCAGCTGGCACCATAGGCCGCCTGCCCCTGCTGCTGCCCAGTGGAAAGCACGGTGGACTTTCTCCCCAGGGCACCTTTGGGGAAGTGACAGGGTCAGCCTGCTCCTTGGTTCCCTGAGGAGCCTTCCAGACCTGTGGTCCCCACCCCAGCAAACTTGGTCTTCTCCAAAAGACCCATGTGAATCCACCTCACCATCTCTCTGAGTGAAACATGTACCTTATGAAATGGGAGAAAAGATTTGCAAACCATATAACATATAAGGGGTCAATATTCATAATATATAAAGAAGTCCAACAACTCAACCACAAAAAAAAAAACAACCAATTTTTTAAAATGGGCAAAGGACTTGAACAGACATTTCTCCAAGGAAGATATACAGATGGCCAGCACTCGTGAAAAGATGCTCGACATCACTAATCGTTAGGGAAATGCAAATCAAACTAAGAAAGGGGAGTTTAGACTACATAGTTGGTGGGAAGAGGCGGACAGGCCCATGCAGTTCTGAAGAAGTTACCCAGGGAGAATGAGGCATCCATTTCATTGCGGGGCTTGGGGTGGAAGCATAAGATTAGACACTCCTCTGGGTGGATAGAGGTGACATGCCAGTTCACACAGGATGTTCCACTGGGTGACTGAAAGGCCACTCCCAGGATTTTCACTCTGACCATCTTGTTATTCAACCGAGAGCACCTAGGAGTGAGAGAAAAGGCAAATTCGAGGCCGACTAGCACCTTGTGGTCGCCCAGGGTGGGTCCCAGGGAGGCACTGCTCCAGCAGTAGCAGAGAAGGAGTATGTCGCTGCCTTTATGCACCTCCGGGACCACGCGGGGTGGACCACACTCATGGAAGACCAGCTCTGAAGCCTGGGAGTTGGAGGGGCTTGATCACGGTCTCTCAGCGGGTTAGGGGCAGAGCCTGGCACAGGCCTCTCACTCCACCACACTGCATCCCCTCATGACTTTCAGCCTGACACCAACCATCTCACAGATTTTTCAACAAGTGACCCCCAAATATCAGCAACTTCCTCATGTCTCATGTAAACTACTTTCCCTCCTTTGACCTTCATCACCTTTCTGCTTTCTTCTCCATCCTTATTTCTTTATTATCCAAGTGAAGACTTCCTGCCTTACCCAAAGCTCCGCGTGTCACACAATTGTCACTGGCATTATTTTTTTCTGTAGGCGTTTGCAGCCGACCTGATGCAGGAACAACAGCCTCTTGGAGTCTGTGCTCTCTCTGCACCACGGCCCTCAAACTGCATGGAACAAGTGCATCAGTTTGTGAGACTCCGCGTCTTAAAGGCTTCTTCCATCGAGAGAGACGGTACCTGTTCTTTTCTCCTGGGTAGTCTAAACAAGCATCTTAAGAAAAAGACATTTATTGCCAAGACAATTGGAGATAAGGGAAAATCATCTGTCTGCCAAAATGGCTTGCGCTGGGCCTGAGCTGTGGCATTGTCAGAGTGATTTTAGCACAGACCCTGCTAGACATGAGCCTATTACAAATGCTAGATAAGGCCCTCGTTTTTATAGAGCTCGGAGGAGTAGAGGGGAGACGGGGAGTTGCAGTGATAGTCGCCACTGCAGATAAGGAGAATATATATTTTGTTTAACCAAACCTGTCCGTTGGCTAGAGACTCCAATGCACTGGTATCCATCAAATCCTTCTCTGATTTACACAAATCTACACAAATACCTGATTCCCCCGATAAGGAAAAGTGTAAGTCAATACTGCTCAGTTGTAATTGGGTGTTACCTGCCCCGATACTGGACTTTTTATCTGCAGCTCCTTTTGCAGGCTCGCTCCAGCTTTATCTGCCTCTTAGGTGTGACCAAATTGTCGTGTGTGCGTGTGTGTGTGTGTGTGTGTGTGTGTGTGTGTGTTGGCTCCAAAGGTTTATTCACGAATAGATCCCAAAGAAATGTCACAGAGAAATAGTGACTTGAAGTCCAAAGAGGAAAAAAAGGGAGGCCGCAGGCACATGATGGATCTGTGCAATAGTCATACGTAAGCCGCCGTGATGTCCACACCACGGAGACCCCGTCTGCTATGCATCACCCATAGCACGGGCAGCCGAACCCCAGGGCTGCCCTGATAAGAGGCCGAAACGGTGGTAAATCATCCCACACCTCCATCCCACACCTCTGGACTCAGTTTCTCCATCTATGAAAGGGAAAATTCTGTCCACTGCCAGGTATTTATCATGAGGATAAATGAACTGCATTGCGCCAAGTGATCTTGGAACAGGAAGGCTGGTGGATTAAATAAAGATTTACAAAGAATTATGTCCAAATGATCCTTATTTATGATGTGCTTGGTGAGGGTAACAGATGAGAACTCGAAGAGACCCTGGGAGAACCTGCTTCCAGTGCCTCTTTTTCCAGATGGAAAAAAAAAAAAAAAAAAACAAACACCAAAATTGAGGCCCAGAGAAAAGAAGGAACTTGCCCAAGATAAACTAACCCCTTCCCCACCTCCACCTTCCTTAGCTGGGTAAGGCAGGGCTCAGGAAAGACAAGTTTTGCTACAAGCTGTCCTCAAAGCTACCCTTCTAGCCCTGAAACGGGTGTGCTCAGAAAGAATTTTTAGCAATGCAAAGAAAAATTGTAGTAAAATGTTAAGGAACATAGCAGAATAAAAAAAAAATTGCTCACATCCTATGAACTGCAATAATTGTGTGTGGGGGGGGAAACAGTATTTCAAAACATGAAAATAGTTGTGTTTGGAAGTGGGTTTTATTTTCAAATTTTGTTTCTATTGTTATTGCTTTGTTACTGGTCTGTTACAAATTATTAACATTACATTCTGTTTGTAAAGCTTTTGTTTTCAAGCAATGCAGCAGTGAATAAAATGTTTTAAAAGAAAGAAAGAAAGAAAGAAAAGCACTGCCTTACTCCCACTACCCAACCCCCTAATCTCATTCTCCCAGAGTAACTATTTTTACATTTGCAGGGTCTTTCCAGACCTTTCTTGGATACAAATTTGAACCTAAATGTTTGAATTTCTGTGTTTTGTATGTAAAGGGGATGGTGGTGGTGGTGGTGGTAGTTCCCTGGTACTATTATTCAACAAACAAGAACAAACCGTTCTGTGACCCAAGCCATTCAAGGGAGGCGAATGCACTGTTAGCGCCACCAGGAAAACGTGGCTTGTGAGCTGGGTGAGAACAGAGTTCATTCACCTCCCTCAGGAGAGACTTTACTCCCAGAAAGACTGATTCAGGCCAGCTCCGGGTGGCCTGGCTCCTTCCCCCCCAGCCCACAAGGCCCCCAGGTTTATTGGCCTCATGGACTCAACTAGTACCATTGTAGTCAGAGGTCAGTTTAATGGGAGGTGGCTCTGAGACAGCAGCGAATTGGTGTATTTGAGTGACTTGACAAAAACGAATAATAAGACAAGAATTCTGGAGAGAGTAGGTAGAGCTGACATTATGTCCAATATATTGTAATGTGTGTGGATAATATTCCTGGGAAATTCACCACCCTTCAGACACCATCTTTGTAAAGCATTCACTTATCTTCAACCCTGGGTTGTCCTAGTGTGCTAATCCAAGCTTTGGAACAGGACGCTATCATAATGCCAGTAGCCCTGTGTAGGATCCCACCATTGACACAGCATCCCCATCAACACTTATCCCATCCCTTGATCCCAAAACACTTGGAGCAGGCTCTCCATATTGAGGGTTTCTAGCTTTAGCAGATAAAAATGCAGGATACCCAGTCACAAGTGAATTTCAGATAAACACCCAATTATGTTTCTTAACTAGTTAGTGTTGGTATGAAAGTTAATTTCTTCAGAAACTTCTTTTATAACCAGCTACCGTATAAAACTATCTTATGAGCTGGGGTACCAGCCAGGGACCAGTGAGGAGACAGAAACTATATCAGTATTTTTAACAGATAATATAATAAAAGGAATTGTTAACTAGGCATGGAAAAACCACTAAAGCAGAAAGATAATCCTAACGTATGATGAAGGTAGAGACTGCAGAGGCAGATATTACTTGTAAAGTTGGGCAATCAGAAGAAAAAGGTTGAAATTATTAACATTTAGACACTTGGAGGAGAGGCCCATGGGGCTGGAAACATATGTCTGAGGAGGGGGTGAGTGACAGACAGTACTGGCATCTCTGACAGCATCTTGAAGAGTTTGTTTCTGCAAGAATAAGAAAAACTGGGCTGGGCGTGGTGGCTCATACCTGTAATTCTAGCACTTTGGGAGGTGGAGATGGAGGGAACACTTGAGCTCAGGAGCTCCAGACCAGCCTGGCCAACATGGTGAAACCCCATCTTTACCAAAAATGCAAAAATTAGCTGGGCGTGGTGGCACATGCCTGTAATCTCAGCTACTCAGGAGGCTGAGGCAGGAAAATCAGTTGAAGCTAGGAGGCGGAGGTTACAGTGAGCAAGTATCGTACCACTGCACTCTAGCCTGGGCTACAGAGTGAGATTCCATCTCAAAAAAAAAAAAAAAAGACAAAACTGAAAACTGGATTCAGCTGCTGCTACAAGAATGAACTGTTGCTGCCATGATAGAGAGGCTAGAGAAAAGCATTTATGACTAGGAAGCAAACGAAAGGTGTATTTCCTTCACCTCCACAAGCCTTGTAGTCTCCCTTCATTGTTGTCTGTGGGCAGAACCTGATACAGAGCCAGCCAGAAAGACAGAATGGTGGCTTATAGAATCTCAACCCCACAAGCACAAGACAGAAAACAGAAAGGCAGAAAGGTGGGTTTGAGGCAGGGACTACAGCTTAGACTTCTGCAGTGTGTAGGTAAAAATGATTTTGCTTCTTCCCTTCCAATTCTTCTGTCTCTTATTTTTCTTATATTATTGCATTGGCTAGCATTTCCGGAATACTGATGTTGGGCATCTTGCTTTTGTTCCTAACAAGCATGAGAACATCTCTTCTGGTTTTTCACAATTAAATAATGCTAGTGGTTGGCTTGAGTCAGATTTCAAACTTTTTTTATTTCAATAGCTTTTTGAGTACAAGTGGTTTTTTGGTTACATGGATGAATTGTACAGTGGCAAAGTCAGATCTTTATGCACCTGTCACCCAAGTAGTATACATTGTACCCAATAAGTAATTTTTTATCCCTCACCTCCCTCCCTACCTCCCTCTTTCTTCTGAGTCTCTAAAGTCCATTATACCACTCTGTCTGCCCTTGCATACCCGTAGCTTAGCTCTCACTTATAAGTGAGAACATACCGTGTTTGGTTTTCCATCCTTGAGTTATTTCACTTAGAATAATGGCCTCCAGCTCCAGTCAAGTTGCTGCAAAAGATATCATTTCCTTTTTTATGGGTGAGTAGTATTCCATGACATATATATTTGCTTTCGCTACTCATTAGTCAGTGGGCACTTAGATTGGTTCTACATCTTTGCAATTGAGAATTGCATTGTAATAAACATATGCATGTGGGTGTCTTTTTGATATTACTTCTTTTCCTTTGGGTAGTTACCTGGTAGTGAGATTACTGGATCAAATGATAGATCTACTTTTACTTCTTTGAGAAATCTCCACACTGTTTTCCATAGAGGTTGTACTCATTTACATTTTCACCAGCAGTGTATAATGGTCCCTTTTCACCACATGCAGCCAGCACCTATTGTTTTTTAATTTGTTAAATAGTGGCCATTCTTGCAGGGGTAAGGTTGTATCTCATTGTGGTTTTAATTTGCATTTCCCTGATAATTAGTGATGTTGAGCATTTTTTCATATGTTGGTTGGCCATTTGTATACCTTCTTTTGAGAATGTCTACTCATGTCATTTGCCCACTTTTTGATGGGATTATTTGTTTCTTTCTTGCTGATTTGTTTGAATTCCTTGTAGAGTCTGGAAATTAGTCCTTTGTCAAATGAATAGTTTGCAAATATTTTCTCCCACTCTGTGAGTTGTCTGTTTACTCTGATGATTATTTCTTTTGCTGTACAGAAGCTTTTAGTTTAATAAGGTCCCATTTCTTTATTGTGTTTGAGTCAGATATTTTTATTATATTATGGGAATATCCTTCTGTTCTAATTTTTTAGTGAGAGTTTTATTTGTTTTAATCAAGAAAGGATGCTACATTTGGTTAAATGCCTTTTCACTCCTATTGGTATAGTTGTATAGTTTTTCTTCCTTTGACTGAATACTGTAATAAATTTTATTGTTTCCTAATATTTTGTTTTATTTTTTTAGAGATGAGAGTCTTACTCTATCACCCAGGCTAGAGTGCACTGGTACAATCATAGCTCACTGCAGCCTTGAACTCCTGGGCTCAAGAAGTCCTCCTGCCTCAGCCTCCCAAGTAGCTGGGATTACAGGCATAAGCCACAGTGCCTGTCTGTTTCCTAATATTAATGACCTGGCTCCCTAAGGGAAAACCCTATTGAACATTGATATTTTCTTTTAATATACTGCTGGATTCAGCTTGCTAATATTTTATTCATTTAGAATAGTTACATCAATATTAAGAATAATAATTTCATTAAAATGACTCCAAATTTATACCAGTTTTATCCTTCATTTATCCTAAAAATATCAGGCTGGGTGGAGCAGCTCGTGCCTATAATCCCATCATTTTGGGAGGCCAAGGCAGGAGGATAACCTGAAACCAGAAGTTTGAGACCAACCTGGGCAAAACAGTGTGACTCTGTCTCTACAAAAATTTTAAAGAATTAGCCAGGCATGGTGGCACACATCTGTAGTCCCAGCTACTCAGGAAGGGAGGTTGAGGTGCGAGGATCACTTGAGCCAGGGAAGTTGAGGCTGCAGTAAGCTGTGATCACACACCACTGCACTCCAGCCTGGGTGACAGAGTGAGACCCTGTCTCAATTAAAAAAAAAAAAAAAAAAAAAAAAAAAGAGGAAAAGTTTCAAATCAGCTATCTAAGCTCTCGCCTCAAGAAACTGGAAAAATAAGAGCAAAATAAGTCCAAAGCAAATAAAAGGAAGGAAGTAATAAAGACAGGAGCGGATATCAATGAAATAGAAAATAGAAAAATAACAGAAAAAAAACAATAAAACAAAAAGCTGAAAAGACTGGGCGTGGTAGCTCATGCCTATAATTCCAGCACTTTGGGAGGCCGAGGCAGGTGGATCTGAGGTCAGGAGTTCGAGACCAGCCTGACCAACATGGTGAATGAAATCTCATCTCTACTAAAAATACCAATTCTTCAAAAAGTATAAAGTACAACCACTTACTTAATATGAAATCAGCCATTTGAATAGCCCTATAACTCTTTTTAAAATTGAAACAGTAATTAAAACTCAGAAAACACACCAATTCAACACATTTTTTCCAAGAAAAAAAAAACATTTTCCAATGCATTTTGTAAGGCCAGTATTACAGTAACACTAAAACCAGACTAACATACAAAGAAAACACTACAGCCCAATATCCCTCATTGACATAGATGCAAATCCTTAACAAAATATCAGCAAATAGAATGCAGCAACATGCAAGAATTACACATCATGACTAGTGAGATTTATTTCAGAGATGCATAACTGACTCACTAATTTAAAATCAATGCAATCCACCAGTTTAACATGCTAAGGAAAACAAATCATATGATCATACCAATTGGTACAGAAAAAAGCTTTCGATGAAATTTGATACCCATTCATGATAAAAACTCTGAAAATTAGGAATAAAGGGAACTTCCTCAACTTGATAAAGAGCACTTACAAAAGACCAACAGCTAACATAATTAATGGTAAAAGACTAAAGCCTTTCCACAAAGGCTGAGAATAAGACAAGAATTTCCACTCTCACTACTTCTATTCAGCATAGTAATGGAAGTTTTAGCCAGAAAATAAGGCAAGTAAAGAAAATAATAATAAAAGGGCTGGGTGCAGTAGTATGTACCAGTAGTAGTCCAATCTACTAGGGAGGCTGAGGCAACAGGATCACTTGAGCCCAGGAGCTCAGGCTGTAGTACACCATAACTGCACCTGTGAATAGCCACTGACCTCCAGCCTGGGCAACACAGCAAGACCCTGTCTTTTTAAAAGATAGTAACAAAAATAAAAATACAATGAATACAGGTCAGAAGGGAAGAAATTAAAGTATGTCTGTTCGGAGATAAAGTGATCATCTACATAGAAAACCTCCAAGAAATATACCAGAAAAGAAAAAAAAAACCTCCTGGAACTAACAAATGAGTTCAGCAAGGCTGCAGAAAACAAAATCAACATACAAAAACAAACTATAATTCTATATACTAGCAATGAACATGTGGAAAATGAAATTAACCATATAATATTAGTTGCAATTGCTCAAATAATTAGATTCTTAAGTGTAAATCCAACAAAACATGTATAGGACTTGTATACTGAATGTTACAAAACACTGGTGAAAGAAATTAAGATTTAAATAAATGGAGAGACATACCACGTTCATGGATTGGAAGATTCAACATAGTAAATATGTCAGTTCTTTCAAAGTTCATATATAGTTTTAATGCAATTCCTGTGAAAAATCTCAGCAAGATTTTCATATAGAGACAAGGTTATTCTAAAATTTATGTAAAAAGGTGAAAAAATTATGTAGAAAGCATTAAAAAACCCACCCAACTAGAAGAGCTGAAACAATTTTGGAAAAGAAGGACAAAGTGGGATTTTATAGCTATAGTAATCAAGACTATGTAGCATTGATAGAGAAATAGGCACTACATCAGTAGAACAGAGTAGAGAACCCAGAAATAGACCCACACAAGTATGGCCGACTGATTTTTGACAAAGGTGCAAAAGAAATTCAATGGAGAATAGATAGTCCTTTCAACAAATGATGCTGGAACAACTGGATATCTTGAAACTAAATAAACAAACAAACTTTGAACTCAACTCATACTTTATACAAAAATAACTCAAAGTGGAGCATAGATTTGAATGTAAAATGTATAAGTATAAAACTTTTAGAAGAAAACATAGGAGAAAATCTTCATAACCTAAGGTTTGATGAAAACTGCTTAGACATGACAATAAAAGTACAATTCATTAAAAAATTGAACTTCTTCAAACTGAAAATGTCTGCTTTGTGAAAGACCCTTTTAAGTAACTGAAAAGATAAGTTACAGATGGGGAGAAAATACTTGCAAACCAAGGATTCACATCTAGAATATATAAAGAACCCTCAAAGCTCAATAGTAAAATAATAATTATAATAACAATAGTAAAACCTAATTACCCAGACAATGGGCAAAAGACATGAGGAGGATGTCTTTTTATCAAAGGATTTACATCTTCTGTTGTAAATCCTTTCATCAAAGGAGAGAATTTCCTTCTTTTTATGGCTGAATAGTCTTCCATTGTGTATATGTGCCACATTTTCTTTATTCATCTGTTAATGGACACTTGGGTTGAATCCATGTCTTCACTATTGTGAAGAGTGTGGCTATATACATGGGAGTGCAGATGTCATTTCTACATACTGATTTCCTTTTCTTTCCCACTACTCAGTAGTGAGATTACCGGATTACATAGGTAATTCTAGTTTTAAATTTTTTTTGAAACCTCTGTACTGTTTTCTCAGTGGCTATACTAAATTTACATTTCCATCAACAGTGTATAAGGGTTTCCCTTTCTCCACATCCTTGCCAACACTTGCTATCTTTTGTCTGTCTGACCATAGCCGTTCTAAATGGAGTGAAGTGATATCTCATTGTCATTTTGAGTTGCATTTCCCTGATGATTACTGATGTTGAGCATTTTTTCACATACCTGTTTGCTATTTGTATGCCTTCTTTTGAGAAATATTTATTCCATCTATTCAGTTATTTTGCTCACTTTTAAATCAAATTTTTTTTTGGTATTGAATTATTTGAATTCCTGACGTAGTCTGGATATTAACCCTTTGTTAGATATAGAGTTTGCAAATATCTTCTCCCATTCTGTGGGTTGTCTCTTCACTTTGTTGATTGTTACCTTTGCTGTGCAGACTCTTCTTAGTTTGATGTAATTCCATGTGTCTATTTTTTGCTTTTGTTGCCTGTGATTTTGAGATCTTATCCAAAAAATCCTTGCCCAGACCAACATCATGAAACATTTTCCCTACGACTTATTCTAGTAGTTTCATAGTTTTGAGCCTAATCTTCAAGTCTGTAATCCATTTTGAGTTGATTTTTGTATTTGGTAAGAGATAGAGGTCTAGTGTCATTCTTCTTCATGTAGCTATCCAATTTTTCCAGCACCACTTATTGAAGAAAATATCCTTTTCCCCATGTGTTTGGTCTCTTTGTCAAAAATCAGTTGGCTGCAGATGTGTGAATTCATTTCTGGGCTTTCTATTCTGTTCCATCGGTCTATGTGTCTGTTTTTATACCAGTATCATGCTGTTTTGGTTACTATAGCTTTGTAGTGTATTTGGAAGACAAGTAGTGTGATGCCTTTACCTTTGTTCTTTTTGCTTAAGATTGCATTGGTTATTCAGGGTTTTTTGTTGTTATTGTTGTTCTATACAAATTTTAGAATTATTTTTGGACAGATAGCTTTTTCATTATTAGCCCTGGCTAAAAAGTCCCAGGAAAATTCTTAGTGGATCTTCAAATTGGCCAAACTTGGGACATCTGTTGCACCTCAGCCTCAGGGAGTGGATGTCGCATAGGAAAGAGGATCTGTCCCTTGAAGAAGGGATGAGAGAAGCCATATGATCGGACCAGCCCCCCAAAAAACCCTCTTGGCCCTTAAAAATGAAATTACCAGATGGCCCTTGGTCCTGTAGACCTTATGTCCTTATGTCCCAAGAAGAGCAACAAGATGAATCCAAATACATAATTAATACATAAACACCAGAGATGGGAGATTGCAAATATGCACACACTCAACCTATGAAAAGACATTGATCTGACTAGGATGTTAAAGGCTGAATAATCAAATGTTGAGCTGGACTCCCAAGTGACTGGAGGGTCTGGGATCAGATGAACCTGGTGCAGAGAGACTCCAAGGAGCAGGGTCAAAGGAGGCAAAGTATGAAAACATTCTCCCCTCATACACACAAGGTGGATGGGAGAATCAAATGAAGCAACAGAAGAGAATGCTTTGTAAACTGCAAACTGCTACACAAATTATTGTTGGTATTACTTAGCTAGGAGTGTGAGCTTGAGGGCGGGTCTAATGAGTAGGTCAGAGTCAGCCTGGCACAGCAAGAATGAAATAATTTTTTTTTTGAGATAAGGTCTTGCTCTGCCACCCAGGATGGAGTGCAATGGTGTGATCATAGGTCACTGTAACCTCAAACTCTTGGGCTCAAGTGATCCTCCTGCCTCAGCCTTCTGAGTAGCTAGGACTATAGGTGTGTGCCATCATGCCCAGCTAATTTTTTTATTTTTTGTAGACACAGGATCTCACTATGTTGCCCAGGCTGGTCTTGAAGTCCTGGGCTCAAGTGATCCTTCTACTCTGGCCTCCCAAAGTGCTGGGATTACAGGCTTGAGTCACTGTGCCCAGCCACAAGAATATGAGAGTGGAAGCCAGAAGACCTCAGTTCTAGGCTTTCTTGTAAAATTAGATAATAAGAGAGAATGCACACAGAGGGCTTAGCACAGTGCCTGCTACTGGGAGAGCCCAAGAAATGGTGGTCATTGATCAAGACAGTCCCAGTTCACCAATGTCCCAGTTCAATGTTAATGTGTCAAGCCAGAGGGAGGGAGTGTGGCTCAGTTGCAGACGTGGACCAAAAAAAGTGAGCCAGCATGGAGCTGGGCCAGCCAAACTCCAAGGAGCACACTAACTACAATACGTGGGATTTTACACAAGAAACTTCCAGTAAACATTTACTGAATCCAATCAAATTGCAGACTTGGGGGATGAAAATGTTAAGATTTCAATACATCAGTATTGCATAACCATTGCATAACAGATGGTTGCATAACCTTGTGCGATACTAAAAACCACTGACTCATACATTTTTGAAGGGTAAATTGATGCTATGTGAATTCTATCTCATTTTGTAACAGTGGAAGCCTAACAGGCTGGAACAGGGAGCATCACTCATTGCAGGAAGGAAATGTAGAGGTTCAGTCGGAGCCTGGTCCATCAGTCCACTTGGTTTCAAATTATTCTCACTTCTGCCCATGCTGTGGGGACTTCAGGTAACTCCAGGGTCCCTTAGCTCTTCTGGAGACTCAGGTGCAAATAAAGTGCCACTCACCGGCAGTTCATCACTTAGGGCTTCCTAGTCCCAAGGGGACACTCTTTCCAGCAGTTCTGTCGCCACGATGGGAGAAGCTGCCTACTGAGCACTGCATAGCCCTCAGCTCCTGGGCCTGGAGCAGCCACAGCTCGTGAACACTCAGCAGGCAGCTGTCCACAGGTTTTGGTTTTCTGCCTTAAACACAAGTCAGTCTAGGTGGCTAGAGCAGCGTCACCAGGCTGAATGCAAGAATCCTTTTGCCCACAGCTACTAATAATATTAGCAGTGGTAGTAATAGCTAGTTGTTTTCAGCACCAGGCATCACACTAAGTGATTCTCATATGGTTATCTCATTTTAACCTTGGCAAGGACCCTATGAGATAAGTATTATTATTGCACTCACTTTACAGATTTGAAAACTGAGGATTAAAGATGTTCATTCATTTGCTACACTAGAGAAAGAAATGTAATTTCTGGAGACTGTCTCGTAATCACATGCTTAATGTCAAACACCTCAGGAAAAGGACAGTCCTCAGATGCGAAGTCGGAATAGAAGAGTTGGCTGCGGACGGGGAAATGGCAGATGGTCAGAAGACTGTTGTTCTCTACCTTCTGCAGTACTTTTGGGCAGGACGCAATGGCTCATGCCTATAATCCCAGGAGTTTGGGAGGCCGAGGGGGACGACTGCTTGAGGCCAGGGGTTCAAGGCTTCAGTGAGCTATGATCATGCCACTGCACTCCAGCCTGGGCAACAGAGAGAGACTTTCTCTAAAAATAAAAAATAAAATACAGTAGTTTTAAGTTCAGCAATAAATATGTAACACCTTGATAAGAAAAACTAATAAAAATTTTGTGCACGTGCATGCCCGCATGTATGTGTGTGTGTGTAAACACTCAGTTTAAAGAACAGGGACAGCAGGCCTCAAGGCCGAGGTGCTCCCCAGAAAGTCTCTCTCTGGCCCTCTCCCTGGTCTGGATTCCAAGTGATTTTTGGAGTTTGGGCTGGTGTTATCAGCAGTCACATCATCCTCATCATCTCTGGTGGCCCCCCTGACTCAACAGGACAAACGTGGGAGCACAGAGGCACACCAGCCTCTGCCCAGGACAAGGACACTCAGGAGTCACAGCAGGTGGCTTCGCTCATGACGCCTGGGTTCCCTGGGTCCTGTGTCCTGGCCCCATTCTCCACCATCCCGGGCAGTAGTGGCCACTGGGCTTCATTAGAATTTTTCCCAGGGAAAGACTCATGCTGCCCTGGGCTGGCATAACGCCCTGAGCTAGGCCTCAGAACAGTGGAGTTTTAGGTTCCCCAAAATATATAAAACCCCTGGAAAATCTGAAACCATGGGGGACAAAAATGGGCTTCCTTTCACCTCACAAGAAACAATTCAGAAAAGTAGGGAGAAATAAAAATACCTGACGGTTCTCTAACACTCCCATGATTCCTTTTATTTTTTCAATTTTGGAACACAAAAGTGTGTTCTCTAGGACTTGAATACTTTTCCTGGACATTGCTGGCCTCAATAATAATGCCATGAGGTCCCCAGATTCTTGTAGGCACATGTGGAGGAGGGAGGCAGTGGGATGTCAGAGGTGAAGGTCAAACACAGGTGCTCTTGTTACTGTACCACAACGCTGGAAGTTATGCTTCCTAATTTTTTAATAAAGAAGTGAGTGTTCTCTCTGCTCCAGTGCAATTCTCAAGAGAACTTCATGTTTCACCTTCTTCCTTACTGCACATCACTCTCTCACAGAACTTTGCAGCAGGCAGGGCAATCTGCCCGTGAATATGACCCAAACTGGGATAAGTGGATGCTGCTGCTCCCAGTTACCTGCTACATAAAGAGGATGATGGAGACCTCCTCTCTAAATTTTGGGTCAAAACTCCATAACAGGTAGAAAATGGTATGGCAATTCCTCAAAAAACTTGCACATAGATAGGTCCATGTGAGCTGGCAATCCCCCTTCTAAGGATATACCCAGAAGAATTGAAAGCAGCAACTAAAACAGACATTCGCACGCCTGTGTTTATGGCAGAAATATTCACAGTAACCAAAAGGTGAAAACAACCCAAATGCCCATCAACAGATGAATGGATAAACAAAATACAGTCTTTGTGTGCAATGGAGTATCACTTGGTCTTAAAAAGGAGGGAAATTCTGGCCCCTGCTACAACATGGATGAAGCTTGAGGACAGGATGCCAAGTGAAATAAGCCAGCCACAAAGGAGTACGTACTGTATGATTCCACTTATAGGAGGTACCTAGAGGAGTCACATTCATGGAGACAGAAAGTTGAGGGCGGTTACCAGAGGTTATGGGAAAGAGGGGAATGGAGAATTAGTGCTAATAGGTGCAGGGTTTCTGTTTGGAAAGCTGAAAATGTTCCGGAGATGGAAGTGGTGGTAGTTGTACAACAATGTGAATGTACCTAATACTATGGACGTGTACCCTTAAAAACGGTTACAGTGGGGCCGGGCGCGGTGGCTCACTCCAGTAATCCCAGCACTTTGGGAGGCCGAGGCAGGCGAATCACTAAGTCAGGGGATTGAGACCATCCTGGCTAACAAGAAAAATACAAAAATTAGCTGGAGATAGTGGTGCGTGCCTATAATCCCAGCTACTGGAGAGGCTGAAGCAGGAGAATTGCTTGAACCGGGACTTGGGAGGCAGAGGTTGCAGTGAGCCAAGATCACACCACTGCACTCCAGCCTGGGCTACAGAGCAAGTTTAAAAAAAAAAAAAACCACGGTTAAAGTGTTGGAAGGCTGAGACAAGAGAACTGCTTGAAACTGGGAGGCAGAAGAGGTTGCAGTGAGCGGACATCAGGCCACTGCACTCCAGCCTGGGTGAGAAGAGCGAAACTCTGACTCAAAAAAATAAAATGAAATAAAATTAAAAAGGTTCATGTGGCAAATTTTGTAGTATGCGTATTTTACCATAATAATCATAAGTAATAAAAATAACTCCATAAGGCCGGGCGCGGTGGCTCATGCCTGTAATCCCAGCACTTTGGGAGGCCGAGGCGGGCGCATTACAAGGTCAGGAGATTGAGACCATCCTGGCTAACACGGTGAAACCCTGTCTCTACTAACAATACAAAAAAATTAGCCGGGCGTGGTGGCGGGCGCCTGTGGTCCCACCTACTTGGGAGGCTGAGGCAGGAGAATGGCATGAATCCGGGAGGCGGAGCTTGCAGTGAGCCGAGATCCTGCCGCTGCACTCCAGCCTGGGCGAGAGTGCGAGACTCTGTCTAGAAAAACAAACAAACAAACAAACAAAAAAAAACAACTCCATAAGGGAAAGCTACAAGTGAACAAGGCTCCTCCCTGGTGTAAATGACAGGGCCCCTGGAAAGACAAGGCCTGGCCCTGGCCTCTGCATCTGTGCCTTGTACTGTTGGGCTCATGCGTCAGGAATTTTAATGATCTGACACCACAGGGAGCTTTACACTAAAATCTTCCTGAAGCCTAGTTTCTACGAGTCATTTGGCAGGGGAAGAGTATAAAGACAGATAACAATAAAGGACACTTTATTCATCATTTGCAAAAATATTCAAAACCAAAAATTCTTGGAAGGGAAAAAATATTCATGTTTCCTTCATATTTTTCCTCTCTCTTCCCAGCCTGATTCACCTCTCTAGTTCTGTTCCCACCATATGACCTTACCTTTACTCTTTGATTTCTGGCAGTTCACTTACCTTTTCTGTTTCAGTTTCCTGGCCTACATTTGTTTTTTGTTTTTGTTGTTTGTTTGTTTGTTTGTTTTGAGATGGGATCTCACTCTGTCACCCAGGCTGAAGTGCAGTGGCATGATCTCGATCTCAGCTCACTGCAACCTCTGCCTCCCAGGTTCAAGCTATTCTCCTGCCTCAGCCTCCTCAGTAGATGGGATTACAGGCACCCGCCACCACACTCGGCTAATTTTTTGCATTTTTAGTAGAGATAGGGTTTTGCCACGTTGGCCAGTCTGGTGTCGAACTCCCGACCTCAAGTGATCTGCCTGCCTTAGTCTCCCAGAGTGCTGGAACCACAGGTGTGAGCCACCAAGCTCAGCATCCTGGCCTACATTTGGAAAAAAATATTAACTTATTCGGTTTCTCCCTACCTTGCAGAGATAGTTCTAAGGATCCCGTGAGACTGTGAACTGGGAAATATGTTAAAATAGAAAGGTATTGTGTTTCTTCCTTTCCTCCAAACTGCCTTTGCGAGATACCAACTCCCAACAGGGACAACTTCCCAAAATAAAACCAGGCAGGAGAGCAGGGAATTCCGCAGCAGACCTGTCAAGGGAGATCTGTTTGCCCGGTTCCTCAAATCACATGACAGCGGCAGCTCCCTGTGCCTGTGTTCCCAGCCCTGCAATGCTGGGTCATTTGGGAAGCAGGAAAGTGTGGTGGTCAGCAGAGCTGCACGCCCATGGCACGCAGAGAATGAGCTCCCCATCACCAAGAGTATTCAAGTAGAGTACGGATAATCGCCTTGGAGGGAATTCCTGATTTAAGCAGGAGCTTGGAATTCTGAGGTCTCTTCCTATTCTAAGAAGCCATGGATTTCTTTAATTTGAAGTTCAGTACCGGCTCCATTTCTTTCTTGCTGTGTGACTTGACCACAGGCAGATTCCTAACCTCTCTGAGCCGGTTACCTCATCTAGGTTAATAATATAGCATCTGCCTGCTTGACCCTATTGTAAGGAGCTCAGAAATGCTGTTATAGCAGTACTTGGAAAAAATTGTAATTTGTAATTGGCATGCTAGGAGGAGCTGCGCTGCTGTTACTATTATCCCATGCCCAGAGGGCGATCGCACAACATAAGCAAATGCCACAAAGCAGCCCTCCCTACCTCAATCTAAAGGCAAGACTAGAGTCTGAGAGGAGTCTTGGGGTGCAGGAAGCACATACGGTGAACTGAGCATTTCTCCCCATGAACGGCGATTCCTTGGGTCCTTCTGAGTGACCTTCCAGAAGCATCTCTGTAACCTTGTGAACACTGACTTTTTTAAAACTGTCCAGCCAGAACTTCATTCCCTAGCAGAGTTTCCTTCCACTTTTACACACACCAAAAAAAAAAAAGAGGCTTGCTGAATTAATGAACCACTTCTCTTATCTATTTTTCCTGTTATCTAATTCTGAGAAGGAAGCTGGGAGCTCAGAGGGAGCTGGGAGACACGGCTCACAACGTCTCCCTCCCACCCGGCTGAGAACAGCCTGGAATCCCTGTGCAGAGTTTGCCTCACACCAGGCCTTGAGCAGCCGCAGGGACGCCGCTCCCCACCGCGGGTGAGTCCCCTCCTGGCCCTCCTGGTGACCCCTCTGCCGTGGGAGGCTGGGATGCTGGGGGAATGGAAGGCTTGGGGAGTCTCCTTGCTCACCACAATCTCCAGCTGTGGGGAGAGGGAGGTGGGGGAGGGGAGGGGAAGGCTTCCCCAGCGTGGGGCCGAGGCGGAGGCTGTGGAGAGGCTTTGAGGCCTTTGCGGACAGGAAGGAAGGATGAGGCTCTGTGAAGGCCAGGCCGCAGACGCCGGGCTTCCTTCCCACTTTCTTTCTGTGTCCCTCCTTCTTCCACTGAGGTGGCATTTTAGTTTCTCTATTTCCCGATTCAGCTTCCCACTCCAACAACTGGAAATGGAGAGGGGTGCCTGGTGTCTCAGGAAAAACCTAAATAAATACATACACACCAGAAATCAAATGGATCTGACCAGGTATCCCAGGACCATCTGGCCTCTGCTTCCTCCAGAACACCCAAATCCCCTGGGGTCCCCCGCAGCCCTTGGTGTCCTCTTAAGAACGCCCTTGGAAACTTCAGGCAAACCTGGCCCATGTCAGACCCAGCCCACTTTGCTTTTGGGGTCAGAAAGTCTGTGCTGTTTCCCATCGCTTGGCTTCATTAGTTAGTAGCTAGGTCTCAGAGCTCTCAGAGTCGGATACTTTTCTTTGCCTATTCGCAGATCAAGGGTCAGCCAGGCTTGGTATAGGGTTTAATTTCCGATTATTCTGGAGCCAGACCTGAGATGGGAAGGAGGCGTGGGGGTGGGTTTTGCAGGTGGACCACAGAGCTCGTAGTTTTCTTCCCCAGGCCCACTGCGTGCGTTGCAGAGCTTGGTGGCTAATGCTTTTGGTTGCACACGCTTTTGCATACAAGTCGAAATTACCTCTACTTCCTACAAAGCCAAAGTCTGGGCAAATGAGCCTTAAATCTGATTTGTAGCTGAGAAAAGGGCTGAGTCAAAATAATAATAATAATAATAATAATAATAATAATAATAATAATAATAAATAGGAGTGACAGCTTTGAGAAGGAGTGCAGCTTTGAGAAGGCACGGGTCAGTGTCATAACCAAGGCTCTGAGAGTTTGAAACCTACCAAGTTTCCTGTGCCTAGTCCACATGCTCGCAGGTTGAAAGCAGACAACACCATTTGTTCACTCTGTAGCCTCAGGAGGACCCAGCAAGCGCTCTTCTGGAATTGGGTAGGATTGAGGGCAAAGCCTCTCAGTCCTGGTGTACCTATTACAAATATTAGCTTTGTGAAGCAGAGAACAGAAAATTGTTCCCTTTGACTATCTTTCCATCTCCAGCAGCCCCACCGGCTTCCAGGGGGTGATTTGAAAAGCTGTCACAAAACTTACAATCATCTGCATTGCTTATCTTTCCCCTGCCCAACTCTCTGGCTTGCTTACCCTTGCTAATGTTTTCCCAGGGCTGATATTCCTGCTCTTCTGTACGCTGTCCAAAAATAAGGGAAATTGAAAGGGTTTTAGTGGGAAAAGCAGGGACGGGCCAATCTGAGTTAAGGGAAAGCCGTATTATGTAAGGTGGCTAGAATCCTGTGATTTATCATCACAAAATTGGATTGGCTTTTTAAGTAGTAGTAGCAGTAGTTGTTGTAGTATTTGTAGTACTAGCAAATGTTTTGTTTCTGCTGGTCTCATTTTGATAAATCGGTCTACAGTAAAGGATACTTGAAAGTCCCACTTTATGAACTATTTTTTTTCAGAGTTCATTTTTAGTGACATAATCATTGCCACAAATTTCCTTTTCCTTCTAAGAATTTGTCTCTGAAAGTGATTTTGCATTCTCAAGTTCGATTAGGGGGGAGCCTTAAAAACAATTTTGTGTGCTTAGTATTGAGGAAGTGTTTATAAATTACTCTTTCTCCCTGGTCTAGTCTCAAGTATAATAAAATATCCATTTCAAATAGCTTTCTAATGTCTTGTTATATTTGCCAAGTGATTTATAGGACAGAAAATTATAGTTTGCGTGTGTAAAGTTCAGAGATATTTTAGAGCTTGGAGCAGAGGAGAGGAGAGGTTTTAGGGTTAAATTCAAGCCATCAATCTCCAATTGTCTAAACACTACACGAAGTGGAGATTCGAGGCAATTATCCGAATAATTGGGGGGGGGGGGCACTTTCGCCTGAATTATCTAGATAAAAGAGCGACACAGGAGAATGTCAGTGGCCCTGAAGGCCCTGCCTCGGATCTCCACGGTCGCGCGAATTCGGGCAATTTTTCTGAAGGTTCTCAGACTCGGGGATGGGGGAGGAAGGGGACGTTTCTAGAAGAAACTTAAAGGGGGCTCGCGCCGCACGACTGTAGGTGGAGGGCGTGCGCCGCGGGACGCCCCAGCCGAGTCTGATAAAGCCCCGAAGCCGATCTAAGGTCAATAAACCAGGCGGCGTCAGGCTTGGGCCGAGGGCCGGGAGGAGAGGAGAGTGGAGCCCTCTCAGGCTGGCGGCGGAATGAAAAGGAACCCCGACTGCTGGGGTCCGAGCCCTGGGCCGCTTGCGGGGCGCGCAGCCGGGGAGAGGAGCTGGGCGCGCGGCCTGGGCCCCCCACCTGCCCGACCCCAGGGCAGCCAAGCACCCGCGGCCTTAAAAGTATCCCGGCGAGCCCTGAGGGGGCCGGGTCCTGGGCGAACAGTCCTAGCCCTGCACTGAGGTTGGAAAAGCGAACGGAAAGTGACATTTTTACAGGGGCGAGGTTGGGATCGGGAGGGAGATGGTGACCCCCGAATAATGGAAACGCAGAAGCCTCAGAGACACCAGCAACAGATAGAGAAGTGTCCCTAAGAGGGGAAAATGAGGAAGAGGGTAACAGTATTGTTAACTGGCCATGAATTTTAATCCCTGTTGTGTGTCGCCGAATAGTTTACAAACTCTTTTTGCACTGGGGTTTTGTTTCTCCCACTCCCCGCATGATGAGAAGAAAGAAAGATTGGGAGAAGTTAATCAGCTCAAAGTCACATCGCCGGGGTCTCCTGCCAGGGGGCTTGGACCAGTTGCTAAAGGACTTCCCGCCGGAGAAGGTCTTCCCAAGAGAGATTCCCACCCAGAGCGCGCAGCCCGCGGGGAAAACATAACGCGCGCCTGTAAATGACGCCGCTCCCACCTAGGCCGCTCTGGGGCCGCTTAACGTCCGGAATGTCCCGACCCCCGGCTCAATCTTTGGTGCAAAGCCTGAGTGGGCAGGCGGGAGACCAGGCGGTGCCGGTGGAGCGGGCTACTTCAGCAGCGCGAGGCTCGGAAGATCCCCGCGGACAGGCGCGACAACGGGCCCTGGAGCCGGGGAATCTCTGCAAGTAACTAACCAGGCCCCTCGGATTCATTGCCACTTTCCCGCCCTCGGCCCACGAGGCTGAGGAGCTCCCTCTCATCGCCTCTCCGTTCCTGGCAAGGCCGAAGCCGGTTTGCTTTGGATGCATTTCGATCAATCTGGCGCCACATGGGCCAGGTCACCTCGGACGGGTGTCGCGCCGACGTCCTTCGTGGTCGCACGCTGGTGGGCCAGGAAGCCCAGGCCATGCCCAGCCGGGTCCGAGCGGCGGTCGGTGGCGTGACCTCTTGCCACGCCTGGCGCTGCTGGGAACGTGTCTCGGGTCGCCCTTTGCGTCAGAGACCCCCCCCTTGGGGAGACCGGAATCCTCCAGCCGCTGCGCACGGATACCCTGGGCGGCGAGGAGAGCCCGGCTTCTGCGCACCCCTCTCCAGATGCGAGGTGCTCACCCGCCCCTCGCCCTGCTCACCCCGACGCCTCGGTCCCCACGCTCTGGGCAGCAAGACACATAGCGAAGCCCCTGACCCATTTCTTCTCAGTTGCGACCCCCTGTGTGAGACCCCTAAAGAGGCCAAGGATCACAGTAGGTGTTTCATCAAAATGGTCACTGTGTCCCCCAGGTTAGGCTGCTGGTATCTCAATATCCCCCTGCAGAGAGACCCCGCACCCCCGAATCCCATACCCCAGGCTGCAAAGCACAGATCTAATGCCTTCCTTCTCTGGCCGGATTTGGAGGGACATTGAGGGGCATGGGTGGCGCCCCAGGCTCGCAGGGTTCGTGGTCCGGAAAACCGAGCCCAGGGAATCTCCAGCTCCGTTCTGTTCGCAGAACCTTCGGGGGTTAGTCACAGGCCCTGGCCCGCGCGGGATCTGGAGGCAGAGATTTCTCGACGTTTGGGGACTTACAGCTCGTCTGGGAGCGACTGGATTCCCAGGCCTCCGCACGCTGAGGTTCCGGGGAAGAGCACTGTCTTCACCACTTCTCGACCTGCGCCCCAACCCATCAAATTTCCAGCACTCGTCCCCCTAGGTCTCATAAAAACTCCTGGCAGACCCTTCCGGGATCACGCGTGGCTCAACTCGGGGGCCGTAGCTACGATCCCCGCGCAGACGCCGGAATCCGGGGCCCGGTCCCCGCGCGGGGTGCGGCGCTCGCGGGGGGGTGGATGGGGTCGGTCCCTCTCGGGAACGGCTGCTGTTGTTTCTTTAGATACTGAATATAATTTCTCCCTCCTCCACCCCACTCGCTGTTCTTAACAATTTTATTTATTGGTTTACTATTGTCTTGTGAACGTTTCTTGTCTCCTCCTTGCCTTTTTTCATCCCCTTTCTCTCTTCATTTCTCTCTTTTTCCTTAATTCTGTTGCAAAGTTTCCTTTTCTTGCTTAATCAAAATTCTCCCCGCTTACTTTGTTCTTTGCCCACAGCATTCGTTCTTCTTTTCTCCTTGCCTGCCTGTCTTCTTTCCCGCTGTTCTTGGCCGTGGGCAGACCCGGCTGATGTAAGGACTGCAGCTTTTCCCTGGCATACTATGCGCCTTCAGATGTGGTCTGCGTCTGCCTGGGTCTCTTCCCACCTCAATCTGAGATCCTTGCCCCTCACAATAAATTCGTTTTTATTCATTCTGATGTTTGTCTACAGAAGTTACTCGATAAAGATGTTTTGTTTCATGAATCAAAAGGCTTCTTGTCTGTGAATTATTTTAATTTCTGGATATTAAACTGCACAGTAGCTATTTTATTTGCCTTTAATAAATTTCTTAGGTTTTTACCTCTAACTAATGGCACATTTTAAATAATTTTCCAAGCACTAGGTGGTGTCTGACAAGATTGATTCACTCAAAAACGATGCAGAATTTCTTAACTGTAGAATCTTTTAAAACGGTGTCGGATGGCTTCTCCTGCTACATCGTTTATTTGTAGCTTCCACTAACTCTAAAGATTGAACAGGAAACTGATATGGTAGAAATAGATAACTTTGCCTTGTTCACTAGCTAAGATTTTATTTGCTTTCTGTTAGATCACAGTAGTGCTATCATAATAATGATAGAACAATTCGTCTTTTTTGTAGATAAATAATGATTTCGAGTGCTTATTATTTGTTTTAGGTAGAATTTGTTGTTAGATCATACATGAGAATTTTATTTCATAGAATAGTGCTGATAGATAGTAGATGCTTTTCATTTCCAACAAAACAGAGACAAGATTTTGCTTGTAAGAAGTTTTTTTCCCTTCAAGAAACTTAAAGAAAGCTTTAACTCTTAAAAAAAATTCTAACAAAACTTTCCTTGAAGAAACAAAATTTTTAACGGGGAAAAACTTGACCATGAGAAATTCAGAAGGAAGATGTGAAAGTCAGCTATGTCTCCTCTGCAGTGATTGCAGAACAACAAAAATTTGGAAAGTTACTATCCTACTGGTCAGACGTAGTAGTCCCCGTTTGTGCAAAAACACCTCTTGGCCGTGGCGATGTGGGGAGGGAGTGTGGTCCAATAGTCCTTCTCACTTCTCAGAGGTTGACACAGAATCTAACAGTTACCCTCTTAGAACTACTCCGGAGAATTCGGTAGGTAGTAGCTAGTTTCCACACCGGGGACCTGCTTTGTTAAATGCTATGGGTGTGGGGACAAGATACTGGGTTCAGAGAAAGTTCTGGGAAGAGTCTTGAGGTGGAAACAGCCTCGGTGCGCGGGGGTTTCTCGACAGCTCTCTGGTGTCTCTTACCCCCTAGGTTTTCCCAGCCTTCTCGCCGGATTGCCTTGGAAAGCTCTTGGTGTGGTGGCCACTGGGGTTTGCTCCAGCAGAGATAATGGAGGGGCTCGCTATCTAATCTGGACAGCAGCAGGAACAATCCATTAGACCTCAGCATTTAACCGGAGCGGGGGAGGACGGAGGGACGGGGCTGGCGTGCTCCACCTGGCCCTGGGAGGCGCAGAGCTGCCCCACAGGTGGCAGGGGGATTAATCAGAGAGTTTTGTGCTAAATCAAAACTCACCACTGCGTATTATGCTTGCTGATGCCGGTAAATAGTAATTCTACCCATTGTGACTGTTAGGAAGTAGCAGAATCCTTTTGGGTTGGAGGTATCGTTTTTTTTCTTTTAAGAAGTTCAATGAGCTTTACATTGTCTCATTCAAACTCACCCATCAAGGGGCGCGGTTCGATTCCAACTTTCACCGTATTCCTTGAGACTAGGTAGACTAAATCCATCCCCCCATTCTTTCATTCATTCATTCGGCAAACATTTACCAAGCTTTCCTCTGCGCTGGGCGTTATGCCTTGTACTGACAGGTTAAATTATTTGCCCAAGATGAGGACTAAAGCCGGAGACTGGGGCGGGACCCTAAATCAACTATTTCAGTCCCGCAACTGCTCACTTGTTTGCCCCAAGACACACAAATCGGAGATGTTTGGCGTTGGAAGGGCCCCAGAGGTTATCTAGCCAGCCTTCCATTCAGTGCAGGAATCCCTCCCCACAATGCCTGGGCCAGGCCCCTACCTGTACTCTCTGCCAGCTCAGGAAACTACAGCTCCCGGGTGGGCTTCCCATTTGAAACTGGCTCTGTGAACGGGAAAGAATTTCCCTGGGAGAAAATGGTCTTAGCCTGCCCACACCTAAACTTGGACTGCTGAGCCCTTAATGCTACTGTGACTCCCAAGTCTCCGGGTTTATGCCCCAAAAGTAAGAGTTCCCCTGCCCAGGGCAACCCATGTCCTCAGCCATAACTGGCTGGCCACGACCTGGGCTGTGCCATGGCTCCCTTCAGCCTTGCCCTGGTGATGGAGATCCCTGAGCTGCTAGAAACTAAAGCCCCTGAAACCTGAAGACGCTGTGGGCCTTAGTCAAGCCAACCTTCCTCTGATGTTATGGTGGATATTTGCTGCCAGGTGAGAGAAAACACTACAGGGAGTAGCCAAAGAATTGCCAGAGCCTAGATTCTAGATTCTAGTTCCCACACAAACACCTACAAGCTGGGTGACCTTGAGTAAGTTATTTCACTTCTATTTCTAGCATAGTCTAAAAATAAGGTGCAGGAATGTGCTTCTCAAAAGTTGAAAATGACATCTTTTTCAAAGATAAAATTTCTCCTTATAGTCTGTGTTCACAAAAGCCAATTTCTGAACCATAAACTCATTACAAAGAATGTTCTGGAAACCTTTTAGATTTGTTTAGATCCTAAATGTACATCGTCCCTAGGTCAGTGTAAGAGTTTAGACTCCAGTATTAGAATGTTGTGATTTGAATTCCATCTCCTCCACTCACTGGCTGTGTTTTCTTGGTCAAATTACTTAACGCTTCTGTGTTTCAGTTTCTTATATTTTAAAATCTTTATAAACCTTAGAGGACGGAAAGACTGCCCTAATCCCTGACATAATCATGTGTTCAGCTGGATGCTAATGTTCTCCTTGTTTTTGTTTGGCTTTGTGTGTTTTGTTTCTTAACCTATTACTTCAAAACTCTTCAGAAATTAAATACATCTACTAAGAGGTAGAAATTTATCTGACACACTGATAAATATATTTTTTATTTAGCTTAGCCAAAATTGACTGCTGCTGGTGGTTGTGGAAATTGTGTGAGTTAACCTTTCCGAAAGGCAATTTGGCAATAGATATTCAAAACCCAAAAAGTGGTCATATTCTTTGACCCACTTTTTCTGGTAATAGAAATTTACCCTCAGGAAATAATCAGAGATTCACAAGATGCTTTACTTAGCAAAGTTTATAATTTGACAAGGACGCACCAAACATTATGAATTGAGGTGAAAAACAGAAAATAACCTAAACTCTAAACAATAAGAGTTTACTTACATGAACTATACTAAATCCATTACACGATCATTAAATTATGTTTTCTTAAGATATTCAATGACATGGGAAGTCTCGATTCTTAAGAAAGAAAAAGTAGATTGTGAAACACTTCTACCACAGTCGAGAAAGAGAAGAGAGAAGACTAATGTTTCCAATTCTTTCTGCCTAATGTGGCTAAGGATGGATTTGGTTGTCCCCGTTATACTTTTCTGTATTTCCAAATGGACTATGACAAACTCGTGTTTATTTGAAAGCAGAATAAACAAATATTTTGAGAGAGGTGAGGAAGATTGGCCAGATCCAAGACATGTCAGCCTTCTTCAGGCTTCCTACGACGTTTATGACTGGTGCGCTTTCGTAGCAAATCATTTGTTCCAGAGAATTCAGTTTTAGGGTCCCCAAAACTCAATGGACTCAAAACTCCAAGAACAGCCCTGGACTCCTGATTCCAGGCTAGAGATGTTCACAGTTGGTAGGAGTGATTTTTCCACAAGGAAGAGATTCCCCTCCCCATTTAGAAAATGTTTTCAGGTCCAAATTTTCTCAGAATTTCACTTGCAACCTTGAGTGTTTCTGAAATTGAAAACAATCATCTAAGTTCTTGTAACTTTTCCCTCTTCCACGACTCCCTTTTCTGGCAGGAGGATGTGGTGGGATGTGAGGCCAGGTGTGGGGTAGTGATGGGGGATGCTGCAAATAGAAGCTGATTATTCAGACCTCAGGGAGGGAGAAAAGGAGGAGACTTGGTGGGGAGGAAAGTCAGAGCTTTGTTGGTGGCCAAGAAGCCAGGTGTTCAGAAAGGAAGGCCGTTTGAAGGCAAGAGAGCCAAAGCGGAGGACAGGACTGCAGACTGAATGAATCACAAGACAGCTCTTAATAAATGTCAGGTTCCGGTTTTGAAACTGAAATAGTTTGCACTTGTAGAGAAACAAGTAGCAGATGCCTTCCTCCTGCTTTACAAGAAGGGTGTGGGATGGAGCTGGGGGAGAGTGGTCACAAAAGCAAGTAGAAGTGAGATCCCACCATAAACTTAGGAGACCTTCAAAAGATCTTGTACTGGGTCTGTTTTTTTTTTTTTAATCTTAATGTAGCACATCCCAGTCAACAGAAGATAAAAGTAACATCGAGATAAAGACCAATTTCACTTTTATTAATTAGCAAATAAATAGCAAATAAATTGCATTCTGAGTATAGCATGAAATATAAACTTAAAATACCATTTAATAATGGTATTTTCTTTCTCTAAGTCCTACATTTAAAAAAAATTTTTGAGGTTGGCCTTCGTTGGTTGGGTGGGTGTGTTTGTTGATAATGGAGTGTGAATAGAATTTTTGCAAATCACAGAATTTTCTGAAGACTGGAGGCAGCTCCTCCTAAGCTCATCTCTTCCCTTCTTCATCTACAAGGCAAGCAAGGCCGAGACAGGCACCATAGCCATCTTCATGTAATTTTCCAGCCCCCTACACTGCACAGGCATAGTGGTAGGAACTTTCCTGAAGGATGATTCTTGCAGGGGTGAGTTCCAGACACCCTTGTTGACTTAATTCTCTACAAACAAAATCCTCAGGCTGGGCGCAGTAGCTCATGCCTCTAATCCCAGCACTTTGGGAGGCCGAGGCGGTCAGATCACGAGGTCAGGAGTTCGAGACCAGCCTGACCAACATGATGAAACCCCGTTTCTACTAAAAATACAAAAATTACCTGGGCATGGTGGGGCGCGCCTGTAATCCCAGCTACTCAGGAGGCTGAGGCAGGAAAACCACTTGAACCCGGGAGGCGGAGGTTGCAGTGAAGCGAGATTGCGCCATTGCACTCCGGCCTGGGTGACAGAGTGAGAATCCGTTTCAAAAAAAAAAAAAAAATCCTCAACCACAGTTGTTTAATCTGCCCCTTTTCTAGGAAGGGGATTAACTCCAAAGCCTGAGCAGACATCTGTGTTCTTGATGTGCAGAGGATGCCTTCCAAAGCAAGAGATGTGAGAAGTGAGGAGGACACAGCTGGGAGGGAAGAGATTTCCCTTGCCTTTGAAAAACGCTTCATTCTCTGCTAGCTAGGCATTCTGGGATGGGTGGGTCAGTATGTTGTTGACTGCTTTTCTTATCGCTGTACCATTTAGCATCCCCAGAAATGGCTCCTCAGGCACAGTTTTTTTTAGGCATCCATAGACCACCCTCCCCCCGCAGAGAATTATCCAGAGAAGTATCCAAGGTGCTCCATCTTTGTACAGTTTTGTAATAATCTCCACCTGTAATCAAAATAGAATCCGGGAGGTCAAGCAATCCTCCTCTTGGCCCTGCTTCAAACTGCTGAACCAAACAGAGCTCTGTGCCCTCATCTGTGAGTTGGGGGCAATGAATAATTGTTGTGGTTTATCAAAGTGGTATCACATACATCACATTTGAACCTCACAGCAACTCTCTGGTGTATTATTAGACCATTTCCCCCTTTTTATAGATGAGAAAACTGAGATTCAGAGATGTTGTAAAGCCAAAGGTCACAGTACTAATAAGTAACAGAATTGAACTCAAAATGCCTTGCTCTAACTACCAAGTGCTGCCTCCCTCACCCTCCAGAGAAAAGCCAAGAATACAGGAGATTGTCTACATGAGCTGATATGTAATGGCTCTGACAGGTTTTATTGGGATCCCTTACTCATCCAAAAATCAAAAAATTACACAGCTACAAGGCTCCTAGAACTGATCAAGCCCTGCCCCCGTTTCATTTGGCAGGTGTTGCCCAATGAGGTTGAGTGATTTGCCAAAGGTCACTCCATGAGTTCATGGAAAATGACCAATGTCATTTTTAAAAATTAGTTAAAAGTACCTTCTACCAAGCCCATTTTTATGGCTTATTTTAAGCAGGTTAATAAGTATACCAGGCACAGCTTAAACCCAACTGAGTAAATGCTGACACCAGTTTATAGATTCAGCAGATAAGTAGCAATAAGGAATTATTCATCTCTCATTTATCATCCAGCCTTTCCAAGGTGCAAGTTATAAAGTGAAGCAAATAGCAGTTCAAGAGCCCCCCACACACGTGAGATCAAAACAGTGAAAAACAAATTGATTTTCAAAGCTATACATTTATAATGCGTCTATGCCTGAGGTCTCCTGAAATATGAAAAAGAATAATACTTGGGAACATTTTTTGCATTTCAGAAATAGGCACATTTCTTATACAGAGCTCTATATTTGACCTTCAGACATATTCAATCATTAATTCATTCTTTTGAGTATGTACTGTGTACCTACTCTGTGCAGACCACTGTAGGGGATTATAGAATTACTAAAGGATATTCCAGCCATCAAGAACTTTTTAAACCTACTGAGGTGACAAAATAAAGCACACATGCATGCATGCGCGTGCGCGCATGCACACACACACACACACACACACACACACTTGAATCTCAACCCTATAAATCTTTGTGTGGGGACGTTATATGATGCCCAGAGTCAGTGGGTGTCAGGGGAGTGTGTGCATGGGGACAGGAGGGAATGGAAAGATTGCCTGGTGTGACTAGGGGAGCCACAACTAGGAACACATTGAGGAGGTGGCCTTGCCTCAACCTTCTCCCCAGTGACATATCTTTCTCATGAGAATAGTGTTAGGAAAATTCATAGGCAGAAAATAAGACAAAGAATTGATGGCCCCAATTAAGAACCTAATCCCCAAATCCCCTGAAGCACAAACTGGTGGAGAGATGGGTGAGGGAACAATGGGGGCAATAGCAGTTATAATATTTGTAATGTCTGCAGAAAATGAATAAAATCAACAGATGATTTATTTGGGAGGTGAGCACTAATGAATTCTCATGTGTTATTCAGAAAGGTCGGTTTACCTTATATTTTTATCACTCCCAGTCTTCCAGTGGTGGACCTGAGACCCAAAGTTCAATATAAATAACAAAGCAGCGGCAAATCCAATAAGCGACTTTGCTCTTAGCTGCCCAGACAAGAAGCTGCAAGACGACTTCTGGAACCTCCCATGGGTCAATTCACTGTCCCTCCCCAGGGATGGGGCCTGTTTCTTCAGGCCAGTAACCACTTATTTCTGGGCCCTGCATCTGTGAAACTGAAGCATTTTCCAGTGTAAAAAGAAATGGGAAGACATTCACTCAAAATCCTTTACTTGGGATATTGGGAAACTGAGGCTCAGCAAATTCAAATGACTTATACATAGAGTGACCACATAATTTATGCAAAATTATAAGTGAATGTGTATATCACTGATGATTACCCAGAACAGCAGCATGCACCTGACCTGTTTCAGGCATCCAGGACATTGGATCACCCCCAATAAACAATGAGAATCAGAACAAGGACCCACCCATTATGCCCCACACACACTTGGCTACCTTCTTTTGTTTATTTTGAAGGCTGAGTCCACAAGACCATTAGGAAGATATTCAGCCTAGAGGTGCAATATGTGCCTGGTGCCCATTTTGGCTTGGTTTATCCCCACTCTAAGTAGTGCATGGAATGACTGCGGCTTTGAATGTCTATGACCTCCCTTTACCTCATCCTCAAGCCCTCACCCACCCCCACCCTTGGCTGGGCCAGGGTCACTGTTTCCAGTGCCCTGCAAGGGGTGTGGGCAGCAGCTCTAACCAGGCTGCCAGACTTCTAGGCTCTGCCCGAGAGCCCAGGGCTGCCTTATCTCTGATCCTCTCACCCTACTGATTACATCAGGGCGAGGGAAGTTTGGCCTTAGGAGTCAATGTATAGAGGGGAGGTATCAATTCCTATAGTAGCATGTTGAAATGGATAACAGAATATAACCAGGGTGCCAGGGAACCTTGTCCTGGCTGTGCTGGTAAATAGGTGTGTGGCTCTATAGCCCTGTCTGGATACTACTTGCCTCTTCTGCAAAATGAGTGGATTGGACCAGAATCCTTGAAGTCCCTTGCAATACCAGGGCTCCACATCAGTGTCAGAGAGAGGCTGTCTCAGGACTGATAAGCGGGCCAAAGGTACCTGGTGCCATAATCACCCACCAATGGAGGATGAAGGTGTGAAGAGGTGCCACGTGGCATCTTCCGCACATGAGCCTCTGTGTTTGCACACAGTGGAAGAGACCATGGCGCCCGTGTCTCAGCCACAGCCCTGATACCACATCTTCAGTCATCAAGCATGGGGATTTACACTGTAATAGGACAAAGTGGAAACTCCACTTTTTAAAATTCAATTCAGCAAACTTTTTTAAAAAATGTCTACTATATGTTAGAAACTGGAAAATACAAAGATGTCAAATATAAGATTTCTGCCTTCAAGGAGACTAAAATTTTGGAGAGAGAGGTATATAGAGAGGCATATGTATAGACAGGTTAAACTAAAATACAGTGTGATAAAGGCTGTAGAAACAGAAGGGGAAAGAGACTGATTCTGGAATAAGGATGGAAATTAAAAAAACAAAAAAAAGCTGGCCTGGTGTGGTGGCTCTGGCTCAGGGCTGTAATCCCAGCACTTCTGGAGGTTAAGCAAGAGGGCAGTGAGAGGGTCACTCCAGCCAGGAATTCCAGAACAGCCTGGTCAACATAGTGAGACCCCGTCTTTACAAACAAACAAACAAAATAGCCAGATCTGGTGGTGCGCACCTGTACTCCTCGCTACTCCGGAGGCCGAGGTGGGAGGATCGCTTGAGCCCAGGAATTGGAGGCTCTAGTGAACTATGATTGCACTACTGCACTCCAACCTGGGTGAAAGAGAAACACCCTGTCTGTCTCTCTTCAAACAAAAAAGGTTATGTAAGAAGATACCCTGCACAATACCAATGCCTTGCCCAGAGGAGCAGTTTTTGAGTTCTGCAGTCAACCTACTTGAATTTAAGTCTTGGCTCCACCACCTTATAAGCGGGGCAAGTTACTTAATAGTTTGTGCCTTGGTTTCTTCATCTATAAAATGGAGGAAATAGAGTGACTGTGTGGATAAATGATTGTGTGGATAATCAATCCACGCAGCATACTTGGCGCTGTGCCTGGCATATAGCAATGTCCAGTGTTACTCAGTAAATGTTTGCCTAGTAAATGGATCCCAGTTTTCATCTGCAATCCAAGCCTTTTATTTTGCATATTCAGATGGGCCTCCCATTTTTAGTTCCTCACTGAACATATTCATTATGAATGGCTAAGATTGAGTTCAGACTTAGGATCCTGGTGTTCCCACCCTAAGAGATAAGGCCTCACTCTGTTGCCCAGGCTGGCGTGCAGTGGTGCCATCACTGCTCACTGCAGCCTCAACCTCCCAGGTTCAAATGATCTTCCCACCTCAGTCCTCCTGGTAACTGGGACTACAGGCACGTGCCACCACAACCCGCTATGTTTTTCTATTCCTTATTAAAGATGAGGTTTCTCCATGTTGTCCAGGCTGGATTTCGAGAGCTTAAAGTCACAAAATGTTGGGATAGGAAGGAACCTGGGAGACAGTTTAGTAGTCTCTTCATTTTATGGACAGAAAACTAAGGCTTAGAAAGTTAAGTGACTCGCCTGTGGGCATGGCAGTCCTCTGGTGGCAGTCGTGGGATTAGAATCCGGGAATCCTGACTCCCAGACCAAGGAGCTCCCTCCAGCCTCAACTAGATCCAGATCCTCGAGGCCTAAGCTTCGCTCTACACTGACACTCAGGCCACAGCAACCTGGGGTCCCTCCCTCCTCTTTCTATGGCGCCCCAAACAAAAGACTACCTGTTTCCCAGTACTTACGGCACATCTAAGGAAGAATTTAGGACCTTTCCCAGTCCAGGGCTAGCTCTCAACTCAAAGAGGGAAGAAAAAAAAAAAATCAAAAACCACTTCAGACCATAAATGCTCCATGTTGCTTACAATGTTGACTTTCTCCTTTAATTCTCATTCAGGGAGACTGCTTCGCAGGGGATCTGTTCATGATCCTCACCTTAGTGTCACCAACAGAGGTGGCCGTGGGTGCTTTCCGTAGAAAGGGAAGGTGACAGGTGAGGCAGGCAGGAGCTCGGGCCACCTGTTCTCCAGCCTAATGGCCTCAGGTAACAGCCCAGCAGCCTCACTCCTACTTCCCCAAAGGCAAGAGAAGAAAAACGAGGCAACAACCAGAGGGAGGAAGGTGGAACTGGGGGAAACTGAGCGCAGGGGTGGAGAATGAACTAAGCTCCATCACACCTTTTCAAGCACAGCAATGACAGTGTGTGCTGTTATAAAAGAACACTTGCTCCATGAGAACATTAGAAACGTACAAAAAATTTCACGCAAGACCTCGCCGTCTTTATACGCAGGTGTATTTACGTTGATTTCTCTACCTATCTTATCTATCACTATATAATTCGAATGAACCCTAATAGAATATTGACCGGTGTCCTGAATTTTCTCCTCCCGTGCACAGCGTGAGTAATTCCCGTGAAACTATGCTCATGCGGATCTAGATTGAATCTGATCCTTCGGGCCGCGGCGGCTCCGCCTGGGAGGGCGTGGCCCCCGCGCTGGGGCGGGAACCGGCTTCTGGGGACCCGCGGCCTCTGCGCCTCAGCCGACCTCCACCGCGGGTGCGTGCGGGGGTGCGGGGGTGAGGGGTGCGGGGCTGCTCCGTCGGGAGGCTGGGAGGGAGAGCAGGCGCCGGGACCCACGCGAGGGCGCGGACGGACGGGGGGCGGGAAGCGAGGCTGCCGAGGGGAGGAAGCGGGGCCGGCGCAGCGGGCGCCAGGCCGGGCAGAGGCGGGGGCGGCCGGCCGGGGCTGACCCCGAGCGCCGCCGAGTCTGCGCCGCCCGCCGCCCCGCGCTCGCCTCCAGCCGCCTGGGGTTCCGCGGCGGCCGTCAGCGCGCACCTCATCAATAAGGCCTGCCAGGCGCCGGCCCCGCGGCCATCCATCACCCGGGCTGCACCCCCGGCCGCGCACCGAGGCTTCTGCCAGCGCCTGCGGGGCCTCTGCGTGGAGTGGGCCGGCAGCGTTTTTCTACCCGGCAACAAATACATGGCTTTATTCCACTTCTTAATCCCAGTGTCTGTTAACGATGTGGTGTTCATTTGTTCCTAAAGAGCTGTAAGGAAGCTTAGAAATGATTCGGCAAGCTGGGCGCGGTGGCGCATATTTGTAATCCCAGCACTTAGTGAGGCAGAGGCGGCAGGATCGCTTGAGCCCAGCAGTTAGAGACCAGCCTGGGCACCATGGCGAAACTCCATCTCTACGAAAAAATAAAATTAGCCAGGCGTCGTGGCGCGCGCCTGTGGTCCTGCTGGGGAGGCTGAGGTGGGAAGATGTGAGCCTGGGGAGGTAGAGGCTGCAGTGAGCTGAGATCGCACCACTGCAGTCCAGCCTGGTGACAGAGTGAGACCCTGTGGAGAAAGAGAGAAAGGGAGAAAGAAGAGAGAGAGAGAGAGAGAAAAAAAGAGGATTGATTCAGCACAAACACACACACACACACACACACACACACACACACACAGAGAGAGAGAGAGAGAGAGAGAGAGAGAGACAGAGGATTGATTCAGCACAACCGGTGCATTTCACAGATGAGGAGACCGAGGGCCAGAGTGGGCGGCTGGCGTGCCTGAGGCCACACCAGGAGGAGGTGATGGAAACTATACTGGGGCCTGCATCTCTTGCCCTACCCCCACTCCCAGCCCTTGTGCCCTCCAAATGGGCACTCCGCAGGTCCAGGATCGATATGAGTGTTTGGCATCGAATGTGTGAAAAGGGCCAAGTCATAGGTTATGGGTGTGGGTGTCAGTGCATGAACAGCACAGAGTCCGCAGGCATTCTGTCCCCCAACTCAGGCCACAGCCTGTGTGTGCGTGTGTGTGCATGTGTGTGCATGTGTGTGTGTGTTGAGGTCCAGAAAGAGTACTAGGTAAAAGAGAGGGGGGAACACCTCTACATTAAAAGCAATGTGTTCCTTGAATTCATTTAGGTCGTCTCCCACCTGCCCTTTTCCCCAAGGAGGTGCCGTGGGTCCCCCTTCCTGCTCGTGTCTGCCAGCGCTCACTCCTGCTCCTGTCTGCAGGACGCTTTTGTTCTCCGGTTTGCGGGTAGAAACTTGTGTTCATCCTTGTATCTACAAGTTTGCATGATGCCTGGCACATAGTAAACATTCAATAAATGTTTGCTTTGTGAATTGTAGCTCTTATGAGGGAATTCGAATAATTCTGGATCAGAGGGCTTGTAGGCTGAAAGAACTCACAGATCAGGTGTCCAATCTCATTTCATAAGAGGGAGACTGAGGCTCCCAGCATTGCCCCATTGAACCGTTGCCTGTTTCACTCAAGGCCTTCCTCTGTAAGGTCAGAGCTGGCGTGGCCCTCAGGGATCCTTTCTTTTCTTCCCCCAGAACATTGCGCTGCCACCAGCTCTCCGAGCCGTGGACTGCATCCTCATCACTTCTTTCCCTTGCCACCTTTTGGTTCCTCTGCTGCTTAATTAGCAAGCTCTCCCAGGGTGAGGGACAGAGAAGATCATGGAAGCCAAACTGTCTGCTTTGTTCCTAAGAGGAAACACAATATTTTGTGGGGGATTGTTTTGTTTTTGTTCATGGTGTTGTTTTCTTAGTGTTGGTGGTGTTGGATTTTAAATTCAAATTCAAATGACGAAATTAAAATCAGTGACCAGTGGGTGTCTGCCAGTCTTAACATCCATTTTTCTTCCATGATCACAGAGGTATGACTGGAGTTAGAAACAATCATATTATCAAGAACTCTGGGAAGAGGTAGAAACAATCTCTCTCCTCTCTCTCTCTCTGTCTCTCTCTCACTCACACACACACCTCACTTTTATTGAAGAGCAAGGGTAGCAAAGACATCCTGTGGCCCAGGCAGTCAGTGGCTTTGGGCTCTTGTGTGATGTCCACTAGACTATAATTGCTGTATATACAAGTCCAGAGTGTGGTTTTATCTGGCACAGAGCACTTTCATCCTGCTACCTTGCGCCCTGATGGTAGCCCATCCATGTGAACATCGTGACCTGCAACTGAGCGTAATGGAAATTGACTTAAGAATGACAGCCAGAGGCTGGGGGCGCGGTGGCTCACTCCTTTAATCCCAGCACTTTGGGAGGCCGAGAGGGGTGGATCACCTGAGGCTGGGAGTTCGAGACCAGCCTGACCAACATGGAGAAACCCCGTCTCTATTAAAAATACAAAAATTAGCCGGGCATGGTGGCACATGCCTGTAATCCCAGCAACTTGGGAGGCTGAGGCAGGAGAATGGCTTGAACCCGGGAGGCAGAGGTTGCGGTGAGCCAAGATCGCGCCTTTGCACTCCAGCCTGGGCACCAAGAGTGAAACTCCATCTCAAAAAAAAAATAAATAAAATAAATAAGAGCCAGAGTAATGGGTTCTGCAGAACGATATCATCTTGTACAGAAAAGGCCATGTTTCACTGACTGCTTTTCCCTTAGTCCATTCAGAAATACAGTCCTACGCTCAAGGGGCCAAAGCGTTTCTCTTTCAAGGCCAGTCCTTGGCTTACCCTTGCCTCAGGGGAACACCTGGACCAAACTCAGTTTCCAAGGACTGACTGGTTCTCTCCGCTTCCCATCACCCTCTCCCAGGCAGCCATCAGGTTGTTGAAAGGGACTTAGCAATCCCTGAGCTTCTGCTGTTTGGCTTCAAGACCTTCAGGATGTGAGAGGAGGATAACCCTCACTCTGACGTCACCCTTCCTGCAGCCTGCCCAAAAACATGAGTGCACCGGCGCTCGTATGTTTGTGCCATACATGCTCAAGATAGGCACTGGAGCTGTACCCAGGATGGACCACTGTGGCCATTCCTGTGGACTGAGGATGAGCAATAGGGAGGACCAACCTTGAAAAATGATCCTTTAAAAAGAAATGCAAGGCTTTCTTTTGTATAGAAATCACTTTTCTAACATATTTTAGATGGGAGTCAAACGTGTACCAGGGATGTGGACTCGCACTAAAGACAGGATGGGGCTGGAGAGAATGGGAGCTGAAGAGTCTTATCCTGCTCCACCTGTGCTCTTTTTCCTTCTGCTTTTTTCAAAGCCAGATTTATTGAAGTGCAACTTATATACAGTAAATTCACTCCTTTTAGTGTACAGTTTTCAGAGTCTTGACATACACACAAATTGTGTGACCACCATCACAAGATATGAGAATAGTCCCAGCGCCCCTCCAAATTTCTTCCTCCCCCTCTACAGTCAACTCTTCCCCCTCCTCAGCCCCTGGCAACCTCTGATCTGTTTTCAGCCCCTATTGTTCTGTCTTCTTCAGAATGTCATAGAAAATGGATTTTGTCTATCATCTTTTGAATATTCTTTTACTTAGCTGAATGCATTCGAGATTCATTAGTGTTGCTGGGTGTTTGTTGTTCATTCCTGTTTGTTACTGAGTAGTATTCCATTGTATGGATGTACCTCAGTTTACCTATTCCCCTGCTTAAGGATCATTTGAGTGGTTTCCCGTTTGGGGCAATTATGAATAAAGCTGTAGGTTTTGAAAATAACAACAATACTACTTTAGAGTTTAAAGTTTAAAACACAACTTATATTTAGCTCTTCTTGTCCTGAAGCTCATTGCAAATAGTATATCTGCTGGGGCATGTTCAAAGACTGGGGTGAGGACGTCACAATCCCTGACAAAAAGTGGTGTATGGAGGGGTGTGTGCATCTGCATTGGACGTGTGGAAAGAAAGATATGAATTCAGAGCTTCAGAGGTGCAGCAAAGACAGAGTGCTCACAGGGTGATTGAGAAACTGAGGTGGCAAGTAAGTCTTTCATTTACTCTACCTGTTCTGAGCCCACCAGCCCCTGAGCCTACCCATCTGCTCAGGGAGAGTGTGGGCCCCTGGAACTGGGCATCTGCAGAGACTTCCTGGGGGAGGGGTGGACTTTGCCCCTCACTGGCGGAGGCCCCCCGGGGAGATGGTGTGAAATAGGGGAGGGAGGAGGCGATGAGGTCGGGATAGCTCTGCACCTTCCTGAGTGACATCCTGCCAGTGCCCTCCACCTAGGTGCGGAGGGCTCCATTTCACTGCGCCCCTTTGCACCTTGGATTTTCTCTCTTCACTTCCTTGCCCTTTGGCAACTTGCTGTTCATTAGCACCTCTGCTGCAGAACAGGGGGCAGCACCAGAAGTCCCACTCTAACCGGAGAGCCCCTGTCCTTCTGTCAAACACACGCACAGGACTAACGAGGGGGATGAGTGGAAACCAGCCGCAAAGAAATGGAGTGGGAGGTTCTTCTTTAAAATCCATTCCGTTCAGAACACAGTGAACACCCTTTGACAGAACAAGGACTATCTAGCTATTCCAAGCTCCGTGCCTCCCCTTTCTTGAGACTGTTGTTACAAGAAACCGATGATTTCTAACAATAGGAACCTCCCAGCTGGGGAAGCGGTGTTCGGAGGGGAGCAGCGCTCTCGGTGGGCACCTGCTGCAGTTGGGGAGGGAGAGGTGGTCGTGGAGGCCACTTTCCCCTCCACCGCCAGGGAAGCCTGGTCTGTCTGAAGGGGTCCTCGCCTGCGCCGAGGATGGCCGGACGGCCGGGCCTCCGGCCCCAGCACAGCCCCCCTTTCAGAGGACCCCGGGTCTTCGCGCCTGCGGACCAGAGGCTGTTTTCGCACTTGGGCTTCGCGCTTCCTTGACACTTTCCTGTCTCTGCTCGCCGCGCCAGGTCGCGGCGCCTGCCTGGGCGTCTTCTCCAACTCCGGGTCACCTCGGGGCGAGGGCAAGGGTGCCGGGCCGGTGGGGCGTTCCGGCCACCACGGGGCGGAGGAGGGAGCGGCCTTTGCGGAAACGGGCCGAGCTGGCTCAGGGAATGCCAGATCTCTGGGGGACCCACCAGTCCCCTGATGTGCGCGTTGAGGTCTTGGGCCTGGCGGCGCTCCAGCCGCGGGTGTCCCTACCATAACCACTGTCCTCCCCGGGAGCTGGGCAAGAGGAGCCCTGGACTCTGGGTTGACCTCGTCCCGGTCGGGTTCTCTCTCCTCCCACCCAGGCCCGGCCGCTTTCTGGCGTCCGTCCTCTCCCAGGAGGTCCTGGCCTCTCTCTGCGTCGCCAAGTCTCTTGACTCCCAGCTCGCCTTAACTTCCCAGGGTCTGTGGTCTCTCTCCTTTCTCTGTCTCTGCTCTCTCTGCCCGTCCATTGCCTGCTTTGGTTTTTCCATAATATTTCATCATTCAACACTGTATTTGACTTACTTATTGTCCGTTTTTCTCTTACAGCATGTAAGCTGCTTAGGATAGAATTCTTCTCTACTTTGTTCCATGCTGAGTACTCATGCCTGTAGTATTCCTGGCACAGAGAAGGTGCTCAGTCAATGGGAAATGAATGAGTGGGTGAGTGAGTGAATGCATGAGTGAATGAATCCCCATCTCTCCCTCTCTGCTGCTGGCCAGTCATTTCTCTCTGCCCTGGTCTCTGCCTGTCCTCCTCTGTCTCTCTCGCTTTTCTCTCCCTTCTCTTGTTTCTCCTCCTCCACTCCTCACCCTGCATTTTTTCCTCTATCCGGCTGACTTGGTCTCTCCATCCTTCCAGGATTTATGGGTTGGGCTCCCTATGCCTCAGAAAGGGTGCCCCTGGCTTCTGGTCAGCCTTCATCCCCGGAGGCCCGGGGACTCCCTCGCCAGTCTAACAGCCTAAGCATCTGGCCAGGTTCCCAGCTCAACTTCCCAAATCCTGGCTGTGCACAGGGAAGTCCCTTCTTCCTGCAGTCCCCAGGACCTGGGGACCCCGGGGTGTCCTTAGGAGCAGCCTAGATTTGAGCTGGTGGTTTGTAGGCGATAGCAGCTCCACAGGCAGATGAAGCCACCAGGGAGATTTGTGCCACCCAGGCTGGGCCCCTCCCTCCACTTCTGGCCAGTATTCTACTCTGAGAAATGGCAGTCCTGCCCACCAGTGCACCAGGTCCCTTGAGGGGAATGTTTCATTCTCCATCTCCGAGCAACTTTGATGGATGTTATTAACAGCCCTTTTTAAAATTTTAATCATTCACCCAACACTTATTGAGCACCTACTGTAATCCTTGCTTTGGGCAGACCAGGATTTTGATCACTGCATTCACAGAGCATACCTTTTGGGGGTGTAGAAGGGAGGTGATCGGTGCATGTGTGTGGACAGCCAACCCCATATAAATTACTTTATAACTTCAGGGGGCATGGACAAGTGAATAAAGCACAAGATCATTTTACTAGTCCAGGGATGTTAACCCTGGTCTTGCTCTGGGCTCAGCACAAACAACACTGTGACTTCAAAAGTCTCTAACTGGGGAGTAGCAAAGCCCCATATGTGAAAGAATTGGGGCCTGTGTCACCAAGAGAGATCTCAGAGGAGGCAATCCCCGAAGAAAGGGCCCCTTACAGACTCAAAGAACCTCCAGTCTGGGAACCAGACTCCCTATGTTCTGGGTGGTGGGTGGCCTGGGCAGTAGGTGTTAGCAGCTCTTTCAGGCTGCCATTGTCTCCAGGTCCTTGGATGGGGAGGGAGAGAGGGAGCCAGGTTGGCAGCAGGAAAAGAAACATACATGGCGGCGCCTGCGTGGCCACTGCGCCTCCAGCGCTGGCGCTCCTCAACCTGCTGGGGCCCCTGCCTGGACTTGCAGGCACTGGACCAGGCTTCAGTCCTAGCCTCAGCTACGCTGGACCTGAAGAGCCCCTCCCTATTCAAAAAGGCTATGGTGTCCGTCCTGAACTCAGCAAAAATGTTCAGAGATTCCTTTCCACTTTTTTCCCTCTTCCTGTGGGCTCTCAGATTATGAGATATAAACTTTTTTAAACATTGATTTTATTTTTTAAATGTTAAACATGCTCATTAAAGGAAACTCAGAACAATTTTTAAAAGACAGTTTTTAAAAATACGTTTTCATGGTAGAAAGTCGATATTAAATAGAATGGAAAAAAAAGAACTAAGATTCAGGAATCCAGGTTCTAGACCTGCAGTTTCGCCCTTGCTTTGCCACCTCAGACAAGTACCTTAACCTCTCTGAGCCTCCATGTGCTGGTTTCTAAGGTGAGGGCGATAACACCGTCTTTCCCTTCCTCTTGCTAATGATATTGTTGTTCCCTAGAGAAAAATGAGATTTGAAAGTGTTCTGTAATCTGGAAGTGACTATAAAATATGAGAGGGTGTGCCAGAAACTCTGGTCCTCAGGGCTGGAAGCACCAGGAAGCATTTGAGGAGGTCTACGAGGGAGAAGATGTATTCGCTTTGCAACCCAGAGTAGTAATTTCGAAAGCAAGACCATTAACAAGGATTGCTCCTTCCTCTCCTCTCGTCTGTAACCGGCTGCAGAGCACGGTTCCGGGCGAACAGGGCGGAGGCTCTACGTCCACTCCGTATCCCCAAGAAAGAGTGTCCGAGGCACGGACCATAGCAAGTGAAGGAAGGTAGGTCGACGTGGCCTTGCAGCTGAATTCGTTCTCCATTTTTCCTTCAGCAGGGACGCATCCTGCTCTGCACCCTGGTTCTCGGCGCTGCGCCCGCGGAGGCTCGTGCAGGGCAGGCTGCCCGTGCGGGTGAGGACCGAGTGCCGCGCAGGGAAGGAGTATCGCAGACCGGCGCCCAGGCCCAGCGGGGGAATCCAAGGGCCGTGTTGCAGGACTCGGCATTCGTTCTGCGCGGGTCACCTTGAATGTCTGTCCGGATCCCTCGCGGCAGGGCCGCAGAGGCGCGTCCATATCTTGGAGGAATTCGTTCCATAGAATGAGGTTTGATTCTCTCTGGGGTTTCTTGTTTTCCATTATAAGACTCTGGCGACCTTGGTGGCGCCAGATTTTTTCAGATGTTGCTTTTGTTCCGGGTGTAGCGGCCAAGATCATGGACCCAGGCGTGGCACTTGGTTTAAAACAAACTTGGACAGGTCCCACCAAAAACTCGCAGAAACTCGGCGCTGGAAAACCATCAGTGGCTTCACTGTGAATTCCAGCATCCACCGTTTATTTTTATTTTTGGGGGGAACCAGTGTTTAGATTGCTCTGTACACAATACGCAGCGTACAATTTGCCTCTTCTGGGGTATGGACCAGCTCAAGTCCCAAGAGCCTTAATGGAACAGGGTAAAGCAATTTATTCTTGCCTTGGAGATATTTTTTAAAAGAGTACAGTACACCTAAGTAATTCTTGTTTGTCTAAAATCTGACGACCTGACACTGGGTCATTAGACCCAGGTTCTTAGAAAAAAAAAAAAAAAAGTCAAAGACGTTCACAGTGTTAAATTCTCCTCCTAGACTACGGGAAAGGAAACCCGAGAGAGGACTTGAATGGGGATTGGGCCTGTCTACCCAGGCCAGCCCAGGCATATCTTCCTTAAAAATAGCCAAGAGGCCGGACCTCAGAGCACCCACCCGCTGCCCCCCTTCCCAGCGGCCTCTGGAGCGAGAGAGAAGCCTGGGAACCTAGAGAGGCGCCGATAAACCTCCTCCAGCCGGCGGCCCAGCGAGGCCTTGAAATGCTCCCCGCTCCTGGCAACGCACAGCCAACCTGCAGGCTCCCGCTTGGCCCAAGGGAGGGAGGGGGCGAGCGGAGAGCGAAGGAGGAAAGGAGGGAAAAGGAAACACCCCCAAAAAAGCAGGCCGTTTGCCAACCACCCCTGGTTTGTCCTTGAGCTGAGGCCTTGGGGAGAAAGTTGGGGCGCTGGACCTAGAGGAAAAAGCCACAAGAAACATAATTTTCTCTGTCCCAGGCGACTTCCAGAGACAGCGAATATTCCTGGGTCAGGGGATCCCAGGTTTCAGTCCACTAGGAGTGCCAGCGGAAGGTGTGGGTAAAGGACCGGGGTGGTGGGGGTGGTGGGAGGTGGTAGGGGTGGCCCAGGGTTGGCAGAAAGCGGCGGCTCAGGTAATCTGGGGTTCCTTGCAAGCAAGCACCCAGCAAAAGCAGGCGTTCCCACCCAGCGGTGTGGCAGCGGCCATCCACAGTACAGCCTGTTATAGCCCCACCATCCACAGCACAGCCTGTTATAGCCCCACCAGTGTACAGAGCAGGGGGTTGAAGTTTAGGGAGGATGGGGAGGGCGAGGGTGAAGGATCGCCGCAAGGCACCGCACCTCCCGCTGCAGCCCATCCCGCACTACTAGGAGAAGCCGGCGTAGGAGCGCCGCCTGTGTCCTTGGCTGTGGGGAGGACGTCAGATGGCACCCCGCCAGACACTAAGCCCCAAGCCCCTGGCTTGTTGCTAAGAAAATTCACTGCCCGGTCCAGACTCAGCCCTTTTCGCCCTTTAAGGGTCGCGCGTGGGAGGCAGCTCTGAGACCCCGGGTAGCGCTGGAGCCACAGATTTCCTCCGAGAAAAGAAAGGCCGGGATAGCTTCCCGCTCGCCCAAGCCCAGATTTTCCACTCTCCAGGAAGGCCTTGCAGGTCCCTGCCGCAGGCCTTGGCTTCGCGCCTCTCTCGCTCGCCCCCCACGAAGATGATTGCCGGTTTCAAACCGGGAGCAGGGAGTCTGCTTCCTTCTCCGCTGAGTCCGAAGGATCGCAGATTGGAGCGTGCTCCGGAGACCGCTTTTCCGCAGCGCCGGCCTCCGAGATCCCCAGCACCCCTTCAGCCTTAAGTTCCCACGTTTCGGGTCCGTGGCGCCAATTCTGCTAAGTAGCAGGCTAGGAATTGGGGGAAGTCGGAGAAGAAACCCTAAGTGTGTCGCCCCCAGCTTCCGGGATGCAGGCCCGCCGGGGTCTAGAGGGGCGGCTGCCGTGCGTCCAGCCTGTGCGCAGGCCTTTCGCCGCTCGGCGCCCCAGGCAGCCTCAGTTTCCTTTCCTCTGTTTGCGCCCCAGTGAACCTCCGCACCTCTCATTCAGGGAAGAGAATTCCCCGCGCAGCCGCGCTCGTTTCTTCCTCTGGGATTTTCCTGAGAATCCCCAGGAGTTGGCCACGATCCCATGGGGGGTTTCCTTCTACCCAGCCCCGCGTCCTGGCCTCGTCCTTAACCCCCGGGTTGCCTTCACTCAGGCTGGGAATCCACGATTGATTTCCTACTACGGAAGCGGGTGGCGTTCCCAGCCTGCTTTCGGAGCAGCACGGGTTTCGTGCAGGGTGTTATCCCGACCCCTTCCCCCATCCCTCTAATCTGGCTTGAGAAGCCCGTGCTGGAGAGAAAAACGCGGCCTTAAAAAAAAAAAAAAGTTTAACCGAAAGCGTGAGAGCCACCCGCCGGCTGTTATCTGGGGCTGAAGGCTGCGGTAATCGATGGGTTATTTTTACGCGGTAATAGGGCCCTGTGATTGCTCTATTAACCTTTAGACCTGTCTGAGGGACTCTCCGGCTCGCAGCCCCGCTGCGCTGGGGCCTCCAGGCTCTGACGCCGACTCCCAACTCAGGCCTGACACATTCCCCTCCCCCATACCCTGGAAGAGCCCCCTCCATGAAGAAGCTCCCCTGGACCGCCTGGCTCCCCAGCCCTTGCCACGTCCCTTGGATTGGTGCAGAGCCGCCGCAGGCTGCAGAAAAAAGGGGGAAAGATTAGAAGAGAGGAGGCCACAGGAGATGGGAAGTGTCGCCAGGAAGGGATGCAGATTGCATAAATACATAAAATTGAGGCTGAGGCCTGGGCTCCCGACCATCTCCCTGGGATTTTGGGAAGGCAAAAGGGAGGCTTCGGTCTCTACGCTCTGATTTTAGGAGGCAGTCTGGGTGTCTCCTGAACCTCCAAGGAATCCGGGGCTGGGAGGATCCCCACTACCCCTGCCCAGGAACTAGCATCCAGCCGGGCACCCCGGGTGACCCAGTGCCCCACACAAGATCGAGAGTTGAGCCCAAGAGGTCACCTTCTTCTCTACTGGCCCCGCCCCTCGCCCGCCGCTGCGGGATGAGGACCACAGGAAGGGGGGGCGGGGAGGGAGAAAGGGAACTCATTAATAAAGCTGACCCTGGGCACCACAGCGAACCCAATCGACCTCCGGCTGGGTTGCGGGTGATTCCCCGCTCCCTGGCGGTAGCACTTGGGCATTTTCCGCGGAGACCCCAGAGCCTGGACTTTGCCTGCTGGGGGAGCTTTCCGCACAGTCCCGCAGCCTGCGCCCAGCGGAGGTGTAGCCGGGGCCGCGCACCCCCGCCCCGCCCTTGCACGTGACTCCCACAGGCCAGTCAGCGCCCTAGGGCCGAGTTGCTGGGCCGGGGACCCGAGCCGCGAGCTGGGGACTTGGAGGCGGCCGGCGCAGGGGCCGCGAGAGGCTTCGTCGCCGCTGCAGCTCCGGGGGCTCCCAGGGGAGCGTGCGCGGAACCTCCAGGCCCAGCAGGTAGGGCTTTTTTCTTCCCTTTCTTTGCTCCTTCCCGCGGTCCCCCAAACTCGGAGCTTCTCCGCCTTTGCTTGTCTGGAGGTAGAGAGGTAGCTAGTGGGAGGAAAAGAGACGTGCGCTACTCACTTCACCGAAATTGCCCAACCCCTGCTCTGCTTTTGACTTTGCCTTAGCAACTTCTTTAAGTCAAAGTAAGACTTGGGGGCAAAACAGAGAAATATTGGAAGCGCCTTTGGATTCTTTCCGTGTGAACTTGAACGCTTTCAATCCCTGTCCCCGTGTGCACATTCTCCAACCCTTGTTTGCATATCGCAGGCCGGGGCCTGGGTGGTGATGGTGGCCGCGTGAAGTTACCGGGACTGACGGGCCCGGGACAGGCTGCACGGCAGCTCGCACATGGAGGGAAGTAGACGGAGGCTTGTCGCCCACCAGCGACTCCGGGGACGCAGGGTGGCAGTGCCAGGCAGCGCCGCTGGGCCTCAGGGGCCCCCGGGAGCCGCTCTGAGGTGCGGAGAGGCTGCTGAGTGGCGGAACTATTCATGCCCTTTCTGGCCGGCCTCCTCGCCCTCGGGGCTGGGGTCCAGGGACTGAATGCTCCTCTGGAAGCTCACCACCCCACCTGCCCGCGCTGCTTCTACCTGAAACTGGCCAAGGGCCCGAGCCCGGACCGGAGCCGTGACTTCCCTCCGCCGGCCACGGGGCTGCCCGGATCCGCCGGGTTATGTCGCTTGGCTTTGGGCTCAGGGGTCACCGTGGGCAGAGGGGGGTGCCGGGGTCGCGGACTGCCACCAGGTTGAGGAAAGGAGGGGCCTTTTGGCTGGGGAAAGAGCGTGGTGGGGGACCCGCGGCCGATGGAATCCCTGGGGCAGCGCGGCCCGCACCGTGGAGGTTGGGGAAGCGCCTCGGGGAAGTGTTTCCTGTGTTCCCAGAAAAGGAAGACAACCGAGAGCAGGTTTCAGGCTTTTAAAGAAAGCCTGGGGTGTGGAGGTGATGCTCCGCACACGTCTGTGTCTCCTCCCCTGCTGCGGCCGGCTTGGTTGTGCCGGCTAGCGTGCGACCGTCCTCCTCGCTGCAGGCCGAGAGCGGAGGCGTAAACCCAGGCCAGCGAGGAGTGTCCTATAAAGGGACGGGGACTTTTCGGCGCTTGCAATTCTCCCATTCTGAAAAATAGATCGGAAGAGGGCTATTGGTTGATTCTTGAAAGGGGAGCGCATTTCCTGTTGGCCTGCGAATTTGGGGTGAACTGGGACAAGTGATCAGAAGGAGAGCAAAAACTCCCCGATTTTGGCAGCCTCGGGAGCTGCTGGGCTTTCTCCGCCAACTGCAGGATCCAGGCTCAATTTCAACAACCAGCCAGAGGCGTTTTCCAAGAGCAGCTAATTCCTTGTTTTTCCAGAAAGTTATAGAGGAGTATTTTCTCCACCTTCTGTTGTTCTAGTAATCCAACTCAGGCACTATATCAGCCATTTGAAAAGGCAGAGAATGTGATAAAGACAAATATTAGATTGATGACATTTTTTGCATTTACCTTTTAAAGTCTGCAAGTTACTACCTGTGTGTATACTGGAAGTTGGATTATAAAATTCTAAATCTCCTTTCTTTTCCAAAGTTATGAAAGAAAAAAAATTACATTATCTTGAAGAACTGCAGGAGTTGAGTATTCCAGAAAATGCAATGAAATAGGTCAGCTACTTGATTTTAAAAGTCAAATACTGGATCTTTTATTAAGGTAAACCCATAATTCTTTAACTTTATTTTCAAAGGGAAAAGTTGGTGACCTCAGGTCAATTTTTAAAAAAATCTATTCTCTAACCAAACTTGCTGGAATGAACTATTTGCCAAACCAATAAGTTATTGCATATTTTGAAAGCAAATAAGCTTTTAGGAGTTACCATGTGACTATATAATACAATACAGTACTATTCCATTATTATTACTAGTGATGTTGCAAAAAATGGTGAAAAGCATTATGTAGTGTGTATTAAAGATTCCATTTCCAGATTTTTACAGTAATAAAGATGATCATTTATTATAGTATATACATTTGAGGTACTTTCTTGTATTATACTAGAAATCTGTAGTAATAGTCAACTGTTATTTAGAACTTTCTTTTTGCCTGTTAGGACAGTTTTATAAAAATCTGTTATAAGTGTTTTACAAATATTAATTTATAATCCTCACTCCTAAGCTTCACGATGACTCTACAAAATAAGTACCTTTAATATCTGCATTTTGCAGATGAGGAAACTAAGGCACAGAGAGGCTAAGTAATTTGTCTAAAGGTGTTTATTCCGTAAGTCTCAGAGCCTGGATTCATATATAGTTAACATTCTTGTAAATCTACTATTGAAATAAAAAAGAAAACTTTGTCGGGAGTAGTTGCCTCTTCTTAAAGAGAGAAATGGAGTGTGGTGGACAGCTTCAAGCCCCTGGAGCCCTACTGATCCCATTCCCTTCCCCCACCCCTTCTGATTGTACTTTGATCTTAGACAAGTTTCAAAACTTTCCAGTGCTCCAGTTCCCTCTTGTAAAATGAGGAGAGACACCTGTACTTAGTAGAGTTGTAGAGAAAAGGACCTGGAGGTAATTCAGACAGCAGGTAATTCAAAAAGTGGAGCTCTTATTTTATCAGAAAAATTGCCTGATAATAACAAAACGCAGGATGCTGGGAAGTATATAATCAAGTTCCACAAACTGCTCTTTCCCCAAGCACCCACCTTGGTGTTATGATTCTGCTTATGGGTGGATTTATTATTCTATATGAAGAACCCATTCAGTGAATTAGAATGGTCCAGTGGGTTATTCTGTAGAGCGGCATTGTACATTCTTCTCACTTTTCTGGTTCTGATATACAATTTGCAAAACGTCTAAATTGTAACTATTTGCAAGAAACCTGTAACTTGTCCGATTTGACGTCCACATGGTTAGTGTATGGATGAGGGTTTCAGAACCCTCTTCAGGAGGCTTAGCAGACACCGTTGTTCACTTATAAACATTTGGACTCTACTTCTGGTTTTTTTTTTTTTTAATTACAAACAAAACTTTGTTAGGTTGTTGTTTTGTGTAAAGTTTGTCCTTGTCCCCCCAAGGACAATCTAAAGTTCTTTCTAGGCCAGTCTCCCCATCTTTCTTGGGGAGAGATGGGGAACAGAGGAGATGAGAGATTTCTTGGGTCCCAGGCACTCTGCATTAACGCCAAACTTTTGGACTTACAAAAATATGCTTGCAGAATAAGGTAACATTAAAGTCCTTCCTGACAAGCAATACAAAAATCATTGACCAAGATCACAACCAATAACTGCACACCAAAGACCCGGGAAGCCCCTGGTCCCTGGGGCGCCTCTCCCCAGGCTTGCCTGGGCCGCCTGACCCAACGCCTGGACAAAACAAAGGCCCCTGCTTCCCGGCACCGCGCGGCCTCCGGAGCTGCACCCCCAAATCCCCGTGGCGACTTCATTTGAAGCGTGGAAGAAGCAACCACGCAAGTGGAGAGTGGGTTCTGAAAGCTCTGGGATGAACCACCCTCTCTCTTTCTGTCGTTCCTCTTTTAGGACCCCGGCTGCGGCGAGGAGGAAGGAGCCAGCCTAGCAGCTTCTGCGCCTGTGGCCGCGGGTGTCCTGGAGGCCTCTCGGTGTGACGAGTGGGGGACCCGAAGGCTCGTGCGCCACCTCCAGGCCTGGACGCTGCCCTCCGTCTTCTGCCCCCAATAGGTGCGCCGGACCTTCAGGCCCTGGGGTGAATTCAGCTGCTCCTACATCAGCTTCCGGAACCACCAAAAATTCAAATTGGGATTTTCCGGAGTAAACAAGAGCCTAGAGCCCTTTGCTCAATGCTGGATTTAATACGTATATATTTTTAAGCGAGTTGGTTTTTTCCCCTTTGATTTTTGATCTTCGCGACAGTTCCTCCCACGCATATTATCGTTGTTGCCGTCGTTTTCTCTCCCCGCGTGGCTCCTTGACCTGCGAGGGAGAGAGAGGACACCGAAGCCGGGAGCTCGCAGGGACCATGTATCAGAGCTTGGCCATGGCCGCCAACCACGGGCCGCCCCCCGGTGCCTACGAGGCGGGCGGCCCCGGCGCCTTCATGCACGGCGCGGGCGCCGCGTCCTCGCCAGTCTACGTGCCCACACCGCGGGTGCCCTCCTCCGTGCTGGGCCTGTCCTACCTCCAGGGCGGAGGCGCGGGCTCTGCGTCCGGAGGCGCCTCGGGCGGCAGCTCCGGTGGGGCCGCGTCTGGTGCGGGGCCCGGGACCCAGCAGGGCAGCCCGGGATGGAGCCAGGCGGGAGCCGACGGAGCCGCTTACACCCCGCCGCCGGTGTCGCCGCGCTTCTCCTTCCCGGGGACCACCGGGTCCCTGGCGGCCGCCGCCGCCGCTGCCGCGGCCCGGGAAGCTGCGGCCTACAGCAGTGGCGGCGGAGCGGCGGGTGCGGGCCTGGCGGGCCGCGAGCAGTACGGGCGCGCCGGCTTCGCGGGCTCCTACTCCAGCCCCTACCCGGCTTACATGGCCGACGTGGGCGCGTCCTGGGCCGCAGCCGCCGCCGCCTCCGCCGGCCCCTTCGACAGCCCGGTCCTGCACAGCCTGCCCGGCCGGGCCAACCCGGCCGCCCGACACCCCAATCTCGGTGAGTAGGAGCGCGAGGGCTGGGGCGCGTGAGGGCCGGGGCAGGGGCCGTCTTGAGCCCTGTCGAGGGCCTCTTGTTTTTCCACCAACGCCTTCGTTGGGCTGGGGATGGTGCTTCACTACCTCGAGTTTCTAGGGAAGGCAGAAGCCAGTGCGGGGCTGGCGACATCACAGCCCCAGAAGACCGGCTTCTGTGGAAGGGGCCGGGCCTGCCCGCCGGGGCCTCTTCTGAGATGGTGTCAGGGTCGGAGTGCGGCCTCCCCGCCATCCCAGACATCGACCGTGGCCGCGCTGCGCTGTGGGTGACGCGGGAGGACAGCGGGCTCCCTGGAGAGCCGGGGGCAGCGGCCTGGGATTTCCTCGTGGAAGGTGCTGGAGATTGCTGAGTTTCTGCGCCCCTTTCCTCCCCGCCCGCCCTCGGGCCTCCGCAGGGAACTGATTACAATGGTTTGGACCGCAGACCTTCTGGGCCATTTGGCGGCCCAGCTGGAGGATCCCTCGGGGTAGCTGATGATTTTCCCGTCGGGGGTCTCACACCGAGAACAAAGGAGGGATGGACAAAGGAGACGCCGGGGAGATGCGCGGAACAGGAGCCGGCACTGTGCGGGTGCCACCCGGCCGAGCGCGTGGGCGCATCATGCGGGCAGCGGGGGGGGGGGGCGCACACGCCCGGTCAGTGTCCGGGAACATAGGGACCTCAAACGGGCTTGTTCATGACACCCGAGTTAAATGGAGACTTTGCAGTCGCTTGCACGCGTGGAGCCTCCTCTTCTCGCGTGGGCCAGGGTTGGAAATAACCGTTGTGGTAGGTTCCATGCAGTGTTTCCATCGGATGTCAGACGGGGAGGGACGGCAAACCTGTCTCAACCTCCACTGATTCACAAATAAACGCAGCGGGATCTGAGAAGGGGCCTGAGTACTCGGGCCGGGGGAGAAAGGGAAGTGGCAACCCCTAGTTCAAAATGCAAACGACCTCTGGAATTTCGGGAAGAGACGGAGGAGTGAGTTTGGATTGAGCCCACCCTGTGGGGGAGGGGAAGCCCAGGCTTGAGAAGCAAAGCTCGCGTTTATTGACCACCTACTAAGTGCTAAATCCTTCTGCATTTGTTCTCACTTTGAAGAGTAAAGGCTACCCCTGCCAGGTTTCCAGTCTTGGGCTGGCTCCGAGAAGGGCCTAGGCTTTGAAGCGCTTTTAAATTGTCCTCTGGCCCTGGGTGGCCAGGGAAGGTTCCCGGGGGTGCAGCCAAATACACATCGCCGGCAAACTGATTAACCCTGAAAGTGGCGCCGAGGCCCGGTCTGTGGCTCTTGGTGTTCCCCTCCCCCTCACCCCTCTTGGGGGAGCCAGACGGCCACCCCCAGGGGAGGAGGGGCCCGGCCGAGCCTCGCCGCGACTTTTGCGAGATAGCGCGGCGACATGGCCACACAATGGAGCCCGCAGGCGGGAGTGCGGGGCGGGGCGCGGCGCCCTGGCCTTGCGCGCTTACGGGGTCCTCTCCAGGGCCCTCTGGGGCCTCTGACTTAAAATAGGGAGGACTGGGCCAGGAGATCGAGACAATCCTGGCCAACCTGTTGAAACCCCGCCTCTACTAAAATACAAAAAAAAAAAAAAAAATTAGCGGTCGTGGTGGCGCGCGCCTGTAGTCTCAGCTACTGGGGAAGCTGAGGCAGGAGAATCGCTTGAACCCGGGAGGCAGAAGTTGCAGTGAGCCGAGATCGCGCCACTGCACTCCAGCCTGGTAACAGAACAAGACTACGTCTCAAAAAAAAAAAAAAAAAAAAAAAAAAAGGACTGGTCCAGGGAGAGTTTGCTTTGTAACCCCGACAATCCTGGAGGGAATTTGGTGTTTGGTTAAGGAAAAGAGAGAAGTTAAAAGTCATGAGTTACATCCAGCAGTGTAAAAACGAAATACCCGCCGGGCGCGGTGTCTCACGCCTGTAATCCCAGCACTTTGGGAGGCCGAGGCAGGCGGATCACAAGGTCAGGAGTTCCTGGCCAACATGGTGAAACCGCATCTCTACTAAAAATACAAAAATTAGCTGGGTTTGGTGGTGTGTGCTTATAGTCCCAGTTACTTGGGAGGCTGAGGCAGGAGAATCGGTTGAACCCGGGAGGCGGAGGTTGAGTGAGATTGCTCCACTGCACTCCAGGCCTGGCGACAGAGGGAGTATGTCTCAAAACAAACAAACAAAAAACCGAAATACCATGTGAATGCACACAGTATTCAGATTTTGAAATGTCAGCCATGCCATGTAGAGGTTGCTGATGAAGTGATGTTTCCCAAATTCCCATGTCAGCAAATGGCAAGCTGACCTCCCTGTGCGTCTCTCTGCCAAGAACTGCCACCTGCCTTCTCTGGGCTCTTCCCGGATAGCTTATGAAGTCCACAGCCTTTGAATCTGGCCTAGAGGGTGGTTTTTCTCTTCTGCACCCAGCCAAGTGTTTTAGGAGAGGTGCGGCTCTCTGTGAGGGAACACAGGGCATGTTGAACTTGTTGGCATTCATAGCTTCAGCGTGTTATGCAGGTGGCACTTACATAAAAGCAACTGAAATTAAAAGCAGTGCATGTGGCCAGGCGCAGAGGCTCATGCCTGTAATCCCAGCACTTTGGGAGGCTGAGGCAGGAGGATCATTTGAGGCCAGGAGTTCGAGGTCAGCCTGGGCAACATAGTGAGACCCCATCCCTACAAATCATTTTAAAAAATTAGCCAGGCTTGGGGTGGCATGCCTGTAGTCCCAGCTTTGGAAGCTGAGGTAGGAGGCTCACATGAGCCCGAGGCCACTGCACTCCAGCCTGGGTGACAGAGTGAGACCCTCTCTCAAAAAAAAAAAAAAAAAAAAAAAAAACCAGTGCATGTGAATGTGCTTTTTATATGTTCTTCCCATCACTTGGGCTCTCCTACCTGCCTGGCAGCTTTAGTGAGGACCAGCATCACATAGTAGCTGACCCTGAGTCATGGAGGGAAGATGAGAACTGACCCCAGCTTTCTGAGGAGTTGCCACTGAGCCCTAAGATGGCCAGACAGTGTGGTGGGAGGAGCACAGGGTTTTAAAGTTGGGCAAACCTAGATTCAGTTCCAGGAGCCTCGTGTCATCTTGGGCAAGTTACTTACCTCTCTCGGTCTCACCTCTTTTTCTGTAAAATGGGATCATCATAACAATTTTTAGTGTTGCCTTAAATTAGAAAAGTAAGGTAATACTTTTGAAGAATTTGGCTTTAGCCCTTCATAAATGATGGTTATTTTATTGAATAGCCACTCACTGTCATGTAGAGTTACCAATTTTGCTGGTGTGCCCAGGACTGAGGGTTTTCCCAGAATGTGGGATTGTTCGTGGTAAACCTGGGACAGTCCCCAGTGAACGCAGATTGTTGGACACTCAATGTGAAAATGGGTGCATTACCCATCGTTGTGGTTTGGTAATGAGCTGAGAACAAAGAAGAAACAGCAGAGGAGAAGCAGCTGAGAGCAAAGGAGAAGCAGCATCATTCTTCCCTCTGCTGAGATTCTGGAAGTAGTCATTTAAGTGCTGCCAGCTTCATTTGGTCTTGAAGGGTGAGTAGGAGTTTGTCAGGAAAAGAACCAGCAATTTTTTAAAAAAAGAAATATTGACCATTTTATAGGAAAAAAAAGAAAGACAAAGAAAAAGAGGCCAGGTGCAGTGGCTCACACCTGTAATCCCACCCTTTGGGAGGCTGAGGTGGGAGGATTGCTTGAGCTCGGGAGTTTGAGACCAACCTGGACAACATAGTGAGACCACATCTCTAAAAAAAAAAAAAAAAAAAAATTAACTGGGCATGGTAATGCATGCCTATAACTCCAGCAACTCAGGAGGCTGAGGTGGGAGGATCGCTTGAGTCAGGGAGGTTGAGGCTGCAGTGAGCCGTGATTGCACCACTGTACTCCTACCTGGAGAACAGAGCAAAGACCCTGTCTCAAAAAAAGAAAAAGAAAAAGAAAGGATATACTCTGCTTTACTAATATGTTGTGTAGTACCATGAAATAATACAATGCAACCTGGCCTTTGATTTAAATAATATATTTGTCACAATAGGTAAAACTATACAGACTAATTAACCTTAACTCAGAAACTGTTTTTAATTTCAATGAGGAGAAACAAGAGAACACTTTTTTTTTCTATGTAACTGCTGTAGTTTTAACAATATCTTGCCATAGTTCTTATGTTGGTTATGTGAATAGGGCAAAAATCAAAACAATAATAAATAATAAAAGTTAACAGGGGCCTCTGTAAAGCCCTGAACTTAGGTTGGAAGAAATAAGTGTGGCCTGACTGCAATGTATGTGAACTTTAATTCACTCCAAGTTCCATATGAGCTACGACCCTAAGACAAATGTTAAAATCATTAATTAGGCTGCATGAATGGAATTATGTGACCTTACTGAGGGCAGGTACAGAGTCTTACTCATTTTTAAGTGCCTGGCACATGTTGGGCACTTAGCAAATATTTGCGTAGGGATCTTGGTGGTAATTGCCCCAGGACTCTGCCCTGCCTGGGTCCAACCACACAGAATGGCTGCGTGTGTCCTTTAAGAAGCAAACTGGAGAGCCCTAGGGGAACGGTGGGCAGGATGGAAGAGGGTTCTGGAAACTTCAGGGAACCACTGGAGGAAAGCAGGGCTTTTAGGCTGGAGAAGTCACTGAGTGGATGAAAGCAAGATGGAGTATGACTGTGTCCAAATTTCTGAAAAGCAAAAAAAAAAAAGAAAAAAAAGACCATGACCTTTTAACTCTGTGTTAGTGAAGGTGAGCAGATATTAGATGTGAGAAGAACACTCCTAGACAATTGTGGTTGTGTGGAAATGCAGTATAGAATATGGCTTGTCTTCATCATAAACTCCTGGGCGCTGGAAGCACTTGTGGTGGAGCTCTGCGGATAGTTCTTGCCTTGCAGGGCTAGGATAGGATCTGCATGTGCCTGTGAAACGGACGTAGCCGGAGAACGTAGCTGTTTCCTTTTAAAGAACCCAGTCACGGTGGTTACACGTGTATCTCCATATGGCAAAATTGTGGAGCTGTGCTCTTAAAATGGGAGTCTTTTATTGCATGTACATTACACCTCAGTGAAGCTGATTTTTATACCAGTTAATGCTTGTGAGTACTTAAGGCTGAAAAGGAGACCGAAATGGAAATAGATTGTAAATATGCCTTGACGGATATATGGTGGTAGGTGTTACTGGAAAGGCTAGGAAAATATATTTAAGTATGGAATAACAATTATTTTGTGTAATGGAGACATAAGCAATTATGATATTCTCCAAGGATTTCAAAAAGTTTGAATCATTTTTAGAGTCGATAAAAATAACAACACAATGAAATACATGTACAGTATATCACTGTGTTATTCAAACAATTTATTTAAAAGAAGTTTTGCCCCATTAGGGATGGAGTGGGGGCATTCAAGGTGTTCTCAGAGTTTTTTTATGGTGCAGGTCAGTGAAAAACCCCGAAGTGTTTTCTGGATCTTTTGGGACCTGCTTATCAAGTACGCTAGTGGCTTTCAAAGCCGGTTCATTTGTGCAGGGAACTTTGTGAGACTGGAGAATGATTTGTCGATCTTCAGGAAAACCAAAGTTGTTTAACTTTCCGGTTACCACCCTGAGCAGGTCAGTCAGAGTTGGGGTTGGTCTGTGGTGCTAAGCTGAGAACGAATTAAATAAGAAAGGTGTGTTGGGGTGGCCAGGGGTGTGTCACTACCTCTAGTGAGCCCTGTCACTTGCCCAGTTGTGTCCCATCAAAAGGTCAGGCCACATTTGCTAGGCACTTTCTAAGCACTCAGGTGGAATGATGCCCGGGAGACAGTTCTAGATAACGCTTTATTCTGTATCCCTCCCCATTTCTTTTCTAACTTAAATGCACTAAGAAAACAAACACACTGAGGTGTGGGGAAACAGGAACTCTGATACCTGTGGGTGGGAGTGTAAATCGCTCTGACCTTTATGGAGAGTCTTAGGTGTAGTAGCCATAAAATTGCAAAGTAGACAGCCTGGACTCCGGAATTTTCACTTCTAGGGATTTGTTCCACAAGCACACCGGCACATATTAATTTCAGCATTGCTCGTAATAACAAAATTGGAAATAATCTAAATGTGCATCCTTAGGGGAATGTTTTTATGCACGTGGCACATACAAACCATAAGCTATGTAGGCAAGAAATAATGAAGTTCATTATCTAATGTATGGAATCCTCACAAAGACATTTATAAATGCAGGAAGTGTATATAGCACTTTACTGTTTGTGTTAAAAAAAAGAAAGAAAAAGATTATATTCACTTGAAAATACAAAATCTCACAAAAAATTTGTAACACAGATTTGCCTGTGGGGAGGAAAGCGGGTAGGTGAGGGATAATGGTAGAAAAGGGACTTTCACTATGCATGCCTTGGAACTTTTTGAATTTTTTAACCACCTTAATCATTTTTATACTCATTTCTGTGCCTTATTAATCCATTTAATAACAAGAAAATACATTTAACATACAGGGAAGTTAAAGTTAAGTTTAATGTAAAAATTTCAAATCATCGGCTGGGTGCAGTGGCTCACACCTGTAATCCTAGCACTTTGGGAGGCTGAGGCGGGCGGATCGTGAGATCAGGAGACCAGCCTGGCCAATGTGGTGAAACCCTGTCTCTACTAAAAATACAAAAATTAGCTGGGCATGGTGGCACGTGCCTGTAATCCCAGCTATTCAGGAGGCTGAGGCAGGAGAATTGCTTGAACCCGGGAGTTGGAGGTTGCAGTGAGCCGAGATCACACCACTGCATTCCAGCCTGGGCGACAGAGCAAGACTCCATCTCAGAAAAAAAAAACAACTCAAATCATCTTAGCCACTTTTAAGTATACAGTTCAGTAGTGTTAAATACCTTTGCATTGCTGTGTATCAGATCTTTAGAACTTAAACTCTGCCCATTAAAATACCACTCCCATTCCTCTCCACACCAGCCCCTGGTAACCCCCATTCTATTTTCTTTTTCTTATGAATTTGACCACTCTAGGGACCTCACACAAGTAGAATCGTACAGTGTTTGTCGTTTTGTTTCTGGCTAATTTCATTTAACATAATGTCTTCATGATTCATCCATGTTGTAGCATGTGCCAGAATTTCCTTCCTTTTTAAAGCTGAATAATGTTCCATTGTATGTGTAGACCACGTTTTGTTTATCCATTCATCCATGGATGGACACCTGAGTTGCTTCTCCGTCTTGGCTACTGTGAATAATGCTGCTATGAACATGGGTATGCAAATGAAACCTTTTGAATTTGGAGAATGTGACTATATTACCTAATTTTAAAAACATATTAAACTAATTAAGTTTTAAAAAACAGATACATGATATTCATGAATCAACCTGAAAGTAGCATCTTTTTCTTTTTTTTTTAAAGAAGATTCTCTATTTAGTGTTTATGGATGCACAGGAAAACTGCTTTAAGGCATAAGTTGTTTTTTATTAAATTTGTCTTTTACCTATTCTTTTACAATTTTGGGGGTTTTCCTTTATGCTCAAGCTTCCTCAAGATTCTTCAAGGCAGATCAAAACCATCCTCAGTGGCAATCCTGTATTTGGCTTTTGATTTTGCTTATTTCACAGGAGGTTGCTTTACTGAGAGGGGGAAATCTCTACTCCTGGTCTCAGTGCTGGTAGTGGATCTAAATCAGCAATGGGCGGACACCCCAGCCCCACACTACTGTGGCTTCCCCACTTGTGGGCACAAACAGTCACGTACTAGGCAATGGTGACCTCTCCAGGTAGGCAGTTTTCCCTCAGGTTATATTGGAGTTAGAACCTGCCTGAAAACCACTAACCGGCTGCAGCGGTGGGATTGTGTGAAGAACAAGTTACCTTCCTCCAGGGCAAGGTGATTCTTTTAAACAAATTTTAAGACAATTTAGTTGTACTGAATTTAGAGCTGAAGCCAGTTGCAAATGTAGCTGCTTGTGTCTGCATAAGAAAGAGGAAGTATGCTAGTTTTCCTTTCCTTGTTCCAGAAGAGGGCAGTTCTTGCCAACGCGAGCTGCTGCTTTAAGAACTTGAAGCAACTTTTCTGACATCTGAAACTATTTGTCTTTTGGGAACTTATTTGTCCTAGCCTGCCTGCAGAACCAGCTGTTAAGGCTCTGTTGGGAAGGAGTATCGCTCTGCTATATTGACCTCTGGTAGACCATGACATGGCCCCATATGCCATACAACATAAACTGGTTACTAAGAGTAATTTAATGGCTATCTCTAGAGCTACTCTTTTGTTACCTTCTAAAGAAGGCAGGGAAGAAAATATAAATGGGGTTATAATAGGAATAATCTTGAATCTGTTTTAATTTATACAAAATACATTTATAAGTTTTGGCACATTGACGTTTGGATACTGGCTAACAACTTTTTAGCGAGAGTAGCCTGTATCTTGCATGTCATTCCATTGAACAGTAAGGTGGATCCCTGTCAATGAAGAAATCATCTGATGCCAGGGACTTTGAAGTCTTTCTCCAAGAGGTAGATACGATGATCTCTGTTTTGCTGGAAAGAAAGCTGATACCCAGAAAGAGCCTGTAATCTCAGGTCCCCGTGGGTAGTAAACAGCCCTGGTTTGGAACCCAGGTAAGTCCAACCTGCAGGATTGTACTTTCCCCCTTTCCCCACACTTTGTATTTGCCAAATCTGATATGAGGGCACTTGGCTCTTCAGAACCAGAAGCTATGTGTGATTGAAGGGCTCTATTAAACCTTAGGATTTTCCATGACTTGTCGCTCCCATCCGCTTCCTCTCCCCAGGGTAGCTTCTTGTCTGAGTTTCCGTTTGCTTCCCACCAATCACTGTCTCTCTAGGAGCAATGTCGTCCTACGGAATCTTCCGTATCATTCCTCAACTGTAAGCTCTGCAGTTCAGGAATGCAATGTTAGGAATCCCAGTGTTGCACAAACTTCCTTTCTAGCCGTTGGATTCTGGTGTGCAGAGAACTAAAGAGACTTCCCAGGATTCAGACCCTTCCAATGGGAGGATTCTCCTAACTCTAGGGGAACTGTTGGCTGCTTAAGAGCAAAACCATATGGCTCACTCAAAAATCCCTTTCCTGAGAGAAATCTATAACTGACCCTCTGTGTTCCCTTTTCTCTGAAGATTTCAAATATATTTGTGGTAAAAGCAGAGAAAGAAGAGGAGAAAATCATAATAAAAGCACAATAATGATGATTTTAGTAAAGATAAGAATGGGGCATGGATCAAGACAATGACTAAAACCCCAGGCAGGAAAAGCCCCGTGGAATTGGTCTGAACTGAATGTAGCAGCCCATCAGTGGAAGTTTTCTTGTTTCTGGCAGGTGGCCTATGCTTTTATCTATTACTGCTCTGTAATCAGAATTGAGCCACGATATTCAAGTTTCTTATCTGAATGATGGGAATTTGGTTTTCTGGCCTTCTGCATTTTGCAGGAGCCCAAGAATTGACCTGATGTTTTAAAATATATTTTCCCTCCAAAGGAGGAGTAAAATCCAGACAGGTGGGCCATTCTGTGTGTTTAAAGTCATTGAAAAGCCTCTGCAAGTAAAATTTGAGGCTGTCTGTAACCCACATTGAATAGTTACAGATATATTTTATTTTGGAGGATAAAAAATCAAGAAGTTACTACCACAATTTGGTGGGAATTTTGAATTTTGGAGTTTTCCTTTGTACTCAAGCTTCCTCACGATTCTTCCAGGCAGATCAAAGCCATGGGTTTTGGGATCCCCTAATCGCAAATCCAGTTTTGCTTCTTAAAATCTAATCAGTCCTTAAGTTATTTTTTAAATCTTCCTTTCTACTCCCCAGTTGAAATCTCCATTTCTACTTCTAGAAATCCAGTCAAACCTTATCGCCTCCATTTAGAACTGATCGATAGCAACTGGTGAGCAGGTTAATTATAATCGCAGAATAAACGCTGAAGTCTCAAAGTTCACCACTTTTGCAATGTTTCCAAACCCCTCGGGACCATGCCAGGAGGCGCTCATTGACCCATTCCGAGCAGGTGTGGGAGTTTGAACCAGGGGCAGACAATCAGATCTGATTCAAACAACTCAATTTGGTTGCTTATCTAGAGGTTTTCCTATCTTATGATATCTGTCATTTTAGATAAAAAAGAGTTCATCAATTGAGCTGGGAAATGGCAAAGTTACATTTTATTCTGATAAAAGTTTGCTAGTTGTTGTTTTATCAGCTTGGGTTGAAATTGTGTCTCCGTCAAGGTCTGCAATGACCTTTTCAGATATTTTATCAGGTATTAGGTGGGGGAGTCCTTTTTTTTTTTTTCCTTCTTTGACCTAGAAAAGAATGACCTGACTTCCAAGATCATAAATCAAACCAGGTAAAGACAGGCAATAATACAGGTTGCCCCTCAAAATTGAGTAGGCGGGGAAAACAAACAACAAATAAAACCTTTCCCTAGCATTTGGGGAGAACTTAACTTGACCCGAAATAAAGAATGTAGTTCCCACGGAGTGCACAGATGTAGGAAAATACTGCTTATTTTAAAAAAGAAAATGCTTTCCAGGCAAAAATGGCTTCAGAGAAACACGTAGTAATTTTTTTTCAAGTAGTATAAGGGAAACTTCTTTATTTTATGAAACTCAATGTATATTTATTATAGAAAAATGGAAAACTCACATAAACCAATGTAAAAATAATTGGTAATCTTACCATCCAAAGATAACCACTGTTAGGCATTAATCCTTGACTTCCAGTTATCCTACATACACAGGTATGTGTATAACTACATTATTAAGTAGTCGTGCAAGTTACTGTTTAAAGTCATTTCAGCACTGATGGCAATTTCTGTAAAATTAGTGACCCAGATTGGATCCTTAAACACTGATGCCATTTTTAAATAAAGCAGAAATGAGAAATTGACCAGCACTGTCAATAACAGCTGAATGGAAGAGTTGGGTGTAAAAACATATTTTTTAATCTTATGGTATATAATTTATAGCCACTTTAAAACTAAAGCATATTTGTAAGTTTTAAATTAGGGTCCTTGAAGCGAGGTGCCCCCAGGACGTGTGATTTACTAGGCCTCACTGGGGAATGGGAGTTGCAGCGCTGAAATCTGCTATTTGAAAAGGGGTGACCCAAGATCCCAGCAGCCGCAGGGAGGTGAAAGCACATTGGTCTGGCGCGGAGAAACCCTGGGCTCCTCTCCCAGACCCTTCTCTTCCTGCGGTGTGACTCACTGCCTCTCTCTGCTTGTGTGGCCATTTGTAAGGTGAAGAATTCAGGTCAGGTACAGCAATGGTGAGAAGGACTGCTCTACCGCCCTTTGGAGATGTTTAAAATCGAGTGTCTTCCGGCATGCCCCGTGATAGTCATTCAGGCTGACTTTGTCTTTCCCGGTACCACAGAGGCCACATTAACATTAAGCCTTCCTGTGCCTGCGTGGACATCAAACTCGAATTCATGCTTGCCTGTGTCAGGTAGGTTTCCACGGCTGCCTGCCTCGTTTTAAGCAACTCTGTGAAATCTTGGGTTTGATGGACTCATCTTTTCTTTTTACCTTTTATTTTAGATTTGGGGGTGCATGTGAAGGTTTGTTACATAGGTAAACTCGTGTCACGGGGATTTGTTTTACAGATTATTTCATCACCCAGGTATTAAGCCCCAGTACCCAATGCTTATCTTTTCTACTCGTCTCCCTCCTGCCACCCTCCACTCTCAATTAGATACCAGCATCTGCTGTTTCCTTCTTTGTGTTCATAAGTTCTCATCATTCAGCTCCCACTTATATGTGAGAACATGCGGTTAGTTTCCTTTCCTGCATTATTTTGCTAAGGATAATAGCCTACAGCTCCATGTATGTTCCCTCAAGAGACCTGATCTGGTTTTTTTTTTATACGGCTGCATTGTTTTTCTTATGCAAAGTGACCTCAGGTGCTCTGAGTTTCCTGCTGCTTGGGCTTTGCTTTTCAGTTAATAAACCCACTGAGTGTTGTCTGCAGGTCTAGGCAGTGGTGGAGATTTCATAGAAGTTCAGCTCCCTTCACACCCCAGCTCCACATGCGTGATTTGTTTCATCCATCCACCAGCCAATAAATACTTCTCCCCATTCCCTGTGAGCCTGGCGCTGGTCAGGCTGTAAAGATACAAAATGAACAGAAGTGTCTCCGAATCCCAGCAACTTAGAGCTTGCTAGGGGAGGGAACACGTGGATGTGCACTCTTAGGGGCAGGGGATCTGAAGCGCAAGGGGGCGAAAGTGGGTTCTACGGAGCCCTTAGGATACCGAAACTGGCCTGGGCGCCTGAAGTCAAGGCCAGGCTTCCTGGGCAAGGCAGACTTGTGGCATCCTAAAGGATGAGTAGGCGTTTGCTGCCTATAGGAAGGCCATTCTGAGCCCAGGACTTAGCTTGAATCAGGCTGTTCTGCAGTCCCGAGTGGAGGGCGCGAGGCAGGAATGCAAGCAGAAGCACGGCGTTGAGGGATGTTAGAATGCTGGAAAGGTGAGCAGGATTCGAGCAGCACTTCAGATATAGCGCTTTGGTTATGGTATAAGAAGGCGCAAGCTCCTGGCTGTTGGTTTTGTTTTGCACCCAAGCAGGGTGATGAGCGCCTCCCGCTGAGTCACCCATTTCCCATCGGAGAAGGAACTCTGGTTAAAATGAAGCCGCACGCTACAGGCCAGTTTTGGAGGATTTATGTGGTGTGCTTCGGCAGCAGGGCACGGCGGCTGTGTGGTTTGAGTTCAAATTGAGGGCCAAGAGGGGAGAAAACTCAAGCCAATTTTAGTCCCCAAATCTGGAGCCCTGCCCTGGGAAGGAAGAGGAGTGTTCGTCTGACCCAGAAGGTCAAGCATCTTGTAATTCTGCCCTCTTCTTGTACTTTCTCTAAAGGTGGTGGGATGACATAGGATTACAATATAGATAATTACAGGGGACAATACTATGATGCAAGGATGGATTGCCAGACCCTGTAGGGTGGATTCACCTACCTCCCAGGAGGTGTAGAGGTGAAGAGGAAGGGCTCAGATCAACCGATCTTTCTTTCTCATTTGAACCTCTCTCACTTTGATCCATCACCCTTCCTTTAATTTTAAGTTCAATTTCTACCTTTTAAATAGGTTAAAAAACATTTTTTTGAGACAGACTCTCACTTTGTTGCCCACACTGGTCTCTAACTCCTGGGCTTAAGCGATCCTCCTGCCTCAGCCTCCCAAAGTGCCAGGATTACTGGTGTGAACCACCACACCCCACCTAAATAAGTTTTTTAATGTGAAAAATTTCAAACATAATAAAAATAGAGAGTAGAATATTCATCCCTCAGCTTTGACAAATATCATTTCATGACCAGCTGTTTAATCTATACATTACTCACTTTCCCCCACACAGTGTTATTTTGAGGCATATTCCAAACAGCATGTCATTTTACCCACAAATACTTTTGTATATATGTCTGAAAAGTACGAGGACTCTTTTATTTTAAAAAATACAGCCCCAGTGCCATGTTATCACCCTGAAACAAATTGTCACTCTTTAATATCATTCAATATCCGGTCACTGTTCAATTTCCCAGTTTGTCTAATTGTCTTTAATGCCTTGTTCCAATCAGGATCTAAATGAGGTCTAAGCATTGCCTGTGTTATGCCTGTTAAGTTTCTTTTAATCTATGGGTTTCTCTTTCATCTCCTTTTCTTCTCCTTGCATTCTGTTTGCTAAAGAAATGAGGCTTTTCCCAGAGGACTTCTGCAGACTGGATTTTGTTGACTGCCTTCTCTTCATGACATTGAACATATTCCTCTGTCCCCTGTTGCTCATGTAAGTCTGTGATGGGAAAGATAGGCACACTCAGATTCAAGTTTGTGATGGCAGCAGCCCTGGATGCTCATTGCCTAGACCCTTTACTTTGTTAGGCATTGCTAATGGTAATATTCTACTGCCACCATTCCTTCTTCATTTGTTAGCTGGAATTCTTCTATAGCAACAAGCACATTTTTAGCTTATTGAATATTTGGTTACTTGGAGGTACAGTTTGTCTAGGAAAGGCAGGATACATGCCTGCTACAGTCGCTTTACTTTTCATTGTTCAAAAGAACAAATTAGTTCTCTAGCATCCTTCAACAATTACCAATGAAATGAAATTGTTTTCAGCATGATTAAGAACTCATGGACTTCAGCTGAGTATAGAGGCTCATGCTTGTAATCCCAGCACTTTGGGAGGCTGAGGTTGGAGGATCATTTGAACCTAGGAGTTTGAAGCCAGCATGAGCAACATAGTGAGAGCCTGTCTCTACAAAATAAATAAATAAATAAATAAATTAGGCAGGGGTGGTGGCATGTGCCTGTAGTCCCAGATACTTGGGAGGCTGAAGAGGGAGGATTGCTTGACCTGGGAGTTCGAGGCTGCAGTGACTCATGGTCCAACCACTGCAATCAGCAAGACCCTGTGTTAAAAAAAAAAAACAAAAAAACCTCATGGGTTTAAACAAGCATGATGTGTTTCTATCCGTATATCCTGATTGATGTTCAGATTGTCCTATCTTTGCTAGAGGGAACTTGCTTAAACTGAGCTCTTTTGACAAAATCTTAGTTTAATAGTTTCTTGCTTTCCATCCTATAAAATGTCCTAATCTCTTTTTATGAGTTTTCTCTTGCCAGGCCTGGATTTGGCCATTTGCCCCAAGAAACCTGGCTCCTGTTAGTGAGGAATGGCGTTTGGAGATCAATCTCAGAGCTAGCTCTGCCAGCTGGGCTTATTGCTATTGGGTTAGTCATTCAACATGCAGAGTCAGGAAATACGTACCCCTCCTACCCCAAAGATAAGATAAAATACAGCATGTCTTCATACTGATGCTTTCAATTCAAATTTAGGGCTAAAAGGCTTTTACTTGCTTCATTCATCTTTTTAAAAAAATTATCTTAAACTATACATAAGATAAAATGTACCGTTTTAGCCATTATTAAGTGTACAGTTGGGTGGCATTAAGTACATCCACAGTATTGTACAACCATCACCCCCAGCAGTCTCCGGAACTCTTGCATCTTCCCAGGTGAAACTCTGTACCCATTAAATAACGTCTCCGTATCCCCTTCCCTCCAGCCTCAGGCAGCCCCCATTGTGCTTTCTGTCTCTCTGAATGTAACTACTTTAGTTACATGGAAGGACACAGTATTCTCTTGTGACGGGCTCGTTTCCTTTGGCATAGTGTCTTCAAGGTTTCTCCATTTTGTAGCATGTCAGAATGCAGCATGTCTTTTTTTTTTAAGGCTGAATAATATTCCATTGTATGGATCGATACTGTATTTTGTTTATCCATTCATCCCTCCATAGACAATTGGGTTGCGTCTGCCCATTGACCATTGTGAATAATGCCGCCATTTTTACATGGGTGAACAAATATCTATTCACCTCCCTGCTTTTACTTCTTTATGGTATATGCCCAAAAGCGGCATTGCTGGATCCTAGGGTAATGCTATGTGGTTTTTAGGGACCATCATCCCATTTTCCAGAGACTGCACCATTTTATATCCTTCATGGCATCTTTACATCTGTCAGTCTTTCCAAAAATCCCATTCTCAACATCTCCAACGTAATTCTTCATTTTCTGTATGTCATAACATCCTCATCTCTGAGTAACAATAGGAACACTTCACCAGCAGTACGAGTCCTGAAACCCGCCCTGTGTTGCTTGCCTTGTCTTGCCTTTTGACATTGGGCTCACCTCCAGTGTTTCTAGCTGTTGGCTGTGGGCTCCTCATCACCTTCGTGAGCTGGTGGCACATGGGCAGGCATGAATAAATAAGTGCCTTAGGGACACATGCACAAAGAAGTGTGTGTGTGTGTATCAAATGCATTGCCCACATGGAGGCTGAAGGCAGAGTCTTGAGAGAGGAGGCGATCAGAGGCCTAACCCAGCCTTGGGAGTGAGTGGGTGATGACAGAGGACATGGAGGGAAGGAAAGTCACAGGCCAAATAGGGAAGGAAGGCCATGGGGGAGCCAGTGGCCATCGTCTTTCTCTTGAGCTCCTGTAGCCACAGTGTGAAGGGAAGAGCTGTATGTGTAAGACGCCTTCCATGTGCCCCTCATGCCCGCAGTGTACACGGGCTGGGGGTGGGTCATCCTGACGTTGCCCGCTCAGGGGTGGCCTTCACGTTTGCTTCACCGCCTTTCATTCTCTGCTGTCCTTCTGTGTTGTCATGGAAGGAGTCACGCTCTGTCCTTGGAGCCTCGTGCGCAGCCCATGCAGTCCCTGTGGGGCTGGGGTAGAGATGAGGGAGGAGGGATACCCTGTAGCAAATGGGATCCGGTCATGTGGCCCAGGCCAATGTCATCATCCTCCCCAGCAGGGACTTAGATCCATGTTTTCCCAATAGCTTTATTTGCTGGGTGGAGAAAGTCTGGAGGAACTTTTGAATAGGGAGTTGAGTACATTTTGAGTAGGTTGTGAAAGTTAGGAAAGACTGTCTCACCCCCAGTCCTGTTGAAGCCCCGTGCATCACGCAAGGGCTGGGGAATCTGATTCCGTACTGGCCCCCACCTTCAGAAGCCTCCGGCTCCGGGCACACGCTGGGAAGTGGATGCCACTGCCAGGGAGGGAACTTGCAGAACCGAAGGCCTCTTTTTGCCTGGTTTCCTGTTGGGAGAAGAGCAAGTTCTACAGTATTTCTGGAGAGTGCTTGGGTTTTACTGCGCAGGCTGGGGTGAGTCTTGGTCTTAGTGGGGATGGCCAAGGTTCGTGAAACTCCTGCCCCTCGCTCTTCACTCTGGAGGTCAGACTTGCTGCTGCCTGCCTGTCGTGGCAGGGAAGAGCGTGGACCCAGCAGCCTTGGCTCACAGCGAGTGCTGACCCTAAGCCATTATTACTCGGCACCTTGGCAATCCATCTGGTACTGATGGCCTCAAAGAGGGAAGCAGAAGGTGCATCTTGCAAGTGCATGAAAGCCAGTGGCGGGAAAGGGGCCTGGGCCCGGGGGGTGGGGTGGCTTCTGGCCTCTGCATCTCTGTGTGGCTTGTCTCTGCATGCAGCTTTTGACTCATCTCCAGCCACAATTCCTGAGCGTCAGCCTGTGGCCTCTGTTCTCATTCTACCTTCTGGTGCTGTCCTTTTATTTGGATTATAGTTCCACTAGCCTGGAAGTATTTTCAGGGCAAGAATTATGCCACATTTCCTTCTGGGGTCCGGAATACCATCACCTGGTACATACAGGACACATGCACGTATTCCTTCACAGAAAAGATGCAGCCCGGAATCCATCCTGAAGCATTTGGCAGCTTTGGCTCACATATTCAGACCTCTGTGAAAGGCTCTGCTGAGACATCTTCGGCGGGAGCGGAGCCATCCTTGTAAAAGGAACCTGAGAAACAGAAGCCCAGGGATGAGCCCATGTGGATCCCTGGCCAGTTTTACAGGGAGAAGGACCCTGAGAGACGCCAGGGAGATTGAGGTAGCAAAGGCGCCCAAAACCTAGAAGGCCAGGAAGCGAGAGAAGAGCGCAGAAAGTTCTAACATTATGTTCTCAAAGGTAGTAACACGGGAACAGGGCAGTGAGGTGTGGCCAACACCGGGGACCTCTTGGGTCTGAGGCAGGGAGAAAGGTGCAGGTGGAGATGTCCCAGGGACAGGGGGACAGGTGGCAGTGGCTGGACTCTGAGGGCTAAGGGCTGGTGCACATGTGGGATACTCCAGTCTCTGTTTGAACCCTTGAGAGCAGGAGAGAGCCCCCAGGGGAGTGGGGGCGGTGCAGAGGGGTGGAGGAGGAGCTCTGCAGAGCTGCCTTCTGATGCAGTTGGAGGCCTTGGGAGGCCCAGAGCCAGGCAAGGGAGATGAGGAAGTGGATAGGCGTGTGCCCCCGTGTTTGCCTGTAGACACCCCTTGCATCCTCACTTGATCCCTTGATGCTCTGCTGGGCCCTGATGGTGCCCTCCTGGCTTCCAAAGGCCCCCTGCCATCTTTACATTCCATCAGTGTTCTGGACCTGGAGCAGATGACTCACAATCTTTCCCTGCCAGCTTGCAGAGACTTCTGGAGTTTTCACTCATCTAGTTTGTCCTTTCCCATCTTGGGTGCCTCAGCCGACTGTTTTTCCCTCCAACTCACTTTGAGTAGATTCTCCATGATCCTTCCTGGAGAGCCCCTTGAGGCACCAGGAGAGCTGTGCGTGCCAGCCATGCCTCTCAGCCTCATCATAACAAACGTCACAGGGAAACAAGCTCCCTTCAGACCCTGTTTAAAGGCGTTTAAAGGCGGTAAGTGCCTGTCAGTCTTGGAGGATAGTGACTCACTGCCTGAAAACCTTCACAGAAGTGACAAGACACTTTTCTTCGGGGAATGTTGATATTGAGTTTCCTCCCCTGTGTAAACACATCTCCAGGAGTGGCATTAATAATGGGGACCCTTTCCCCAGGACAAAGCAGAGGATGGGGGGAGAAGGAAGAGGAGAATGGACCCGCCTGCTGGGAAGGGGGGAGAGCTGGCCATATAAGCAGCTGTTCCTGGTGAAGGGGGAGCCCATTAGCCAGACCCTTTTTTCATTTGTTTTCAGGGATTTTGCTTATAATCTTTATGGGGACCGCCAACTTTTTATTTGACAGTTGATAAGGAGAGGCACTAGAGTCTAGTAAGTGGTTAAAGAAGCTGGAGTCAGGCACCTGATTTAAAATTCCTGCTAGCCTGGGTGCGGTGGCTCACACCTGTAATCCCAGCGCTTTGGGAGGCTGAGGCAGGCAGATCGCTTGAGCTCAGGAGTTCGAGACCAGACTGGGCAACATGATGAAACCCTGTCTCTACTAAAAATACAAAAAATTCGCCCAGTATGGTAGTGTCTGTCTGTGGCCCCAGCTAGGGAGGCTGCGGTGGGACGATCACTTGAGCCTGGGAGGTGGAGACTGCGGTGAGCCGTGATCTAGCCTGGGTGACAGAGTGAGACTCTGTCTCAAAAAAAAAAAGTAAAAAAAATCCAGCTTTACCCCGTATAATGTCACCCAGTTTTCATGCCCATAAAATTGGAATGGAAACTACTCCATAGAGGCTAAGAAATATTATTCATAAAGCATAGTACTCGGCATGTAGTAAGTGTCTATAAATGTTAGTCTGCATTTACTTATTTATTTATTTAGAGATGGAGTTTCACGCTTGTTGCCCAGGCTGGAGTGCAGTGGTGCAATCTCAGCTCACTGCAACCTCTACCTCCCAGGTTCAAGCGATTCTCCTGCCTCAGCCTCCCGAGCAGCTGGGATTACAGGCGCCTACCACCACACCAGCTAATCTTGTATTTTCAGTAGAGATGGGGTTTCATCATGTTGGCCAAGCTGGTCTCAAATTCCTTATGTCAGGTGATCCACCGCCCTTGACCTCCCAAAGTGCTGGGATTACAGGCGTGAGCCTCTGCACCCAGCCAAATATTAGTCATTAAGCCAACCATTAATAAATGCTATTATCATTAAAGGAAATATTGAAAATAGTATCTTTTTTGTTTTATTTTTGGTTTTGTTTTTGAAACAGGGTTTTGCTCTGATGCTCAGGCTGGAGTGCGGTGCTGTGATCATAGCTCACTGCAGCCTTGAACTTCTGGGCTCAAGCACTCCGCCTTCCTCAGCCTTCTAAGTAGCTGGGACTACAGGTGTGCACCACCATACCCAGCTTTTTTTTTTTTAATTATCATTTTACTTTCTGTAGGGGCAGGGTCTTGCTCTGTTGCCCAGGCTGGAGTACAGTGGCATGGTCATGGCTCACTGTAGCCTTCAACTCTTGGGCTCAAGCAATCCTCCTTCCTCAGCCTCCAAAAATGGTGAGATTATGGGTTTGAGCCACTGTGCCCAGCCCTGGATTCAATACCATAAAGGGTTAGATTGCACAGGAGGCTGCCAAGTTGAATTAAGTGGGGTTTTATATTAGTGAGAATTTGCCTTCCTTCTCAGTATTAATCTACATTTAGGTCATAGACCCCATATCCAACTTACTGTCTATAATTTCTCTTACATAGGGGGGCACATTTAGATAAGCACAGACTAATTGGGGTTATAGTCATAGCTTTAGAATAGTTTAAAGACCTAGCTGACGGCCAGGCGTGGTGGCTCACGCCTGTAATCCCAGTACTTCGGGAGGTCGAGGTGGGAGGATCACTTGAGGTCAGGAATTCGAGACCAGCCGGGCCAACATGGTGAAACCCCTTCTCTACTAAAAATAGAAAAATTAGCCATGTGTGGTGACAGGTGCCTATAATCCCAACTACTCAGGAGGCTGAAGCAGGAGAATCACTTGAACCTGGTTGCAGTGAGCCATGATCGTGCCACTGCACTCCAGCCTGGGTGACAGAGCAAGAAAAAAAAGATCTAGCTGAGGGAGTTGGGACCAGATGATTTTCTCCAGTGATGTTTGAACAAAAAGAAAAAATGCAGCTGGGCGCGGTGGCTCATGCCTGTAATCCCAGCACTTTGGGAGGCCAGGGTGAACGGATCACGAGGTCAGGAGTTCAAGACTAGCCTGGCCAACGTAGTGAAACCCCATCTCTATTAAAAATACAAAAAATTAGCCAGGCGTGGTGGCATGCACCTATAATCCCAGCTACTTGGGAGGCTGAGGCAGGAGAATCATTTGAACCCAGGACACAGAGGTTGCTGTGCCACTGCACTCCAGCCTGGGCAACAGTGCGAGACTGTGTCTCAAAAAAAAAAAAAAAATGCAGAAGCTACTTAGGTTGAACACAGAAAGGAAGAAGGACTGTGTAGTTCAGTAGTGTGTGTTCTGAGAAAGCCCTCACAGCGTTGGTCTCTAGTAATCTCTGGAAATAAGTGAATCATTCCAGCTTGAATTATCATGATGCAAAATTGTGTTCGCTGAAAAGCAGGGGTTAAGTCCGCTGCCTTGTGAATTTCCGCCTGGAAATGCATCTGACCCATGGTGGTTGCTCAATTCTGAGTGAGTTTGGAGAAGGAAGGAAAATGAGGAGTTACTTATTAGTTAGTCGTTATACATTTTTGGTTTTTAAACCCAATATATAATTCCTGGATATTCCTACCACTTACTATTTGTTGTCGTTGTTTCTATTGTTTTTGAGAGAAGAAGGTCTTGCTCCATTGCCCAGGCTGGAGTGCAGTGGCGTGATCATGGCTCACTGCAGTCTTTACCTCCAGGGTTCAAGGAATCCTCACACCTCAGCCTCCTGAGTAGCTGGAATTACTACCATGCCCAGCTAACGTCTATATTTTTTGGAGGTAGGGTTTTGCCATGTTGCCCAGGCTGGTCTTGAACTCATGAGCTCAAGTGATACTCCTGCCTCAGCCTCCCAATGTGCTGGGATTACAGGCATAAGCCATCGTGCCTGGCCTCAGTGAGTGGTTTTGTGGGCTGGAGTAAGGATCCAGCTGTCTTCGCTGCAGGAGTGACAGGGACGTGGTGTCCATCTCAGAGGAGCCAAGTGGGCTTGCCTAGGCTTTCGATTCTTGTGAAGATGAGTGAACTGAAACCAGACACCTCTTAGATCTATGGGCCCTTCTACCTCTGATGATCTGTGAGATTCAGTGAAGGTGAACAGTCACTGTCGGGGATGTTTTAATGATTTTACTAAAAATCGGAATAGAATGTGAAACAGGGGGATCTGAAGAGTGATTATTTGTACTGTTCTGGTCAGGAGCTGGGAGCTTTGTCTGGCCTCCACGTAGGGGCCTGAGGACAAGAACTAGGCAGAGGTGCAGACAGCGAAGAGGAGGATGGCTCCTGGGTGTTCAGGCCATGGCCAGCCTGGTCAGCAGAGCAGCTGTGGGAAAAGGGATGATATTTGGTGGTAGCACTGAGGCCCAGCCAACACTGAGCGCTTAGGATGTTTCCTGCTGCCCTGGCATTGTTTTGTTATTTATTCCAGCGACTGTCCTGTGGGCAGGAACTGTAATGTCCATGGGCAGGAGAAGAAACCCAGGTCACAGGGACCTGCCCAAGGCCACAGAAGGCCCGAGGCTGGCGGGACCTAGGTCAGCCTGACTTCCCCGGCCAGTGCCCTCTCTGTTTGTCTCGTGTCATCTGCCTTGGGAGCTCACATTTCAGGGCATGTGGCCCAGTGCCCACTGAGGTGCAGCCCGCGTGCCTGGACGGCTCTGTCAGGGCGAGCTTCTCGGGCAGTCTTCCTTCCCTCTCCATTTGTTGCTGCAGGATTCTCCTTTGGTCCTGACTTTTCTGGTTTTTCATTTCCTTACCTGTAATCTGTTCACTCTTGGTCAGCAAGAGAATAATATTGCAGCTACCACTGCCTCTGAGTTTCCTCCTGGAAGACTGAGTCTTATGAAGACCCGGTTTTGAGGAGTTTCCTGGCTGGATCAGCAAAACCACAGTGATCCACATTTGATTGATGTATTTTGAGTTTACATTTATTCCCAATGTTTATTTTCTTGTAAAAATGAGCGCATTATTGATTAAAAGAGAGAGACACAATATCCAAAAGGTGGAAGTAGCCTAGGTGTCCATCCGTGGATGAATGAATGAACAAATGTGGTCTGTGTGCTCAGTGGAGTATTACTCAGCCTTAAAAAGGAAGTCTTGCACTGCTACAACAGATGAATCCTGAAGACATTACGCTAAGTGAAACAAGCCAGTCACCAAAGGACAAACACTCTATGATCCCACTTCTGTGGGGCCCCCAGAGCCGTCAAATTCGTGACGACAGAAAGCAGAAGAGGGGTTGCCAGGTGGTGGGGCCAGGATCGGGGTGCGGGAGGATGGGGAGTTAGAGTTTAATGGGTGCAGAGTTTCAGTTTTGCACGATGAAAACAGTTGTAGAGATTAGTTTCACAACAGTGTGAACACATTTACTATCACTGAACTGTACACTTAAAAATGGTTAAGATGGCTAATTTTATATGTATTTTATCACAATTTAAAGAAGAGAAAAATGGAGAGGCAGTGTACAAGCTTAGTAAGTAGAAAGTAAATTGTGAAAACCTTTTTCCTAACACTTCATTCTATTTGCTTCTTTGGCCAAAGGTGTAAGTAGCATTTATGGACGATTAGGTAGAACTAGCCATCCAGAATTGGTTCTACAAGATTGCCTTTCTGGCTCTTCAGTGTTTCTCTTTGCCCAAGCCTCAGTGTTATCCTGCTATCACAGCAGGGCTGATCACTAAGGAGAAGGTTATCCTTGGTGAGGAGGTGGAAAATGGTGATTTTTAAATGTTGTACTACAAGCAACCGAGTTTTGATCTGCAAATCTATCATATTTATAATCTGCATTAAAATTTTAAGTCACATTCATAAAATATAGGAGTGGATGCACTTTTAAAATTTCTTTGGAATGCAAATCAGATTGGATTAAAGCTATTAACCATGTGTAATAAAAGACTGTAGATTTTGTAGCAGCTTCATGCTCTACCTAAGATGTCTGCCAAGTAAGTGAAATGTATTTGTAAAAAGGCAGATGGAACTACTAGACGTATTGTCATCGAACTATTCTCCAGGGGCACTGATTTCAGTGCAGGTGCTTTAGATGGGAGGAAGGCTGAGAGCAGGGTCTGTGGGGCCCCTATTGCAGAGAAGCTCCGTTTCATCTACTTTATATTTGATTTGTAAATGTTTGATTTGCTTGGCTAAAGAATTCTGAGGCTAGAGCAACAAAACAAAACAGAAGGAGAGAGGTTGGGAAGAAAACGTGAAGTAACACCAAAAAACTAACTGCTATTGCAAAACAAGGATAAAATAGATAATTCAAGATAGATGTGATTGATTGCCATAAAGATTCATGAACACGTCAGGTGAACCCGAGTCTGGAGGCTAGAGGAAGAGGAGCTGACGGAATTTGAGGAGGATGTGTGTCTGGTCTGAAGAGGAGGTAGAGACTTCCTGCGAAGGCTAGCAGAGTAAAGGTTTGCTTTCTCCCTTTCCTCCCCGAAGACCAGCACATCAGATGAAAAGAACCCCCCAAATCAAGTAAAACTTTTATCTGCAGTGAAATTAAGAGATAACTCATATCCCCAACTATAGAAAACTGCCGAATATAATATAAATCCAGACCACATGGAGGGAAAGACTTCGAGAGCTGGTCCATACCTCTCAGCTCTCCTGCCTGTTCGCCTCCCAAATGCCCAACCTCCAAATACCATCACATGTGGGTTAGGGTTGCCAGGAGTAAATTTCCTTGTTAATAAAATGAATGAGATAGGAAAGAAAGCGGCAATGTTTTCATTATTTGCAGATAAAATACTGGTCAACTTCACTAAACAAATGTAAATTCCCTGTGGAGGGAGCTATAAAGCTTTACTGAAGGGCATAAAAGAAGACATGAATAAATGGAGAAAGATACTAGATCCTTGGATTGGAAAAGTTGGCAGCATTCTTTATTCCAAACTCCCTCAAACAAATCTATAAATTTAACACAGTCTCAGGAAACATCCCAGCAAGATTTCTTAAATACAACGTGTCCAGCTGATTATAAAATTTATATGAAAGAGTTATTGTACAAGAATAGCCAAGATAATTTTTTAAAAGGAGACTTAAGAAAGGGGAACTTGCCTTATCAGAAATCAAAACAAACTAGAGACACACTGGCACGGAAGCTAAAGCAGTGATGTTCATTGCAGCCCTGTTGTGTGTAGCAGTGAAAAATTACTTGCTGAAATGCAGCCAAGGTATTAGGAATGGGGAGGCTGTGGCATAAAAAGATTGGCATTAGCATTGAATCCTTTCAAATATCATGTACAGCTAAACAGCTGTGAGAATTATGGAGTAGAATGTAAGTGTTATGTGCCTTAACAATGCAAAACTAATAAATCCTCTTCGAAGAGAGAAGTAGATCTGTGCTGATATGGAAAAATGTCTAAACAGATATGCGTCCCTGCAGAAACAGCTGCAGAGGAGTATCCATGGTATGATCCCACGTGTGTTCAGCACACTGCTCTGTTCTTTCCTGTACTGAGGGAGCCCATTTCTGGTGAGGATTATTTCCACCACCCCGATGACACAGGCTTGGCTATGAGACTTGCTTTGATCAAGAATATGTGACTCGAAGTCACTATGCAACTTCCACACAGAGGCATTAAGAGCCATTACGTGGTTCTGTCATTACTTTTTGCCCCCTGCCACGAGGCTGGCATGAACCACATAGAGGTTTTGCCTTCGGCCTGCATGTCCAATTGAAGCATACATATAGAATTTCGGCCAACTTGCAGCTGACATGTAATGTGAACAGCAAACAAATAACTATTTGTTTGTTACAGCATAACAGCTTAAACAGCACCAAACCAAGCATAAGTGTTTTATACATATACATTTGAACATGGCTAAAATATATCTCCTATATCCTAGATACACTTTTCTCATGTGTATAAACAGACATGTACAAGGATGCCTGATGAAGCATTGCTATTACAGCAAAAAACTGAAAACAATCTGAATATATATCAGTAAGTGTCTTAGCCAGTTTAGGTTGCTGTAACAGAATACCATAGAATGTGTGGCTTTAACAACGCTTATTTCTCAAAGTTCTGGAAGCCAGGAAGTCCAAGATCACGGCACTGGCAGATTGGTGTCTGGTGAGAGTCCCAAGCCTGCTTTGCAGAAGACCATCATCTCACTGCATCCACTCATGGGGTGGGTGTAGGGAGATATCTATTCTGTCTTTTCTTTTCTTTTTTTTGAGGCAGAGTTTTGCTCTTGTTGCCCAGGCTGGAATGCAATGGCGCAACCTCGGCTCACTGCAACCTCCGCCTCCTGGGTTCAGGCAATTCTCCTGCCTCAGCCTCCTGAGTTGCTGGGATTACAGGCATGCACCACCATGCTCGGCTAATTTTTGTATCTTTAGTAGAGATGGGGGGGTTTCACCATGTTGGTCAGTCTGGTCTCGAACTCTTGACCTCAGGTGATCCCCCTGCCTCGGCCTCCGAAAGGGCTGGGATTACAAGAGTGAGCCACCGTGCCCAGCCTCTGTCTCTTCTTATAAGGGTACTAATCCCATTCATGAGGGCTCCGTCCGATGGCCTGTTCACCTCCCAAATGCCCAACCTCCAAATACCATCACATGTGGGTTAGGATTGCAAGATCTAAATTTGGGTTATTCACAGACGTTTAGTCCATAACCATAAAGAAATGAACAAGTAAAATGTGATTTATTAATATAATGGAAAACTGTAAATCAACTCAAATAAAGCAGATCCACATGTATAATTAAAACTGGGAAACATAATAGGCAAAAAAGAGACTGGAATTGTGGGTTACACAGAGGCATCTACTGTATCTGCAATGTTGTATTTCTTTAAAAACATCTGAAGGAAATATGGTAAAACAAAGATTTGAAAAAGCTGGTGGTGGGTTTAAGAGTGTTTGCTATATATTTTTTTCTCAATGACTGAAATATTTCATATTTTTTAAAGAAAGCATTCATGTAAATCTTTAAAATTGCAAAGCAATGCTTATGTTCTTCAGAGGAACATTTATCCCTGTGTGTAGAAGTATATAGATTAATTGGAAGGATATACACTAAATTCAATATAGTGATTGGATAGCAGATGGTGGGGGAATAAACAGAATTGTTACAGTGTCCTTTGTGTTTTTATGTAATTTTAAAATTTCTAAAAATAAAAATGTTAATTAATGCAGTGGAAGATATCTGGAAAAACAGGAAAATTGTTAGCCACCTCTGCCCCTGGAGATGGGATCAGGGTGATGGTGGAGACTTTTTGTTTGTTTGTTTCTTTCTTTCTTTCTTTCTTTTTTGAGACGGAGTTTTGCTCTTATTGCCCAGGCTGGAGTGCAATGGTGCAATCTCGGCTCACTGCAACCTCCTCCTTCCGGGTTCAAGCGATTCTTCTGCTTCAGCCTCCCCAGTAGCTGGGATTACAGGCATGTGTCACCACGCTGGCTAATTTTGTATTTTTAGTAGAGATGGGGTTTCTCCATGTTGGTCAGGCTGGTCTCGAACTCCCGACCTAAGGTCATCCGCCCGCCTCGGCCTCCCAAAATGCTGGGATTACAGGCGTGAGCCACCGCGCCTAGCTGAGACCTTTTGTTTCTACGTGACATTCTTCTGTACCGTTTGCCTGTTTGAAAAAAAAAATTTTTTTTTGAGATAGGGTTTTGCTTTGTCACCCAGGTTGGAGTGTGGTGGTGCGATCATAACTCGCTTGCAGGCTTGAAGTCCCAGGCTCAAGTGATCCTCCTACCTCAGCCTCTGGAGTAGCTGAGACTACAGGCGAGGGCCACCAAGCCCAGCTAATTATTATTTTATTTAAGAGATGTGGTGTTACTATGTTGCCCAGGCTGGTATTGAACTCCTGAGCTCAAGCCATACTCCGACCTCACAAAGGGCTGGGATTACAGGCCAGAGCCACCATGCCTGGCCTGTTTGAATTTTTGTAGCAATTAAAAATTGCGTAATTTAAACACAAATTGAAGGGGACAGGGACTAAAAACATAAATGAGAGTTAGAATGCAGTGCCACGTTGAATGCTTTCACAGGTAGGAGCCTAGAAATCATCTGTTCCAACTACTGCACTTTTGAGTTGTGGAGACCAGACCAAGAGAGGTGAAATGACTGTTGGCTAAGGCGTCCACCTCTACTTGCGTCTGGAATTGCCCCTGCCTCTGCCTTTAAGTCTGGTCTGCGTGGCTTCTGATAGCGAAGCCAGGGGCGGACCCCGTTCACTGCATCAGGAGAGCCCTGAGCAGCGCTTGGCAGGAACTCTGCAGCCCAGGGCGCCCTCTAGAGGCTGGAGGACCTTCGTCAAGACCCCGGGGGGTGTGGATGTGGACCTGGAGGAGTGGTGGGCAGAAGGCGGAGCCACCCTTTCACCCAGTCAATTGCATTCCTCTGTCTTTAATGTTGGGCTTCCTCAGATTAGATTTTCTTTGAAGAAAGAGTTCTGCAGCTTAAAAAAAAAGTGACAGAAGAATCACTGGTGCAGAGTAAGGTATAGCGTTAGCATTTGATCTGATATTATCTAGATTCTTTTCACACTAGGAAGCACCTAAGTCATCTGGTCTAACACCTTCCTTTTACAAAGAAGATCTGAGGCCTATATAGGCAAAATGTGTGCTGCCCAGGTCCACGACTGCAGGGCATTGTCTCCTGGCCCTGGTAATGTGGTCTTCATTCTTATTTTTTGTTTTGTTTTGTGTTAACTGAACTTAGAACTAAACAGATCCCTTGCAACTTGGCTTAGACTCCATATTTCATGCAAAAAGCTTTCAGGGTAGCAGGGTGACTCGGTGGATTAGCAGGAGAAAAAGATGTAAAGTGATGGCGATTGGAGCTTAACCTCGGTTTGATTAAGTAATCCCCCAGACACCCCCGAGAGGGGAAAACAGTCCCCACGTATAAATTTCTACACCCTTGCTCGCCTCCTCTTCTGAAAGGCGTAAATCTCCCCTGAAATGCCTCCCTAGCATTCAGGGCAATAAAGAGGTCACATTATATCTCCATAAATCTCCCAGCTGGCTGCTGCTGCTGCCATTCCAGAGGCGAAGGGGAAGTTGTTTCCTCCTGACGGCAGGCCATGGGCCTGGAAGGAAAAGCCTCTCCCTGCAGACCCATTGTCTCGGTCCCTGAGGGAGCTGCCCTGGCAATTTATTCAATATTCCCTTTCCGTCCTGCCAGCTACTAACTGGGGTTGCAGAGTCAAATGGCCCAGACTAGCCCAGCTTAAGTCTCCTCTGGCCAAAGCTCCATTGCAATCTTCCTAATAAATAAAAGAAACCAGGACCATATCACAGCATTAGAAGCCAGGCCAGGGTTCCCTGGGGCTGAGGCTGGGGCTCGCTGGGACAGGAGCTAGGGTGCTGTGAAAGATGACAGCGGGTCAACAGCTTCAGGAGTGCAGCAAAGCTGAGGACCCACTTGGGAAATGGGTTCCATTTTCCCATTAGGGAATTAAGATGCTTTTGTAGGAAAGGAAGGTGGGAGAAAAGATGCTTTTATGGAAAAATCTGAAAATGGAACCTGCCCAGCTTTAAATTAAAAATGTTACTGCATGAAAGAGTGATGATGCTAGCCCCTGACATATTTATGTATTTTATTTAACATGCAAAATAATCATAGGACAGCTATGGTGGCGCACGCCTGTAATCCCAGTGCTTTGGGAGCCCGAGCCTGGCGGATCACCTAGGCTCAGGAGTTCAAGACCACCCTGACCAACATGGTGAAACCCTGTCTCTGCTAAAAATACAAAAATTAGCCAGGCGTGATGGTATATACCTGTAATCCCAGCTTTTGGGGAGGCTGAGGCAGGAGAATTGCTTGAGCCTGGGAGGTGGAGGTTGCAGTGAGCCAAGATCATGCCATTGCACTCTAGCCTGGGTGACAGAGCAAGACTCTGTCTCAAAAAAAAAAAAAAAAAATCACTATCACAAATAAGAAATACATTAACATAAACATAGTTGAGTATTTAAAAGGTACACAACAGCAAACAATGAGAAGTCCTTCCGTGAGCCACCAAGACACCTCCCTGGAAACAACCAGTATGATCAGTTTCTTGTCTGTCCTCCTAAAAATGTTCATTCTGTATATAAACAAATCCATGTATAGATTCTTCTCCCCTTCTTTTTGTAAGAGAATATCAATGTAATGTCCATGCCTTCTAATATTTCATAGCATATACTACAAGAATTCCATATCAGTACATCAAGATCATTGTTTATGGCTACATAGTGTGCCTTAATTGAATTAACCAGTCCGGTATTGATGAACGTAAGAGTTGTTTTTCCAGTCCTCTGCTATGGAAGGACATGCCATAGTGAATATCCTTGTATATAAACCATTTTACACAGAAGTACATCTGGAGGATAAATTCCTGAAAGTGGAGTTTCTGGATCAAGTGACACATGCATTTATACTTTTGATAAGATATTGCCAAATTGCTTTCCCCACTGGCTGCGGGGCTGTAGCATGTCACACTTCCCATCAATGCCCAGGGTGTCTGCTTTCCCACATCCCCCAACCCCAGGGCACAGTACTATGACTGAGGCAAGCTGGGAGGAGCCTGGAGAGGGGCATCATCACAACACAGTGACTTGGAGGATCCAGGACCAGTGCCAGACTTTGTCCACAGCGTGACTGGAAAGCTCTTCCTGTACATTCTACCCTGGCTGGGACTGTACCCCGAAGGGAGGGCCTCTCCCTTTCTTTCTGTAGAGTGGGAGGAACAGTTGGTGCCACAGCGATGCCTGAGCCCAGATGGGGCTGCCACTGTGGTGGGAGGCAGCTGGGACCGAGGTGGAAAAAGTACTTTGTACTTTTTCTTTCCGGCCAGGAGGATCCCAGGAAATTGAAGAAAATAAACATCTCCAATCCTGCAGTGCCTAGGCAGAGATGCTTGCTTAATTAACTGCATATTTAACTAATTTAAACCATGTTACAGGAAGAGAAAATCTGAAGAACATAGTCTATCCAATTGTCATGTAATAAACCAACTCCAATTTCCGTATGGCTTTGGTGAAACTTTGTTTTTGTACTCATTCCTCTACCATTGGGCGTTTTGGTTGTTTCCAGTATTTGGCAGGAATACCTGAAAAATAGATATTTTCCCTTTAAAAAAGTTTATTCCAGTGAATTATTAGAGCAGTTTTATTGCTAGCAAGAGTGGGCTGGCTTTTAGTGCAACGTGGTGTGATTTTCCATATACATCCATCATATATGATTTTATATACACACATGTATGTGTACACACACACACACGGAAACTTCTGGCCCTGCATAGATAATTCTCACAGCTGAATTATATTGTGTGTCCAGGAACATGGCATCTCAGTGGCCGGGCAGCCCAGCTGGCCGGAAGCCGAGCCCTGGGAGTGACGCTGTCCCATCGTCATTTCGGCCGCCTCATGGGACTCTCTAGGCACTGGGTTTGTTGAAACTCGATGGCTCTGTGTGCAGAGCTTCTGTCGTGTGCGGAGCTTCTGTCGTGTGCGGAGTTTCTGTCGTGTGCGGAAGGCGAGGACTGGGAGCTCAGATGAGGCACTTGCCCGGCCTGCTCTGCACCTTGGTTTTCTCTTATGGATATTCACGAAATAGCCCAGACCCAGCTTGCAGGTTTTAAGACTGTACCACTGTGCCACCTGCCCCTTGCTCCTGGACCCTCGCAGCCTCTCCCACAGAAGGACTGGGGATGTGCAGAGAGAGCCGACTCAACAAGGCAGTGGACAGGGAAGCAGCGGCGGGGGCACCCTTCGCATGCAGTCCCCAGAGGCCAGGAAGGAGCAAATATTTTCAAGTGCTGATCCCCAGCCAGGGCTCCCCTGGTTGTATCTGAGCCTGAAGCCGGAAGCCCCAGGAGCTGCAGGACCCAGTGCCCAATGCGTTGTCCTGGCCTCTTTCCTGGCATGCTGCGTGTGGCTTTTCTGGAAGGGGGCAAGTCAGCCGTACTACCTGTCAGCCGGGACACTAGGGAGACACAGAGAGGAGGGATCAGCATGTCACGGATGCAGGTCTCACAGTGAGGTCTGCAGAGGGTGGCCACACACCCTGGTGTGAAGACTGTGCTTTCAGAATAATTAGTAATATGCCCCCTCCCCTCAGAAGTGTCCCATTTTGTATGGTAGGTCACAGGGCTCCCATATTAATCCGGGGAGGCGGACGGCACAAAGAGGAGAACCTTGTCCCAGGTTTCGGGGTGGGGACTGCTGGGCAGGGTCCCTGCAAACACAGCAGCTGGGAGGCCCAGGCCCCTCCACTCTGGGACTGATCGTAGCTTCCCACATGGAGGCCCCCATGAAAACTCCATAGTTCTTTCACCTGAGGGTGACAGCTGGCAAGACAGTCTTTGTAAAAAATGTATTGGTATAGGGGCAAAATGCTGCCATTCGGGAGAGTTTTCAAATAGAAATGTAGAGCTCACTGCAGTCTTTCAGTATTGCCTTCTTTTCTTTGTTCCTTTTCCGTTTTTTTTTTTTGGAGACACGGTCTCACTCTGTCGCCCAGACTGTAGTACAGTGGCATGATCACGGCTCACTGCAACCTCTGCCTCCTGGGTTCGAGCAATTCTCCTGCCTCAGCCTCCCGAGTAGCTGGAATTACAGGCGTGCACCAACATGCCCACCTACTTTTTATATTTTTAGTAGAGACAGGCTTTCACCATGTTGGCCAGGCTGGCCTTGAACTCCTGACCTCAAGTGTTCCATCCGCTTCGGCCTCCCAAAGTGCTGCGATTACAGGCATGAGCCACCACACCTGACCCTTTGCCTGTTTTTAAAATGGTATCCCAGCCTGCGGTTCTCTGGTGGGAAGGGGCCATGGTGACCATTTTCTGGGAGTCTGCATGTTTAGTGTCGAGATGCAGCAAATGAAGTCTTATTCACCACCATACTTTTGTTTCACTTGTTTCAAGAAAGTGCTTGTGGCCAGAAGTGGTGGCTCATGCCTGTAATACCAATACTTTGGGAGGCTGAGGCGGGAGGATTGCTTGAACTCAGGAGTTCAAGATCAGCCTGGGCAACATAGTGAGACCCCATCTCTACAAAATGCTAGAAAAATTAGCTGAGCGTGGTGGTGTGCAACTGTAGTCCCAGCTACTCAGGAGGTTCAGGCAGGAGGATCGCCTGGGGCCGCGAAGTCAAGGCTGCAATTAGCTATGACTGAGCTGCTGGACTCCAGCCTGGGTGACAGAGCAAGACCCCATTGAAAAAAAAAAACAAACAAAAAAAGTCCCTGTGAGAGCAATGCAACAGTCCACAAGTTCGCGGACTTAGCTCTATGGCATTGTGATTGCAGAGGCTCAGATTTGAATTCAGAAGCATCCTACATTTCTCCTGGAGCCAGCAACTGATCCTGCATTTTATGGGGAAATCTTTATGCTGTAATTATAGGCCCACATGGAGGGGTTCTCGAAGGTCTCAAAATCTAATCTTGACAATGATGAAGGCCAGGAAGCGTTTCCCAAGTGGGTGAGCTGAGAAGCATTGAGACAGAGATGTTGGGAAGTTTCTGAGATCAGACAAGATGGGAAAACAGCATGCTTGCGCTCTGAACTCCTGCAGCCCTTGCTGCTCTCAGGCCAAATTGAGACTGATTTTCCATCTGCTGCCAGCTTTTGCCGCTGGGGAAGGGGTCAGGGATGGCCAAGGCATCTGTGGGCAGCGCTGGTGGGACGCTGGCCTGCGGTTAAGAGACTGACTGCCCAGCCTGGGTTCGATCCCACTTTGCTGTTGATTAGCTCTGTGGCCCTGGGCAGGATCTGTTCTCTAAAGCTCATGAACTTTCCTCCATTGCCATCCTCTCCTGGACCAGCCTCCCACGCTCACCCTACTATGAGCACAGACCAGGCAGGTGTGGAGGTGCTGGGAGTTCTTAGACCTCCAGGGAGGAGCCGCTGGGGCCCAGGGTGTCAGGGGCTTGAGTCTTTCCACAGTTCCTCCAGTGACAGGTGTGGTTGCCTGTTACAGCCTTCACGCTCATCTTTCTCTTTGTCATTTGTAAAACCTCTTTGCATATGAGCGGGTGTATTTTCCCCTATCATTTGTTCTTCAACCTCTTCCTCCTCTATCTCTCTACGTTCCCCCCTCCCTCCGTTCTTGTTTTTGGTGTTTTTTTTTTTTTTTTTTTCCTTTCCCTTTCACAATGTCCTTGCCTGTTTGTGATTTAGGAAAAACAAAACAAAACAAAACTGAGTCACATTCTGTCACTCCAGCCAGCTGACGTCCTGGGTTCTTGTCCTTTATAAGGGTCAGAAGCAGAGGCCTTGGACTCTGTGGGGTGACTGCAAGGTGGGCGGTAACTGGTAACCGCCTCTGTTCAGCAGCTGCAGGAGCTTCCAAAATAGGTGATTTCATCCCCGGCCGGAGCGCCGCTGGAGCTGTGTGGGCCTCCCCGTGACAGCCTCCTGTCACAGGCATCTGCCGAGCCTGACGAAGCCCAGAAGACCCACGGCTCAAGAGCTGCCAGGAAAACCTCAGGCTTTGTTTGGGCCTCGTGCCCCACACCCAGGCGCCAGCCGCAGGGACAGATCCGGGCCTGTCGGGAAATCCAGGCTCCATCTCTGGTGAACTCTGGATGGGACATGGGCCTGGGGTTCAGCAAGGGACATTTGGGTGGGGCTGAGACTTTGCTCTGAAGCCCCTTTGGTTCCCAGGGAACGGTTTCTGGGCAGGTCCCTCCCCTCCTGCCCAGTCTGGGCTGGGGTCTGGCCCTTTCCAAGAAAGCCTTCTGTGTTGTATCTCCTTGGCCCCCTCTGGCCCCTCTTGTGTAGCACTGCCCAGCTGCCCCGGGCACGGGCCCTTTCCACTGTTGACGTGTCTCTCCCTGAACGTCCAGGATGCTGAAGATCTGAAGCTGGAGGTGGTGGGCTGGGCACCACTGTGAGGCCCAGGCCCACTGCCGTTTGTCATCACAAAGGTAGTGATTATTTTTGAGTTGTGCATCCCCAGCTAGACCAAAACAACTTTGGGCAAGGAGTTAGCATGGATTTTGCCAACATGTTCGTTACGTCTAGCACTTGGACAGGGGCGCGTATACAGACGCATGGCAGATATTTGAGTTTCAGGCATTGCTGTGAAGGGGCTGAGACCCATCAACTCTGCCTCCAGGCATGAGGGTGAGGGTCTTCCAACACAGGCTGGGGCTCAACACCAGCTCTCCCCAGCAGGTGGAAGTCTGAGGGGAGCATCTGCAGGAGAGCAGACCAGGCTCTGTGGCGCCGATGGGGCGGCAGCAGTGGCCTGAGCTGTCTCCCCAGCGGCCAGCAGTGCCCAGGGGAGGGAGTGGAGAGCGGAACCGTGACCCTGGCCTCTGATTCCTCTCCCTTTCTTCCTCCCGTGCCTTCCCTCTCCCCGCCCTGACTGGCCTCCCCTTGTTGGGGTGGGTGGGTTCCCCAAGATGGATGGAGCAGGTCAGAGGAGAGGAGAGGTCGGTGTCTTTGCCTCTGGCTGCGTCAGTTCTTTGTAGGGAAGTCAGGGGTGGGATGTTTCAACCTCCTGGCCTGCATTCTTCTTTCAGGCACTAGGGTGGGAGCAGCTTGTTTAATTGATAGGAATATCCATACTGCACCGGCTCGCTGAGAAATCAGACTATCAGACTTTGTTTCCTCTTTAAAAAAAACTTTTTTTAGCAAGGTATGGGAGGAAGTGAAGAGTGAGATCCCCATCCTTGGAGTTAGGACAAAATTTATTTTGTGCTTTTCATTGCTAAACTAATCATTAATTAATACTTCCCATGAGAAGCAACTTGGAGACTGAGTACAAGTGAACGCGGTCAGCCTTGCTGTCAGTTGGTTCCTGGCTTGCAGTCTCAAACCTGACCGCTGAGAGCACAGACAATTCTGAGTATAGCCCCAGTGGTTTAAGAAAGGTCAGATTCCCCAGTCTCCTAGCTCTTTTATCTGTCCTCCCCTCCTCCAATAACCAGCGCCAAAGTTTGTCCTGGTCTTTCCCACTCCCTCCTGACCCCTCCAACTTCAGCCTCCTAACAATAATCCATCATTGTTATCTCATTTGATGTTTGCAAAGCACTTTACAGCCATTGTTGTAAGTTTTTCCTCTCATTTGCAAAGTACTTTACAACTATTATTACAAGTCTTTCCTCCAAACGTGGGTGATGCCTTCCAAGTGGCTGGAGGAGTTCCCGGGATGCCAGCACTGGGTGGGAGGGGCTGCATCCGAGGCCACAGCTGTGCCCCCTGGCTTCGGAATCACTCTTGCCCCCAGGGAAGTTCCTCTCAGTGCCTTTCGTAGGAAGGAATGAGAAGTGGTGCTTACCGAGGTTCATACCAGATGTCAGTGCTAGTTTGGGACTTAGTTAGTGCTGTGTTTGTGATTTAACATTGTAGGGCCAACGTTTTCCTCTATGGTTACCTTGTTTTGGTAATAATTGTTTAAAAATATGTGTAACATTTCATGGAGCAGGTTGGATGGCAGGATTTTGTGGTTGGAAATATGGAAACTTCTGCCGATTTGGAGGTGTAGGAGGTTGACTATTGGATGTCTTTAGGAAGCATAGCCTTTACTTTGGCTGTTTTGGTAACCCCTGACCCTTCTATCGCAATGGGACTTCTATGCTGGTGGGAATTCCACACTTTCTGCCCTAGACAATTAGGGTCTGCCATGAGTCCCCCACTCTGCTGAGGGTGTGTTCTAAAAATGAACTAATATTATTAGTCATTATTGATATTCAAATCCAATTTGTCCAAATAGATCATTAGCACTCTGAGACCTGGGTTCCCTCCTAGCTCCTGTGACATCTATCAGAGTGATTAAATAGCAGATGCTCAGTAAATATTTGTTGGTGGCAAATACATACTTGGCAACCTCCAGTGACTTTACCTGGACAGTAAAATAATTGCTTGAATGCATAACCCAACTTTGAGGTGAGCCTGCAGGAGCTGCTGAGGCACACCTGTGTGTTGGGCTCTCAAGGCAGCCAGAGGTGAGTCGGCAGCTGAGATCACGCTCCAGGGATTCCTGCGTCCTTTAATAAGATTCTGGGGTGGGCACAGTTCTGGGGTGGACATGGTGGCTCACGCCCATAATCCCAGAACTTTGGAAGGCTGAGGTGGGAGGATCGCTTGAGCTTAGGAGTTCAAGACCAGTCTGTACAACACAGTGAGAGCTTGTCTCTACCAAAAAAAAAAAAAAAAAAAAAAAAAATTAGCAAGGCATGGCAGCATGCACCTGTAGTCCCAGATACTTGGGAGGCTGAGGTGGGAGGATTGCTTGAGCCTAGGAGGTTGAGGCTGCAGTGAGCCGAGATCGCAGCACTGTACTCCAGCCTGGGGGACAGAGTGAGACCCTGTCTCACAAAAAGTTTTTCTTTACATCAGTGTAGTGTGGGAAAAAGAAAAAAAAGACTCCATTCCTGCATATAAAACAATAATTGTGAGGAGAAAAGAGAATCTCCCCTCCGAACAAGAGGAACACATTATGAGATGTTTTTCACTTAAATGAACCAGAATGTAGGAGAGAGGCCAGTTTGCTTATTTTTAGGAGTGTGACTCTATCTGTTAGAGGAACATACTGAGATATTTATGAATAAAATAATAGAAGTCTGGGATTTTCTTCAGTAACACAATGTGGGGGAAAGTGAATGGAGGTACAGGTAAGACAAGATTGACCACAAATGATTGGAAGCTGGATGATAGTTAAGAGTTCGTTTTCATATTCTGTCCCCTTCTGAATATGTTTAAATTTTTTCATAATAAAGAAAAATAGGGCTGGGTGCAGTGGCTTATGCCTGTAATCCCAGCATTTTGGGAGGCCGAGGCAGGAGGATCACTTGAACCCAGGAATTTGAGACCAGCCTGGGCAACACAGTGAAACCTTGTCTCTACAAAAATTAGCTGGGGATGGTAGCGTGTGCCTGTGGTCCCAGGTTCTAAGGAAGCTAGAGGTTGCAATGCCCACTGCACTGCAGCCTGGGTGACAGAGTGAGACTCTGTCTCAAAAAAAAAAGGAAAAAAAAAGATAGAAAAAGTAAAATAGACTGAGGCAGGAGTATCTCTTGAGGCCAGGAGTTGGTGGCTGCAGTGAGCTGTGATTGCACCACTACACTCCGGCTTGGGTGAGAGTGAACCCGGTCTCTAAAGAGCAAAATAAAATAAAAAAGGAAACCAGAATGGGAGGGTTGCACTAGGTTTGGAATGGAAAGGTGATCTTACAAGGCCTCTATGTCCAAGTGCGATTCAGGCTAGACCGCGTGTCTTGGTTCAATTTTGAGATGGTAGCGCCACCTAGTGTTTATTGCGAACACCCAACAAAACGACGACGTTGCCCGCGCCCGCCTCTTGCTGTGGAGTGGGCTTGGTCTAATGTCCTTCTGTAAATTCCTGGCCTCTTTAATCCCCTCATGGGCAGGCCTGGATGAAAGAAGCGGGGCTGACAGCCCATAGGCACGGACTGTAGAGGTGGCAACAGTAGTGTTGATTGTGGTGGTCCAGCTGGGAGCAAGCTATGGGCGGGAGTGGCCGCATCTCATGGGCGGCTCTGAGGGCAGGCGACCTTGGTGGAGGCTGTCAGTGTGACCCAGGTGTAAAAATAGCCTCTGCTGTGACGCCTGTGCTCCGCTCCCTGGCCTGAGCAAATAGCCCCTTACACCTGCACACTGTTTACTTGGTGTGGACACACAGCTACCTGTTTGCAGGTGCAAATGACTGTTTGTGTACCCAGAGTTGTGGGGAGGGCCCCCCACCATCCTCTTCTCTGGCCCACATTCCCCTAGAGCAAGTAGCTGGGCCACATAACTAGCAAAATGCGCAACCTCAACCCACTCCCGAGCTGGGTCCTGTTGGAAAGAGAGCTCTTTACCACCTGTCCTCCCAACTCAATAAAAGCACCCCTCTTCACTAGAGAAAAATCTGCCCTTGCCTCTGGCAGCAGCATAGGAAGAATCTGGAGACCAAGGTAGATGTGTTTTGGGACAGCAAATTAGGATAACATGAAGTCAGAGAGACTTCTGGAGATGGTGAGCCAGGCTTTATAGAGACTACGGGGAGCAAGAAAACTGGCCCAGCCTGTCTCACGAGGGTGAGGAGAATGGACACAGGTGGAATCTGTCAATTGTAACATTCTGTAGACATGGATGATAAAGGTGATGGCGGGGAGGGGTGAGCGAGTGAAGGGAGCGGCAGACCCCGGCAGCCTTGTGGTAGCTGGGGAGATGCTACGCTTATGTGAGCAGCTCTAAAGTGCCATTGCTTATAATATGCACCTTTATTTTATATACCAATAAGCAAGAAAAATGTCCAACTATGATATGGCAGCCCATACAGGTATATTAAAACAGAAAAAATGAATGAATGAAGCTTTTTTTGCAGGACAGTTAGCAAATTCCAAGAACTGAAAAAGAAATTTAGTGCCTTTGACTCAGAAATTCTACTTCTCAGAGAGTATCTTAAGGAATAACTAGAAATGCACAGACTTAAGTAAGGAGCAGTGTTTATGAAACAAGAATCCAAAACTGGATGAAGATTAATAGCTGAATGATACTAGTTAAATGATGGCACCTTTATATGATGGAACAATGGTATATGAGTGTATAAAGAATTTTATAAAATGAGTTTATAAAGAATTTGTCATTGGGAAAATGTTTTGGTATTAAGCAAACGACCCACACAGACTCAGAATTATATAGCTTGGCAAAAATATGGATCAACATATGAAAGTCTCACAAGGCCGGGTGTGGTGTACTCACCCAGTACTTTGGGAGGCTGAGGCGGGTGGACCATTTGAGGTCAGGAGTTTGAGACCAGCCTGATGAAACCCCGTCTCTACTAAAAGCACAAAATTAGCCGTGTGTGGTGGCGCATGCCTGTAATCCTAGCTACTTCGGAGGCTGAGGCAGGAGAATCGCGTGAACGTGGGAGGCAGAGGTTGCAGTGAGCTGAGATCGCACCATTGCACTCTAGCCTGGGCAACAAGAGTGAAACTCCGTCTCAAAAAGAGAAAAGAAGTCTCACAAAGGGCTGGGCACAGTGGCTCATGCATGTAGTCTCAGCACTTTGGGAGGCTGAGGCTGGAGTATCGCTTGAGCCCAGGGGTTCAAGGCTGGACTGAGTTATGACTGCACCACTGTACTCCAGCCTGGGTGACAGAGTGACCCTGTCTCTAATAAAAAGAATAAAATAAATACAGTCTTACAAAGGATACAATAGAACCAAATGCTCAAAACATTAGTGACAATCTGGATTTTCTTTATATATTTTGGCACTAATTTTCCTAAGGTAAATATTTATTATATCTTTATGCAAAAGGAAAAGTAATCTTACTAACTTTGAAAGGGAAAAAGAGAGAGCAAGGTTTGCGTGGACCTCAGTGTGAGGTGAGAGGCCTAGGGCTGGAGGCTCTGAATGTGATACCTGCACTGAAATCCAGGTGTCCCGCCTCCCAGCCCAGGACGTGGGTGATCACTGCAACTTTTTCCTCTTCTCGTGCTCAGGGGAACTCTCAGTGTCTGGGATTAGGGAGCAGGGGCTGAAGTCAGAGTGAGGAAGAGCAAGAGCAGCCCGAGGTGGTCTTCTCTTTCCAAGGAAAGGGCATTGTTTCTGTGCGCTCTAGATTCTCAGATGTGAGAGCTGGGCATAAACAAAGAATTAATCCTCTGTGTCTTTTCTTGTCTGTTCCCCCCAACTCAGTAGATATGTTTGACGACTTCTCAGAAGGCAGAGAGTGTGTCAACTGTGGGGCTATGTCCACCCCGCTCTGGAGGCGAGATGGGACGGGTCACTATCTGTGCAACGCCTGCGGCCTCTACCACAAGATGAACGGCATCAACCGGCCGCTCATCAAGCCTCAGCGCCGGCTGGTAAGCACGTGCCTCGCAGCCTCCTCTGGGCACCTGGCTGCGGAGCTCTCGCCTTGGTGGGACATCCTCTGGTTTTGAATTTTGGAACTTGAGGGTGTGCATCGGGGATTACGTGGGTGAGAGCCCCATAATAATTCTCACAACTTTAGAGTTAGCTGGAGCCACCAGAATGATCCAGGCTGTCTAGTTCAACCTCTTCGGCACACAGAAACTGAAAGTGAGGCTCAGAAAAGCTAGTGGCCTTGCCCACAGCCACTCAGGTACTGAGTCTCCCATCTAGAACTCTGGAACCAGAATCCAGGTTTCCTGGTTCCCAGTCCAGTGTTGACTGGAGTGTCTCCTCCACCCACACCAACCCTGCAAGGAAGGTCACCTCAGAGGCTGGTCTCTACCCTGACCTCAGTTGATCAGTTGATAAATCCCAAAGCCCAGAAGTGCAAGCAGCTTGTGTTGGGCCCCGTGGCTAGGGAAGAGTTTGGGCCTGGGGCTTGGCTCCTGGCTTCCTGCTCCTTTTTAATATAATTTGATTCTGGTCAACACCAACCAGCTTGCACTATATTAAGGAGGGAAGAACAGAGGGGATAAACCTGGTGCCTCCCTTTCTTGAGGTCCCAGGGCCATTCAGACTTTGATACCATTTGGACACCGTGATTCCTCACTCTCTGCCTGCCCCCGGCACCTGCAGCCCCGGTCAGTTCTCCTCTCAGGAGAAGCTTTCCTGCCGGCAGTGCCCGGCGCTCACTGGTTATTCGCCTGACGGTGAATGATGGTTAGGACTGGAAACCAGGTCTCGATGCCCACGTTCGCTCTCCTCGGGCAGCAGAAACCTTGTTCTGATTTATTCCTCGCAGTGGCGCAGGTGACAGGAGAGTTAGGTGCCGTCACAGGTCAGAGATCTCATGCAGGGTCGTTAGGGCCCAGCCCTGCCTCCCGTTAGGGAGGCCCAGCTCCGCAGCCACACGCGAGGTGGAAGGGCAGTGCACACCTTTTACTTGGACATGAAGCATTTGTTTCCTGTCTTGCAGTCCGCCTCCCGCCGAGTGGGCCTCTCCTGTGCCAACTGCCAGACCACCACCACCACGCTGTGGCGCCGCAATGCGGAGGGCGAGCCTGTGTGCAATGCCTGCGGCCTCTACATGAAGCTCCACGGGGTACGTGGGTCCTGCGCCCATGCGGCATCCTTGCCTTCTGATGCCCATCTCTCAGTCCTCCCTTGTCTTCTTCCTTTGTACTAGCATTCATTTTTCCTTCTTAACAAAGAGACTTAGATTTGGAAGGGGCTTTCAACTACTTTGCTGGCCTCTTCCGTCCTTTACATTGTATAAGTGAATTTTCCGTTTTACAGATGAGCAGGCTACATTTATATGTAGCAGTTTGATGTGTAACAAAGGTGACGTTTCGATTCAGTGGATAAGAAGCTTAAGGATAGTTGTATTGACAAAATTGGCTGTTCATTTGGAAAACAGAAGGAAAGCATGACCTCTACCTCCTACCTTAAACAAAAATAAACTTGGGTGAATTAAGGATATTACATGTAAAACATCTTTGAAATAAACTAAAAGTAAGGCCAGGCATCATGACTCATGCCTGTAATTGCAGCACTTTGGGAGGCTGAGGCAGAAGGATTGCATGAGCTCAGGATTTCAAAACCAACCTGGACAACATGGTGAAACTTTGTCTCTACTAAAAAAAAAAAAAAAAAAAAAAAAAAATCTAGCTGGGCATGGTGGTGCATGCCTCTAGTCCCAGCTACTCAGGAGTCTGAGGTAGGAGGATGGCTTGAGCTCAGGAGTTTGAGGCTGCAGTGAGCTCTGATTGTCCCACTGCACTCCAGCCTGAGTGACAAAGTGAGACCCTGTCTCCAAAAAAATAAAAATATTAGATAATAAAATACTGCAAAGAAAATCAGACAATAAAAACACTGGAAGAAAATGTAAGGGAAAGTATTTATATAACTTTGGGGATGGGAGAACTTCTTAAACAAGATTTTAAAACTTTTTAGCCATATAAGAATAGTTAGATATATTTGATTTTGTAAATATTTACTGTTTGTGCCTGGAAATGATACCTAGGGAAAGTAAAGACCAATACACACAGTATCAGAAAAAGGGTTAATATTTCCAGAATTACAAGGAGCTTCTACAAAGCTCTTTAATTTTTATTGGAACATTCTCCATTATACAATATTAACAAAAAGGCAAGGTGCCCAACACTACCTACTATGGCACTATTTTTATAAATATGAGGAAGAATATAATTTATAGGTGGTTGCTTCCACATATACAGAACACCTCTGGTAGGATATGTAGAGATTGGTCACATGGTCACATGTATGCATATATACGTACATGGGGTGCCTCCAGGAGAAAAACTGGGGTCCCGGGGAGAAGGGATTGGAAGGACACTCTTTTTGCTGTGTACCCCCTTGGTACCTTAGACGGGACATATGCAAGTCTTAATTGTTCAAATACAAGTTAAATTAAAACCAAACCAAACCAGAAACAGATAGGTCTTGTAGCCTAATAAGAAAAGAACAATTGATCTTTCCCCACTTCCCCCAAATGGGCAAAAGATATGGACTGACATCTCACAGAAGCTGCCCAGATAGCCATGAAACATGTGCACATATGCTGAATCTCACTAAAAATCAGAGAAATGTACCTGAAAATGACCATGAAAGTCCCTAGTTTGCCCATATACTTGGCAAAAATTAAAGTGTTTGCTGCTATGGATTTGGGGAATTAGATACTCTCATATATTATTGATCTGTATTTGAATTACTGCATCTATTAACTTAGTGGTATTTTTTAAGGTTGAAACCATGAACACCATTATATCTGGCAGGTCTACTGTTGGGAAACTAGCCTATAAAAAATAACCAGTACATGATGACCTTTGAACCATTTATTGCTGCATTGTTTGTGGTGGCAAAAACTAGAAACAACCTTAAAACCCCATAAAGGAATGGTTGAAAAAATTCTGCTATATCCCAAAATGTGGAATATTGAGAAGAAACTTAAAAATAATAATCTAGGGCCATGTATCTTGATCTAGAAAATGAAAAAGCACATTGCAAAGAAATATATGTAGCATGACCCCATACTATGAGTGTCGAAGGTGCATTAAACAGACATACATATGGATGGGTGGACAGACCAGTGGATGGGTGAACACACACACACAAATATACACGTATAGGTGTATTAGTCTGTTTTCACACTGCTGATAAAGACATACCCAAAATTAAAAAGTGGCTTAATGGACTCACAGTTCCACATCGCTGGGGAGGCCTCACAATCATGGCGGAAGGTGAAAGGCACGTCTTACATGGCAGCAGGCAAGAGAGAATGAGAGCCAAGCAAAAGGGGTTTCCCCTTATAAAACCATCAGCTCTCATGAGATTTACTCACTATAGTGAGAACAGTATGGGAGAAACCGCCCCTGTGACTCAGTTATCTCCCATCAGGTCGGTCCCACAACATGTGGGAATTATGGGAGCTACAATTCAAGATGAGATTTTGGTGGGGACACAGCCAAACCAAGTCAATAGATATATATGTGTACAGATGTTTGAGAATTTTTTTAAATGTAAGAATATATAACAGGCTGTTAAATCCATTTGCCTCACTGGGATAGGATTGACGGTAGTAGAGTGAGAGGGCTGTTGTTAACTTAGTCTCATGTATCTTTTCATGATTTCTTGTTATAATGAACAAGCAAATGGCTAAAGTTATGAACATTCATAAGAAAATATTTCTACAAAGCATGTATACAAGGATGTTTGTTAATCACTGTAATAGCAAAAATGGAGGAAAGAAAACCTTTGGAAGGAAAATGGTTAAACTATTGTTCTTCAATATGGGAATGGTACAAGAAACTTATTGGGAAATATTATATAGGTATTAAAAAGATTATATTCTCAGAAAATAAAAAAATAGAATTACCACATGATCCAGCGTACCATTTCTGGATATATACCCAAAATAATTAAAGGCAGGGCCTCAAAGAGCTATTTGTACACTGCTGTTTATAGCAGCATGATTCACAATTGCAGAAAGATGTAAACAACCCAAGTGTCCATGGAGAAATGAATGGATAAACACAGTGTGATATACATACACGTAGGATATTACTCAGCCTTTAAAAGGAAGGGAATTCTGGCCCCTGACACCACATGTCAAATCCATAGAGACAGAAAGTAGAATGGAGGCTGTCGGGGGCTAGGGAAAGGGGGAATGAGGAGTGATGTTTAATGGGTATGGAGTTTGAGTTTTGCAAGATGAGAAGAGTTCTGGGGATGGTGGTCAGGCTTGCAGAACGGTGTGAATGCGCTTAACACTACAGAGCAATATACTTCAGAATGGTTCAGATGGTAAATTTTAAGTTAGGTGTGTTTCATTTTACTGCAACTGAAAAAAAAAAAGCATACCTAAGTGAATGGAGATTAACGTGAGGGGGAGATTCTTCTGAGGCCAGAATGGGTTTGAACATTTGAGGCATAGCTAGGGGGATGGGGTGGGGGAGGACACCCTTCCACAAGGTGGGAAATAGGGGTCTGGGTGTAGAGTCACAGAGAGATGTGCAGATGGTGGGGTCGGGGGGTGCAAGTGCCACCCCATCTACCCACAGTTAAATAGGAGGCCAGTTCAAGTTCACATATGCTGGTGCATTTCTCGCTTAACCATTGCGTGTTCATGTCTCTGAAGCAGTAATTGCTTTTCTTTCTGTATTTGCAGGTGTGGCCTTTATCAATCCCACATGGTAGACAAGCACAGCATAGAAAAGGGGCTAAAAGATTTGGCTCAGCCTAAGAGAAACCAGATGTGGGGAAGGCACCCTGCAGTCCTGCTCCCCAGGACTGGCTTAGGCATCTGTGAATGGCTCTGGGGCCTGCCTCCCAACAGAACTGTGGTCAAAGTGTTGTCCAGGGACATTTTATCTCAGAACCTGGTCACAGGGCAGTCTCTAGCATAGTCTCTTACTGCTCCCCACCATTCACAGAAGCACCAATGGCTCCAGCCAGACCCAATGCAGTACAGAGCTGCAATAAGTAGAGTGATGTTACATCTCAACTCACTGGGACTGTTGCTGTTGAGGCCAATTTTCCCAGCACAATAATTGATAGCACCCCTGCACCCTCACACCTTTTGAAGATAGGGCCTTGCTCCACCACCCAGGCTGGAGTGCAGTGGCACGATCACGGCTTGCTGGAGCCTCGACTTCCTGGGTTCAAGGGATCCTCCTATCTCAGCCTTCTGAGTAGCTGGGACTACAGGCATGCAGCACCGTGCCCAGCTAATTTTAAAACTTTTTTGTAGAGATGGGGTCTCACTATGTTGCCAAGGATGGTCTCGAACTCCTGGGCTCAAGCAGTCCTCCCACCTCGGCCACCCAAAGTGCTGGGATTACAGGCATGAGCCACTGTGCCTGGCCTAGCACCCACTTTTTGTTTTCAGGGTCCTTGTGTGGATGATAAAGGCTTTTGAACAGTCTGTCTCTGCTGCCTGAAATGCCTGCCTCTGTCTACTCAAAACCTTTTACAAACTCAGGTGTCACCTCCACACTGAAGCCTTCCTTGATATCCTCACGTGCCCCTCCTTCCCACTCCTCACCCCAGGACAGAGTTTAGTGTTTCTCTGTCTTTTTACATCACCGACCAGAGTCTGGTTATTTCTCCTTGTCTGTGAATTTCTGAGGGTAGGAGCTGTGTGTCTTTAGTTCCCTATTCTCCAGGCTCTAGTAAAGTAGCCATCACATCACACAGGTGCTCGATAAGTTTTTTAAAAATGGAATTGATTTCTTTCTCGCTGAGTTCCAGGGGCCTGTGCAGCCCGTCTGGGCCCCAGGCTTTGTGGAGAGATTGCTTAGGTGTTGCCTTCTCGCAGCAGGTGTGTGTCTTTCAATGCTGTAGCAGACTACGCAGAAATGGAAAACCCTATATATTTACTTGTGACCCTCCAGGTCCCCAGGCCTCTTGCAATGCGGAAAGAGGGGATCCAAACCAGAAAACGGAAGCCCAAGAACCTGAATAAATCTAAGACACCAGCAGGTGAGGAAAAGATCTGTGAGTGATTATATGAGTACATCAGGAGCCCTCAGAGTGCCTAAGAATCATATCTTCCGGGTTAGGCAGGCCAGCCCGGGCCGCCAGGGGGTGGTGACAGCATCGGACATCCCTGGCCTTTCAGGACAGGATGAAGAGCCCAGCAAAAAAGTAACAATTGCCATGGAACGTGTTGGGAGCTTTCAAAGCAGGCTCAACTCAAGCTGGGGCCTGATCATTGCCGACTGCAAAGACCCAGTGCTCAGGCTGGACCAGCCGAGGTCCTGCAGGAAAGAGGAACTTTACTCGGTCCTTTCATCTTTGGCGCTGCAGCCACCCAAAAGCTCAGTTCCTTTCAATTCTCTTTGGGCTAACGGGGATCCAGGAGGGCAGGGTCCAATTAATCATGTCCCTAACAGATTGATCTCTAAGCCAATGTATAATTAACATCATGCAGTGCTTTGTGCTTTAGAAAGCCCCTTCAGAAATATTATCTCCATGAAAGTAAGACTCCATGAGAACCAGTTTATGACCCCATTTTACTAACAAGCAAACTGAGGCTCATAGAGGACAATGATTTAACGAGGGTCATACAGCTGTTAATGGGTAGAGAATTAAAACCCAAGTTTTTCTGCTTCTGGGTCAATGTTCTCTTCAATATACCACTCTGCCTTCTTAATTTCTAGATTAAGAATAAGGGCTGCTCAAAAGTTTGAGGCTGCAGTGACCTATGATCGTGCCACTGCACTTCAGCCTGGAGAGCAGAGCAAGACCCTGTCTTTAAAAAAAAAAAAAAGAAATACATTTAAAAAGAACGAGGGCTGTTCTTTTTTAAATTTATTTTTAATAAATATATTAACTATTTATTAAATTTAAATTAGATTTATTTATAAAATTATATATAAATTTCTGACAGAACAACGGCTGTTCTTTAATACGTTTATGTTCCCTACCAAAACATTCCTCACTCAGTACTGCTACCCAGTTAAAGATTTGACTGGTCGGTGCTGCAGTCACAGAGAAAATGAATTGGCTGATCTGACGAAAAATTTATCTTCTAACCTAAGGCATGACAGAGTCAGATAAATGGGCCCTTTCCACTACCAAGAACATGATCAAAGTTCTGCTTTTGTACATTCAACCATGGCTTATCCCTTCTGGCAGGCATATTTCCTACTGGAATTTTCAGTGTCTCACACCTGTGGTCTTCCACCTCTCCTCCTGCTTCCCTACTGCTGACGAGTCCCCTATGTCCCCTGGGTAACCTTATTTCCTCTCACGTAGCAATCACAGATAGAGAAGACATACGGTTCAGGCGCACGATTCCCAGTCCAAAATTCCAAATCCAGGAAGCAAGATTCGGCAGCAAAACCTATTTTGAACAGACACTAGGCTGTTGATAGTCTCTGTTTACTCCATTCAGTATGATATTCACGTGTTTTGCTGTGGGGATATTATTGTATTTCATTACAGAGGATTATCTCAGGCCCTGCTGGAGGTATTCTGTAATAATACACAGTATTTGGATTTTTAAAAATGTGAATCTTCAAGTTGAATGAGGAAGAATCTTTTTTTAAAAAGTTTTGAAGCCTGAAACACACGTGGCCTCAAGGGTTTGAGATGAGATAGGGGGAAGAAGCCATCCCTGTGAGAACTGTAGCCCTCCGCAGATAAGGACCTCTGCTGCTGTCCCCGGCAAATGTAGATAAAGCCATTAGCTTGCACCCATCCCGGCTGTCTCGCAGGCTGCCGGCTGTTCGTTTGTCCCTGCCGCTGATTTGGGTGTGCTGACTCTGCTTCATTCCAGCTCCTTCAGGCAGTGAGAGCCTTCCTCCCGCCAGCGGTGCTTCCAGCAACTCCAGCAACGCCACCACCAGCAGCAGCGAGGAGATGCGTCCCATCAAGACGGAGCCTGGCCTGTCATCTCACTACGGGCACAGCAGCTCCGTGTCCCAGGTACGCGCCATGGCTGGGGCGCCAGGGCTGTTTGTGGGGAGGCCGACTGCAGAGTCCCAGAGGCCAGCCTAGTACTGGGTGGGACTTGCAGCCAGGCCTCACAGGTGCAAGCAGTGAGCTACCCTCTGCGCTAGGAAGACCCAGCCATTGAGCTGTGTGGTGCCCTCAGGGCCGCATGAGGCTAGGGGCATCTGCATCGGGCTGTATTTCAGGACATCTTATCAAGATGGTGATGTGGACATGACTGTGACTCACAATTTTTTAACAGCTCCTCTATGCCATCATCTTTGGAAACAAAGAGAGGGGAGTCCAGGGCTGGCATACAGCATGGGTGGCAGGGGCGGAAAACAACACAGAAGTACAACCTGAATGAGACTGCGTGCTGGGGCGAGGGGAGGCGTGGTTGCGCTGTCGGAGGCCGAGCGGAGGTTCTCTAGGCAAGTCTGCCTCCTACGTGCAGGGAGGTTAGACTTCAACAGGGAGGGTGGGGAAGGAGGAGGAAGCTGGCATGGGGAAAGGCCTGGATCCTGCAGAGGGCAGGCAGGGCAGGCTGGTGGGGAGGTCACAGGCAGGATGCCACTTTCATGAGACCCAGCTCTGCACGTGTGTCAGGGGACGCCCTGGGGCAGCCCATGTTCCCTCTGGCGGAGGACGATGGCGTCTCGGCCTCCCTGCCTCCTCCCCTCTGCAGTTCCCTCTCTTGGGACCAGGATGCACCAAGCTTGATCACGGTCTCCTTTGACCAGCCCTGGCTGTTATCTCGTCTCTGCTCTTAACTGAAGGAGGCCGTGTCTTAGTGAGCTTCTTATTGTCTGGGAGAACCTGATCCCACAGAACCAGGGGCACCAGGAGCCCCTTCTGGGCCGGGTGGACGGCTTCTTTGTTGGAAAGTGGATGTGGTGGTGATAGGATGGTAGAAAGTGTCTCCTGTAACCATCAGAGCCTTCTGGGCAACCACAGTATCCACAGGGCCACCGGGTCATAGCCCTGGTTGTATACTGTGCTCAGAAGCAGCTGATGCATCACCCAGACCCTTCATGCCTAGATCACCGGGATCAGGAGAAACAGAGAGAAGTGCTCCTTGGTCCCTTCCTGAGGGCTGGAGCCATCCTGGGGACATCTGCATAGCAGGGCACCCTCCCCAGCCTAGACCTCCCAAGCCCTCAGGAGCGTCTCCATGGGCCTCATCGTGTGCTTTCTGCTTTTCAGACGTTCTCAGTCAGTGCGATGTCTGGCCATGGGCCCTCCATCCACCCTGTCCTCTCGGCCCTGAAGCTCTCCCCACAAGGCTATGCGTCTCCCGTCAGCCAGTCTCCACAGACCAGCTCCAAGCAGGACTCTTGGAACAGCCTGGTCTTGGCCGACAGTCACGGGGACATAATCACTGCGTAATCTTCCCTCTTCCCTCCTCAAATTCCTGCACGGACCTGGGACTTGGAGGATAGCAAAGAAGGAGGCCCTGGGCTCCCAGGGGCCGGCCTCCTCTGCCTGGTAATGACTCCAGAACAACAACTGGGAAGAAACTTGAAGTCGACAATCTGGTTAGGGGAAGCGGGTGTTGGATTTTCTCAGATGCCTTTACACGCTGATGGGACTGGAGGGAGCCCACCCTTCAGCACGAGCACACTGCATCTCTCCTGTGAGTTGGAGACTTCTTTCCCAAGATGTCCTTGTCCCCTGCGTTCCCCACTGTGGCCTAGACCGTGGGTTTTGCATTGTGTTTCTAGCACCGAGGATCTGAGAACAAGCGGAGGGCCGGGCCCTGGGACCCCTGCTCCAGCCCGAATGACGGCATCTGTTTGCCATGTACCTGGATGTGACGGGCCCCTGGGGACAGGCCCTTGCCCCATCCATCCGCTTGAGGCATGGCACCGCCCTGCATCCCTAATACCAAATCTGACTCCAAAACTGTGGGGTGTGACACACAAGTGACTGAACACTTCCTGGGGAGCTACAGGGGCACTTAACCCACCACAGCGCAGCCTCATCAAAATGCAGCTGGCAACTTCTCCCCCAGGTGCCTTCCCCCTGCTGCCGGCCTTTGCTCCTTCACTTCCAACATCTCTCAAAATAAAAATCCCTCTTCCCGCTCTGAGCGATTCAGCTCTGCCCGCAGCTTGTACATGTCTCTCCCCTGGCAAAACAAGAGCTGGGTAGTTTAGCCAAACGGCACCCCCTCGAGTTCACTGCAGACCCTTCGTTCACCGTGTCACACATAGAGGGGTTCTGAGTAAGAACAAAACATTCTGCTGCTCAAGCCAGTCTGGCAAGCACTCAGCCCAGCCTCGAGGTCCTTCTGGGGAGAGTGTAAGTGGACAGAGTCCTGGTCAGGGGGCAGGAGTGTCCCAAGGGCTGGCCCACCTGCTGTCTGTCTGCTCCTCCTAGCCCTTGGTCAGATGGCAGCCAGAGTCCCTCAGGACCTGCAGCCTCGCCCCGGCAGAAGTCTTTTGTCCAGGAGGCAAAAAGCCAGAGATTCTGCAACACGAATTCGAAGCAAACAAACACAACACAACAGAATTCCTGGAAAGAAGACGACTGCTAAGACACGGCAGGGGGGCCTGGAGGGAGCCTCCGACTCTGAGCTGCTCCGGGATCTGCCGCGTTCTCCTCTGCACATTGCTGTTTCTGCCCCTGATGCTGGAGCTCAAGGAGACTCCTTCCTCTTTCTCAGCAGAGCTGTAGCTGACTGTGGCATTACTACGCCTCCCCACACGCCCAGACCCCTCACTCCAAAATCCTACTGGCTGTAGCAGAGAATACCTTTGAACCAAGATTCTGTTTTAATCATCATTTACATTGTTTTCTTCCAAAGGCCCCCTCGTATACCCTCCCTAACCCACAAACCTGTTAACATTGTCTTAAGGTGAAATGGCTGGAAAATCAGTATTTAACTAATAAATTTATCTGTATTCCTCTTTCCCTCGTCCCTTAGTGGTCTTCACTGGGAGGTTCAGCGTTGCTGTTCTCTCCCGGGGAATCTTGAGGCCGTGTAGGCACTGACCCACTCACAGCTGCTTACTTTATTTTTGGCCATTGGCCAATGCTCCCTCTTTAGGTAGCAGTGGGTCCCGAAAAGCACACTCATCCCAGCCCTGCTAACATGAGACATTAGATGGGGGTCACCGCTGGGCTTTAATTTCCTGGGAGAGGGTTGTACCTATCCATAAACAGAGTTCCTTGTGGTCCAACAAAAGTTGCTCAATGTATTTATTGATTTATTGAGACAGGGTCTTGCTCTGTTGCTCAGGCTGGAGTGCTGTGTGCCATCATGGACCTACCTGGCTCAAGCGATCCACCTGCCTGTGTCTTGAGTAGCTGGGACCACAGGTGCACACCACCATGCCCAGCTAATTTTTTATTTTGTAGAGATGGAATCTTGCTTTGTTGCTGAGGCTGGTGTTAAACTCCTGGGCTCAAGCAATTCTCCCACCTTGGCCTCCCAAAGTGCTGGGATTATAGGCATGGATCACCGCTCCCAACCATCTGAGGGCATTTTTAGAGCTCTCCTCCAGACCTCAGGGTCTGGAGCAAGAGACTCCATCTACCTGGAAGAAAATGTTCTGTCTAGCCCTGTCTGACTTAAAAGTGTGTCCCTCCAGGGCAAGGAGCTCTTGCCATTTTATGGTTTGATCCAAACAGGCTAAGGGGCAAATTATGTCCCACAAGAATGAGAGAGAAGGCTGGCAGTTCCTCTCCTTTATCCATTTGTCTTCACCTCCTTAGGCCACAGGGGTGCTTAACCACTTCATCTTAAAAGTATGTGGAGTGGGGCTGGGCACGGTGGCTCACCCCTGTAATCCCAGCATTTTGGGAGGCCAAGGCAGGAGGATTGCTTGAGCCTGGGAGGTGAGGACAAGCCTGGGCAACAGAGGGGGACTCTCTACAAAAAAGTAGAAAATTAGCTGGGTATGGTGGCGTGCCCCTGTGATCCCAGCTCCTTAGAAGGTTGTGGGAGGATCGCTTGAGCCCAGGAGGTCAAGACTGCAGTGAGCTGAGCTCATGCCACTTACACTTCAGCTTGGGTAACAGAGCGAGACTCTGTCTCAAACAATGAAACAAACAACAAACAAAACCTTTTGAAGCCCGCATCAAGTCCTTTAACAATTAAGGAGAGCATTTATCTTTAAAATTAGACTTATATGCCTCTAAGATAGGTGAGCAGTAACAAAATTAATTTTAGCTGGGATTATGCTGTGATTATGTTTGGCTTAACAGTAATGAAAATAAGTTTAGGCTGGGTGCGGTGGCTCATGCCTGTAATCCCAGCACTTTAGGAGGCTGAGGCAAGCGGATCACCTGAGGTCAGGGGTTCGAGACAAGCCTGACCAAGATGGAGAAACCCCGTCTCTACCAAAAATACAAAATTAGCCGGGTGTGGTGGCGTCTGCCTGTAATCCCAGCTACTCGGGAAGCGGAGGACAATCGCTTGAACCCAGAAGGCAGAGGTTGTGGTGAGCCGAGATCTCGCCATTGCACTCCAGCCTGGACAACAACAGCGAAACTTCATCTCAAAACAATAATAAGTTTACAACCTCTGAATATGTACCAAATGGAGCCAGGGGTGGGGAGTATTAGGACAAGCCCCGCACTGCAGAGCCCCCCAGCTCTCACTCGTGGACCAAGTGCATGGGACACAGCCATTCGGAAAGCTCTTTCTTTTGGAGTGGGACTGGGTGTTCTGGTTTTGGTTTGCTTGTTTTATCATTTTGTGACATTGGCGCCTATTCTTCAGTTTGCATCCCTGCCTTGCTTGCTTGAAGCTGGAGCACAAATGTCCCGTCACCCTGTAACAACACAAGTATGCATCATGCCTGCGAGGCTTAGCTTGGGAAGTGGAATCTCCAGGAATCTCCTTCGGTTGTCTGTCTGCCACTTTACACTGTTGCTCCCATTTCGGTCACTGAGGCCCTGTCCCTTATCCTCCAGGGACATGGTGCTGTCCTATGAGCTCTGGCTCCTTTGTGACTTTTACATTGCTCCTCCAGATAGCAGTGGCAGTGGCATTTGCAAAAAGGCTATTTGAGAACAAATAAGAAAAAATCTTCAAAGCGAAGATGATAGTAAAACAGCCCTCATTTTTCAAAGTCCATTCTTTTTTCTGGTCCGTGCACTGCCAGCTCACTTCTCTGGCTAAAACCCGGGGGCGGCGGGGGTGTGTGTGGGGGTTAGTTTTGCAAAAAGTACTGATGGCACCGCTGTGCTCCAAGTTAACCAGAACACAAGAATCGAAAAAGCCTGTGAGATACTGGTGCTCGTGATCGTAAGCTCCAGGTCGGGGGGTTTTCAGATGAACACAAAAAGGGGGCTGCTCCCGTCCCAAGATGAGTGATAAATGAGTCACTTCTCATACTCGCACTCACACTCGCTCCATTTCCTCTGGGATGACTGTCTTCCGTCCTACCGCTGTGGCTGCTGTTATTTGCCTGATAAACTTCTTTCCCTCTCCCTCCCTCTGACACAGAAACACACACACACACACACACACAGACACACACACACACACACAGCCCGCTGGATCTATAAGCAGTTTGTAACAGGATGCACCAGTTCTAATCACGTTTCAAGTCAAATGAACCAGTCGCAGCTTCCTAATAAGTGAATGGCTGACATAAGGAGTTAATTCAGAAGCAGCTCAATACTATGGACAATACTAGTGGACAATATTAGCATACTGCTCGTACAACAAAGATACCGTAGTCTCTGGTGCTGCCTCTTCAGGACGAATTTGCTGAAAGTGAGTTGTAATTAGAGATGTTAAAAAAAACATTGGCTGCGCGCGATGGCTTACTCCTGTAATCCCAGCACTTTTGGAGGCGAGGCAGGTGGATGACCTGAGGTTAGGAGTTCGAGACCAGCCTGGCTAACATGGCAAAACCCCATCTCTACTAAAAATACAAAAAATTAGCCAGGCATCGTGGTGGGCACCTGTAATCTCAGCTACTTGGGAGGCTGAGGCCGAAGAATTTCTTGAACCTGGGAGGTGGAGGTTGCAGTGACCCGAGATCATGCCATTGCACTCCAGCCTGGGCAACAAGAGTGAAATTGTGTCTCAAATAATAATAATAATAATAATAATAAACTGAGATTTATCATTCCTCCTCTCTCCTTTTCCTTGAGAACTTAATAAAAATGGAAAATATCCATTACTTCTTGGGCTCTTGATGATCTCAAACTGTTAAGCCGGAATGGAGGATAGATGTGGTCGGTAAACACTGAAATCAAGAACCTTAAGTGGGCCAGGGCCCTGCTGAGCAAAGCAATGGGTCCAGATTGCCCCTAACATGCTTTTCCATTGGAAGGAGCTGCTATAAACTCCGAGGCTCCCGGGCCCTGCTGGAGACTCTGGGCTGGAATCCTCTGTGATATCCTCCACAGTCGCCCATTGTATAGCTTTCCTTGGGGATTCCTCAGAGTGGCTTCCAACCTTCCCACTGGCAGAGTCCCCTTTACCCACTCCCACCCCTGCCATGGTCCCCATTTTTGTTTTTGTTTTTATTTTTGAGACAGAGTCTTGCTCTGTCCTCCAGGCTGGAGTGCAGTGGTGCAATCATAGCTCAGTGCAGCCTCCACCTCCCGGGCTCAAGTGATCCTCCCACCTCAGCCTCCTGAGCAGCCGGGCACTACAGATGTGTGCCACCACCACATTTGGCTAATTTTTTTGTATTTTTAGTAGAGACAGGGTCTCACTATGTTGCCCAGGCTGGCCTCAAATTCCTGGGCTTAAGTGATCTGCCCACCTCGGCCTCCCAAAGTGCTGGGATTAGGGGTGTGAGCCACCACACCCAGCACAGGTCCCATGTTTTGAAGTAGTTTTAACTAATCATTTGGGGTTTTCCTCATTTTTTGTAGCTCAAAAACAAACGCATGAAAATTATACCTCAATTTAAAAATGAACAAGTCGGGCATGGTGGCTCATACCCATAATCCCAGCAATTTAGGAGGCTGAGGCGGGTGGATTATTTGAGGTCAGGAGTTTGAAACAAGCCTGGCCAATGTGGTGAGACCTCATCTCTACTAAAAATACAAAAATTAGCTGGGGGTGGTGGCGGGTGCCTGTAATCCCAGCTACTTGGGAGGCTGAGGCAGGAGAATCCTTTGAACCTGGGAGATGGAGGCTGCAGTGAGCCGAGATCCCGCCACTGCACTCCAGCCTGGGCGACAGAAAGAAACTCCATCTCAAAACAAACAAACAAACAAACAAACAAACAAACAAAAATCATAACGGTTCATCTCTGCTAACAAGTACCAGAGAGTCAATACAGCAAGCTGGATTCCTGCCTAAGGCAAAGACATTCCATTTAGTTTACTTTGTGGCCTTGTGACAGATACTAAATGGATGGTTACTTAGATGTTTTCTGACTGTTTTTCAATGGCTTGTGGGTTCCTCTGGGTCCTTGGGCCTCCAGGAGGGGCCACTGCCGCACACACACACCTGGAAGGATCCTGTATCCATAGACCCCTGCGCTTCTGCCTCCTTAAAAAAAAGGAGGGGACCGGAAGTGCCCACAACGGGGAATTCTGAGACTTGTCTTCCGGCACAAGTTTGGTCATGGGCTGGCTGTGTGCTGTTGGGCCATTCACCCAACTGCTCTGACCTTAGCATTCTCATCTGTAAAATGGTTTGGCCTGGATAGCTTCAGGTGTCCAAGACTGGACCAGCAGCTACGGAATCACATATTGGAGGAAAATGACTCACCCCTCTCTCTGGGCCTCACACACTCTCATTGGTACAGATGACACCTCAGGGCCCCAAGATTTGAAAATGCTCTTTCTGGAGACTCAAGATTGATGTCTTGGCCAAGTGCGGTGGCTCACACCTGTAATCCCAGCACCTCGGGAGGCTGAGGTGGGTGGATCACCTGAGGTCAGGAGTTTGAGGCCATCCATGGCCAACATGGCGGAACCCCATCTCTACTAAAAATACAAAAAATTAGCTGGGCGTGGTGACAGGCGCCTGTAATCCCAGCTACTCGGGAGGCCGAGGCAGGAGAATTGTTTGAACCCAGGAGGCGGAGGTTGCAGTGAGCCAAGATCATGCCATTGCACTCCAACCTGGGCAACAGTGCGAGACTCTGTCTCAAAAAAAAAAAAAAATTGGTGTCTCGAGTCTCAAATAGAAAGCAGTGTCTTCATTGTGACCCAGTTAATGAGGTTTAAAAAAATGATTCCAGAATCATACATCCAAAGAGCATTGTTCCTCAAAGTAGCCTTGGAAACTGAATTTCTCCCAGAAGACAAGCTGCTAATGACTGGGAAGTTAGCACCCCTAAGTTTCCAACAGCTGGCCGGAGAGACTGAATGGAACAAAGAAAACTGAACCCTGCTAAGGAAAGGAAGCCCAGATTGAGGTACCATGCCTGACTCATTTACAAATCATGTCGGGTCTCCAGACCATCTGGTTGAAATCCTTTTGTCTCTTAGTCAAGGGAACTTGCCCAAAGCCACAGAGCTGGTGTGAGGAAGAGCAACATTCACTGACCGCCCACCCTCACTAGGAGGGCCATGGGACCGACCCAGGGTACTGCCCTTGCAGTTAATGCGCCTACCATGCGGGGGCGCACGTGTTCTCCCTTTCAGCTTCCATTACAGCCTGAGTTTTCCAGCGGTCAATCCCTCAGCAGCCCCGAAATTCTGCCAACAAAAATCACTTGCTGCTAATCGAACATGACTGCATGTCAAACGCTGCTAGCAGCTTTCTATAGCCGCAGGAAACACTTCCATATCCCCCCACTCACGTTTTGCACATAAAAAAGATATGGCCTACGGATTTTTAGTCACTTGTTGAAGGTCACAGAGCTAGTAAGTGGAAATCAGGGTTCAAACAACATCTATTTCACTCCAGAATCTGGGCTTTTACACCCCACTCTTGTGTCTCCTAAACAGTGGAAATCTACAAAATGGGAAGCCCTGCGCAGTCTGGGTTTAGACGGCAGTCCAAGAGGAAGAGTCTTTCAGTGTCTTTCTAGGAGTTGAGGAGAATCCTTGGTTCCAAATTCTCCCAACTTATAAGTAATGAAAGAAAGACCTAGAGACATTGGGGAATAGGGCTTACTGTTCATGGCCACATACCCCCAAAAAGGGACAACTGGAAGAGCCTGCGGAACCTCACTCAGCCCCTGCTCCTGAGGTGCCCGTAGAGCCACATGGACCCTCACCGTGTGCTTCAGAATCCCCAAACTCTCAGCAGCAACTCAATCCGTTACAGGATCCTAGTATTTTTCTCTTTCACTCCCTTCCTCGCATTCTTTGGGGTGGCTGTATTTTAATCTATTTTCATGTGCATTACAACTCTAGCTCTGTTGGAAAAAAAACAGGGGCACAAAGGAAGGGGGAGCAATTGATTCTGCGCCTCCTAGAAAGCTGGGCGCCCATCCTTTTGGAGCTGAGGCCCACTCCAGTGGGCTTGGGGGTTGCCCCAATCCAGGAGGCAGACAAATATTACTACTACTACTACTAATAATAATAATACAAATAATATTTTCTAAAACGTTTAGTGATGCTATACACCAGATCCAGTGCTGGAGACCCAGTGCAGTCACCAGACCCAATGCAGTGATGGAACTGAATCCTTTCAAGAAATCCCACAGAGGCCGGGTGCAGTGGCTCAGGCCTGTAATCCCAGCACTTTGGGAGCCCGAGGAGGGGGCAGATCACCTGAGGTCAGGAGTTCGAGACCAGCCTGGCCAACATGGTGAAACCCTGTCTCTACTAAAAATACAAGAATTAGCAGGGTGTGGTGGGAGGCGCCTGTAATCCCAGCTACTCGGGAGGCAGAGGCAGGAGAATCACTTGAACCTAGGAGATGGAGGTTGCAGTAAGGCGAGATCGCACCACTGTGCTCCGGCCTGGGTGACAGAGCGAGACTGTCAAAAAAAAGAAAAGAAAGAAGAGAGAGAAGGAAGAAAAGAAGGAAGGAAGGGTGGGAGGGAGGGAGGGAGGGAGGAAGGAAGGAAGGAAGGAAGGAAGGAAAGAAAGAAAGAAAGAAAGAAAGAAAAAGAGAAAGAGAAAGAAAGAAAGAAAATAAATCAGTAAGGTCATAATTTACAGATGAAGAAACTGAGATGCAGAAAGAGTGAGTTACTTGCCCAGGCTCTCCCAGCTGAGTGGTGGGATGTGGACCCAGGCAGCCTGGTATGGGAGCAGGTTTCTAGCCACTCCTCTGTGGAGTCACTATTCTAGGCTGGCCTTTTCCAGGCAGATTATTCAGCCTTTTTGTCTTAGAATGATGATTGCATATGCTTGCATAGCACTTGCATATACTTACAGTTTATGTGTGTTTCTTAGCTAGTATCTCATTTAATCATTCACATAACATGGATGAATTGAATCATTCACTCAATTTGTTGAGTGTCTACCAACTGCCAATAGCTGATGCTCTAAATTCTTGCTGCTCAAAATGTAGCCCCTAGGGCCGGGCGCGGTGGCTCAAACCTGTAATCCCAGCACTTTGGGAGGCCAAGGAGGGAGGATCACCTAGGTTAGGAGTTCGAGACCAGCCTGGCCAACATGGAGAAACCCTGTCTCTACTAAAAATACAAAAATTAGCTGGGCATGCTTGTGCGTGCCTGTAATCCCAGCTACTTGGGAGGCTGAGGCGGGAGAATCCCTTGAACCCAGGAGGCAGAGGTTGCAGTTAGCTGGGATCGTGCCTGGGTTGCACTCCAGCCTGGGCAACAAGAGTGAAACTATGTCACGGAAAACAAAACAAAACAAAAATGTGGCCCCTAGACCACAGCATCAGCGTCACCCAGCAGCTTGCTGGAAAGGCAACATCTTGGGCCCTGGTATAGACCTTAGAATCTGCATTTAAACAAGGTTCCCAGGGGATTCATAGGTACATTGAAGTTTGAGAAGCGTGGCTTTGTGATATTTCTATAATACCATTTAATAGATATCCCATTTAATGAATGAAGTCAGAGATACTGTGACTTGCTTGTATCCCCACAACTAATAATGAAGCAATATATGCAAAGAGCTCACAACAGTGTTTTGCACATAGTACGCGCTCAATAAACAATAACAATCAATGACAGAGCCAAGCTGTGAACCATGAGATTTTCAATTGCATAGCCCCTTAGCCTCAGAAGAACCCCTTTAGGCACCAGGCATTCATTCCACCAGGTAAGGCGAGGACTGTGGCTACGGCTTCCCTCCCGGCTCAGCCACTCTACAGAAAGAGAAACTAGGGGGCCCAGAAGCTACCATTGTGGTGAGCCTGATCCTATAGCAGGGGCATCCTGGGGGTGGGGGGGTCGTTATTCTCCAGAAAAGGCCGGACATAGAAAGAGGGGGACCAGAGGCTCTTCAAGGGATGCCTCCTGCAAACCCCATGCCCTCCAACCTCATCCCCTCTGCCTCCAGATGCCTTTCTAGATGAGGACCCTATACCCTAGGCCTCCCCAGGCCTCCCTCTCCTCACCTCCTGCCCTAGCCTGTTCAGTAGGTGACCACTGTGGGAAGGCCACTTGTAACCTCCCTCTCAATCAGTAGGACACAACCATGTCTCTGACGGTGGGCTGGGCTTGTTTCCCTGTGCTGACCAAGTCCTTCCCCAGGGACCCCTCAGCTAGGGTCCATGGTGACTTCACCCCAGCCTATTTCCTGAACACCTGCTGGGGAGTTCCCCAGACTTTCCTCCCAACTTCCTGGAAAGTGCTGGCTCCCCATCCTCCTTCGAGAACTAAAGACAAGAAAACATATGTATCTTTAAACAGCCTATTGTTTTATCTCTTTTATTCTATGAAATAAAAAATTTAATACACAAATACTTTAAGCAAAATTTGCTTATAGTAAAAATTCAAGTAATAAAATTCAAATAATAGAAAGCAAAAAAATCCCACCCGTTCAACATTTCACGAGTCTTGAACACCTGTTTCCTTTGCACCCGACTTCATTAGGCTCGGAGGCCAAGCAGAACCCACAGAAAGGCTTGCCATTGTGGGAACACCCAGGCTGTCCCATTCACACACCCATTGACTTTTCCCTATAACTGTCTCCTTGAGACAAGAAATGTTCCAAAAGGGTCGGGTGCGGTGGCTCACGCCTGTAATCCCACCACTTTGGGAGGCCGAGGAGGGCGGCTCACCTGAGATCAGGAGTTCAAGACCAGCCTGGCCAACATGGTGAAACCCGGTCTCTACTAAAAATACAAAAATTAGCCGGGCGCCAGTAATCCCAGCTACTCGGGAGGCTGAGGCAGGAGAATGGCTTAAGCCCAGGAGGCGGAGGTTGCAGTGAGCCGAGATCGCGCCACTGCACTCCAGCCTGGGTGACACAGCGAGACTATCTCCCCCCGCAAAAAAAAAAAGTTTCCAAGAGCGTCTCTCCAATGTTAGTCCCAGCCTGCACCCTTCTTCCATCCCTGCTTTCACTCGCGACCCTCTAATGCAGCCCTGCCTCCAGCGACCCCCGGGATGGAACCCCTCGCCCACCCACAAAAGAGCAGCCTCGACCTAGACCCACTTTCCAGGGAATGAGCCCTGCGCCTGCGCGCACCCCGCCACGCCCTCCAGGCCGGAGTCCACGCCCACTTGGGGGAGGAGCCCCGCAGCCTCCACCTACAGGGGCGTCCCCTAAGGGGACGGAGGCCGCATGGGCCGCCGAGCCGGGAAATCTCCGCCCCCAGCTGGAGCGGCTGTGCGGGCTGCGTAGGGGTGCTGGGTCGGGCCGACGTGCCACCCACCCGGAGCCGGTGAGTGCAGCCGCCCGCCCTCCGGTAGATCTGCGGCCTGGCGGAGAAGTCGGGAGGGGACAGGAAGGGAGGGCGGGCCCCGGGCCCTCCTCCGTCTCAGCCGCCTGCGGAGGTGCTGCCCACGCCTGGAGGCCCCCACTGACCCTCAGACCCGCGTCTGCGCCCCTCTCCCCGCACCCCGAGGCAGAGTTGGGAAAGCAGTGGTCTTAGACCCCCCACCTCGGGCACTCGGAAGAGAACGGCGGAGACAACCCCTCCTCTTCCCTGGCTGGCGCAGCGCCAGCCTCGAGCTCCTCGGTAGCCCCCGGGCAGGGAGGGCCGGAGGGTGGGCGCGGCATCTTCAGCGACTCTTCGAAGTCCCTTCCGCGTCTCATCTTTCAAGGCTGTTGCAGAGGCGGCTTGCTTCCCACCTGTCCATCTCCATAAAAATCCCTAAACGAAACATGCCCACGTGTCCGGAGATTTTCAGGACTTGGTGCATTTCAGATGAAGGCTTTTCCAGAAGCTTCCCCGTAGAAGAGGATCAGGCATCCAACTGGTTAAGGTCAGCAGCGTTTGGCACGTCTCCTTCCAGCCTGGCGGTTTTGTCAGGATTCCCTGGGGAGTGTCTGGAAAGCCTGATGAGGGGAAATAGTACATCTCAGCGAATCGGCACCAGCGAGTGTAAGATGCGCGTTATTGAATGTGCTGCTGCCGAATATGAGAATGCCGAGATTGTGAGCCGTCACCATTTCTTAGATTTTAAAAGTATTCTAAAATGTTTTTTAGAATCACTGAAATATAATAGCTACCCCCTGCCCGATATCTACTTAGTTCTTTTCGATTTTCATCATAACTTATAGAGAGGCTGGTGCAGGAACAGGTGGTTAGGCAGCTGCCCCGGGTGAGGCTGGGAGTCTCCTCTGCCCGAACAGCCCGGGTGTACACCACTCAGACTGCCTCATGTAGGCGGCTGTCAGTGGACTGGGATGATTTGGGGGCAGGGAGAGTAGAGGTGGCCCTGGGAGCCCTGCGTGGTGATTAGAACAGAACCACAGCTGTTTCTCGGGGATCAGAGATAACTGTCTGTAGCTAAGCCGGGCTTACCTACGTGGCTGGGGGTCTCACTTATGATTCTGAGCTCTGTCTGCGTGTTGGTCGTTTCATGCACACCTCCCCCACGCTAGTGGTCGGCGGTCCTGGAGGGCGGCATCTGGTCCCTTCAAAAGTGGGAAATAAGTCGGCAGCAGTGGGTCAGAATGGCTGTTTTTTGAGAGCGGGAGCAGGGGGACAGAGAAAGTCAGGAGGTGTTAGAGGTTCACAGTCCAGGCAAAAAGTAACAAAGGCCAGCTCCTGGTGTGGCAGGTGCCGCTCAGGAATAAAGTGGATGGTGCCCATGATGTGCTGCCTAGCACACTGTTGGTGCTTAATAAGTGTTTGCTGCATGAAGAAAGGTAAGAGGGGCTGCCTTTCCTGCTACGTTTCCCACACCCTGCCACAGCTGCTCTTCTCTATGATCTGACCGCCTCCCAGCCACACTCCCTTTTTGGCCATGCTTGCTCTTAAAGTTAGTTGGCAGCAAAAATGGCGGCATGGAGGATGCTTGGCACCTGTTAAAGATGCTAGAGATAAATGAGCTAAGTCGGTGGCCTCTTTTGCCCATTTCTGCCCACAGGGATGCCAGAAGGGCCGTTGGTGAGGAAATTTCACCATTTGGTCTCCCCCTTTGTGGGTCAGCAGGTGGTCAAGACAGGGGGCAGCAGTAAGAAGCTACAGCCCGCCAGCCTGCAGTCTCTGTGGCTCCAGGACACCCAGGTGAGGTAATACTCCTCTGAAGGGCTGGCTCTGTCGCCCATCCTGCGCCTCCCCTAGGATCTATCCCCATATGTCTCAGGGTGTCACTTCCCTGAGTCCGGAACCACCAAGCTCGGACTCCATGCAGCTCCCTCTTTCAGTCTCACATGTCTCAGCCAGAAGTAGATATCGCTGTGGACTGTAGAACTGTAAAGAACACGTGTGGATGAGCTGGAGACCCCGATTCAGAGGGTCTGGAGTGCTCCTATTCTCTCCGGCCGCAGCTGATGGGCACCTTTGGCTGGGAACTGTGTTCTATTCCCCTGAGCCAGTGGAGAATTAAGGACAGAGCAGAACCGGCTGGGCACGGTGGCTCGCACCTGTAATCCCAGCACTTTGGGAGGCCGAGGCGGGTGGATCACTAGGTCAGGAGTTCAAGACCAGCCTGGCTAACATGATGAAACCCCGTCTCTACTAAAAATGCAAAAATTGGCTGGGTGTGGTGGTGGGCGCCTGTAATCCCAGCTGCTCGGGAAGCTGAGGCAGGAGAATTGCTTGAACCCGGGAGGCCGAGATTGCAGTGAGATGAGATTGTGCTACTGCACTCCAGCCTGGGTGACAGAGTGAGACTCCGTCTCAAAAAAAAGAAAAGAAAAGAGCAGAACCTTCAGATCTAGGTTCAAACCAGCTCATCCTTCCAGGGGCTCACGGAGCTCCCTGTTTTCTCACCACTGCGTCCCTCTCTAGCCTTCTTATCCTGCCCCAAACCTGTCTTCTGATCGATGAAACTGCCTTTGGCTCTTCTTAGTGTTTCTGTCCGTGGTTTTCACTTGCTGCCCCCTGCTCAAGCACTTCTTCCTTTTTCTCCCAACTCTGCCCCTGTTCCCTCAATTTATAATGGTAATTCCTGGTCTTCCAGCTTCCACTTGGCCATTGCATCCTCAGAGAAGCCTGCCCTGTCTGCTTTAGGTGGGAAGGAGACTCCATCTCTGTGCTTCCAGGACATCATGTACTTCCTCCTGTTCTTCCCTTTTTACTGAGTTGTTCTGCTTGTTGAGGGGAGAGGACAGATGCAGAGGGCAGGGGCTGCTCCTCGCCAGTATTGTGCCCCCAGCACTTAGCTGAGTGCCGGCACGTAGGAAGCACGGGTGGTGCCTGTGGATGAGCTCACGCGCTCTGCTGCTGCTTAGCCGTGTGCTCTTAAGCATGTTCATCTCATAGCTCTTTCTTCTATTGTAGAATGGAGATAAGCCATTGACCTCTTAAAGTTGTTGTTTTAAGTAGAGTTTATGCCTGGCACATAACGGGTACTCCATAAGTACTAGTTCCCTTTCTTCCATCTTGCCCTCACCCCCCACCCCCGCAACACACACACACAGAGGTTTTAAAACCGTTGTTAGTTAGAACTGGAAGAGATCCTGTAGCCCTGTACCCATAGTTGATTCCTTTGGAGACTGAGGCTCGGAGAAGGGAGTACTTAGCCCAAGCTCAGGTGGCTGGCAAGGAACAGGTGAGAGCACGGGGTCCCATGGCCTCCAGGACTGTGGCCTCTTTGTACACACTGTCCTTCGAGGTTTGCAGGGGCAGAATTGTCTCTTGTCTCTGGATCCCCAGCACTTACCAGGGTGTCTGCCACAGAGCTGGCTGTAAGAGAATATTTCCCAAGTGGATGGGTGGGCAGATGGATGTGCGGTGAAGGAACCCGTAGACGGGACTGGGAGCTGCTTTCCCAGTAAACCAAGCAGAAAACCATGTTGCAGGGAACCTAAGGTTGCAGGGAACCTTCGGGGCTGCCTGGCAGTGCTTTGAAGTGAGCGCCCTTCCCTGCTTCTCCCTGTCGGCGGGTCCCTGACCCTAGGAACTTAGAACTGAATTGAGAACATACGGCTTGTATCGACACAGGCCACACTATTAAGCTATGCTAAATGGGGAGGGCAGAGCACATCATAAAGGCCCAGGTAATGACCCTGACAGGAAGAGGTCCCGGTGGCCTGGAGAAGATGTGCAGGAGGTAGGACTTGAGTTGGGCCTTGAAGGCTGGAGGATTTCAGTGGACTGAAGAGGGAGGAAAGGGCATTTCAGGCTTGAGAAGCAGTTACAGGCGGGCCGATGGAGGTGGAGTGAGCAGGGTGAGTTGATGAGGCAGGAGGGAGCTTGGCTGCACTCTGTGCCATCTGTTTGTCTGGCACATCCTTTCCTTGTCAGCTCTCCATTTTCTATATAGGAGTTGTGTTGGATTACTCATAACAGACTCAGAAAAATGGCTACTCTAGCTCATGGTTTTCTCCTCCTCCAGTAATGGAACAGTCCAGGGTGGTATAGGAGCAACATTGGAAACCAAGCTCCTTCTACTCTCCCCTTCCAAGACTGGGTAATTTATGAAGGAAAGAGGTTTAATGGACTCACAGTTCTGCATGGCTGGGGAGGCCTCGCAATTATGGCAGTAGGCGAAGGGGAAACAAAGGCACATCCTACATGGTGGAAGGCAAGAGAGCTTGTGCAGGGGAATTACCATTTATAAAACCGTCAGGCCAGGTGCAGTGGCTCATGCCTGTAATCCCAGCACTTTGGGAGGCAGAGGTGGGCAGGTCGCCTGAGGTCAGGAGTTTGAGACCAGCCTGGCCAACATGTTAAACCCCATCTCTACTAAAGATGCACAAATTAGCTGGGCATGGTGGTGGGCGCCTGTAATCCCAGCTACTTGGGAGGCTGAGGCAGGAGAATTGCTTGAACCCAGGAGACAGAGGTTGCAGTGAGCTGAGATCGCACCTGCGCTCCAGCCTCAGCAACAGAGTGAGACTCCATCTGAAAAACAACAACAACAAAAAACCCATCAGATCTCTTGAGACTTATTTACTATCACGAGAACAGCCCCCATGATTCAATTACCTCCCACTGGGTACCTCCCACCAGGTCCGTCCCATAACACATGGGAATCATGGGAGTTATATTATTCCACCCCCAGGCCCTTCCAAAGCACAAGTCCTCACATTTCAAAACCAATCATGCCTTCCCAACAGTCCCCAAAAGTCTTAATTCATTTCAGCATTAATTTAATAGGCCACAGTCCAAAGTCTCATCTGAGACAAGGCAGGTTGCTTCCACCTATGAGCCTGTAAAATCAAAAGCAAGTTAGTTACTTCCTAGATACAATGGGGGTACAGGCATTGGGTAAATACACCTGTTTCAAATGGGAGAAATTGGCAAAAACGAAGGGGCTACAGGCCCCATGCAAGTCTGAAATCCAGTGAGGCAGTCAAATCTTAAAGCTCCAAAATGATCTTTGACTCCATGTCTCTCATCCAGGGCACGCTGATGCAAGAGGTAGACTCCCACGGCCTTGGGCAGCTCTGCCTCTGTGGCTTTGGTAGGGTACAGTCCGTCATCCTGGCTGCTTTCACAGGCTGGCATTGAGTGTCTGTGTGTTTTCCAGGGCAGGGTGCAAGCTGTCAGTAGATCTACCATTCTGGGGTCTGGAGGACAGTGGCCCTCTTCTCACAGCTCTACTAGGCAGTGCCCCAGTGGGAACTCTGCCTTGGGGCTCTAACCCCGTCTTTTCCTTCTGCACTGCCCTAGCAGAGGTTCTCAATGAGGGCTCTGCCCCTGCAGCACACCTCTGCCTGGACATCCCGTTGTTTCTATACATCCTCAGAAATCTAGGTGGAGGTTTCCAAACCTCCATTCTTAACTTCTGTGCACCTGCAGGCTCAACACCACATGTGAACCGCCAAGGCTTGGGGCTTGTACCCTCTGAAGCAGCAGCCTGGGTTGTACATTGGCGCTTTTTAGCCATGGCTGGAGGGGCTAGGACACAGGGCACCAAGTCCCTAGGCTGCACACAGCAGAGGGGGCCCTGGATCTGGCCCAGGAAACCATTTTTTCCTTCTAGGTGTCTGGACCTGTGATGGGAGGGGCTGCTGTGAAGGTCTCTGACATGCTCTGGAGACATTTTCCTTATTGGCTTGGTGGTTAGCATTTGACTCCTAGTTACTTATGCAAATTTCTGCAGCCAGCTTGAATTTCTCCCCAGAAAATGGGTTTTTCTTTTCTACTGCATCATCAGGCTGCAAATTTTTCAAACTTCTGTGCTCTGCTTCCTCTTGAATGCTTTGCCACTTAGAAATTTCTTTCACCAGATGCCATAATCATGTCTCTCAAGTTCAAATTTCCATAGATCTCTAGGGCAGGGGCAAAATGCCACCAGTCTCTTAGCACAGCAAGAATCACCTTTACTCTAGTTCCCAGCAAGTTCCTCATCTCCATCTGAGACCACTTCAGCCTGTACCTTATTGTCCATATCACTATCAGCATTTTGATCAAAGCCATTCAACAAGTATCTAGGAAGTTCCAAACTTTCCCACATTTTCCTGTCTTCTTCTGAGCCCTCCAGACTGTTTCAACCTCTGCCTGTTACCCAGTTCCAAAGTTGCTTCCGCATTTTTAGATGTCTTTACAGCAATGCCCCCCTCCCAATACCAGTTTACAGTATTAGTCTGTTCTCATGCTGCTGATAAAGACATAACCAAGACTTGGTAATTTATAAAGGGAAGAGGTTTAGTGGACTCACAATTCCACATGTCTGGGGAGTCCTCATAATCATGGTGGAAGGCAAAGGAGAAGCAAAGGCATGTCTTACATGGCAGCAGGCAAGAAAGAGCATGTGCAGGGGAACTGCCCTTTATAAAACCATCAGATCTTGTGAGACTTACTGTTGTGGGAACAGCATGGGAAAAAACCCATCCCCATGATTCAGTTATCTCCCACCGGGTCCCCCCCACAACACGTGGGAATTATGGGAGCTAAAATTCAAGATGAGATTTGGGTGGAGACACAGCCAAACCATATCACACATTTTATGGTCAGTGATGTCCAGTCATCAGTTGTTGGACATTCGGATTGTTTCAACTCTTTGACTTCTATGGATAATGCTGCTGTGGGCATTCATATGCAAGTATTGGTGTAGACGTATGTTTCCATTTCTCTTGAGAGTATTCCTAGGAGTGGAATTGCTGGACCATATAGTATGTTGAACTTTTTTAGTGTCTTCTGTAGTGTTTTCCAAGGCAGCTGCACCATTTTATCATCCCACCAGCAGTGTATGAGGACCAATCCTTCCATTTATAACCTCTTGCCACAGCACCTGGGGCCTCCCCATCTCCAGGTCACCTGGGGTCACGATGGGTAGGTCCCCTGGGTTCTCTCTTCCTTGGGGCTCCCCTCTGCTGCAGCAGGGGTCTCTGCTCTCCCTCATCAGTTACCCTTCCTGTGCCTGTTCCTCATCTTCTGGGGGGACTTTGTATCTCCTGTCTGCTCCTCCTCTTGGTCCTGAGAGTTGAGAGCTCTTTGGTTCCTATAGCGGGTTTGTTGGGAGTAGTGCTAACAGCGCACGCCCTGGCTGCTGTGTCTGACCAGGAGCCCCTGTTCCAGTGTAGGGTTTCCACCTCTGCCTTCAGGTATGTCCCCTCAGCTGGGCACACCCTGTCTCCTCTGCCCTCCACTCTTCTTGTGAAGCCCAGCCCAGGTAACGGCCAGCTTCCCCTCATCATGTAGACTCTTCTTCCGTGTGCTACGTCTGCTTCTACCCACACTTTTCTTTTCTTTTTTTTTTTGTACAGATGGGCGTTTCACTTTGTTACCCAGGCTGGTCTCGATCTCCTGGGCTCAAGCAATCCTCTCGTCTCAGCCTCCCAAAGTGCAGGGATTACAGGCATGAGCCACTGTGCCTGGCCTAGCCACACTTTTCTCTGTGCTCTTGTAGTATCTGTTTTCACAGTTGTCCCCCTCCCACCCCCACCGCCTTTTAAAAATTTTTAAAATTGTGATGAAAAACACATAACAAAATTTACTGTCTTAACCATTTTAAAGTATATAGTTCAGTCATGTTAAGTGTATTCACGTTGTCTAACAGTTTCCCTGAACTTTTTTATCTCCCCAAGCTGAGACTCCATACCTGTTGAACGCTAACTCCCCCTTTCCTCCCTCCCTGCAGCCCCTGGCAATCACCTTTCTACTTTCTGTCTCGATGAATTTTACTTCCCCAGATACCTCATATCAGTGGAATTATACAGTATTTGGAGTTTTTTTGACTGGCTTATTTCACTTAGTATAAAGTCCTCAAAGTTCACCCATGTTATAGATAAGGGAAGATTGGAGATTGTTGTAATCTAATTTTGCTGCTATTACAGAATATTTGAGACTGCATAATTTATAAGCAATGTAAGTCTATTTAGCTCACAGTTCTGGAGCCTGGAAAGTCCAAGGGCATGGCATTGGCATCTTGCCGTGTCATTTGCAATTGGCATTATTCCATTCAGGAGGCCAGAGCTCTATGGCCTAATCTCAAAGTTGCCATCTCTTACCACTGTTCCATTGGGGATTAAGTTTCCAACACATACTTTTTGAGGAACACATTGAAAGCATTGCAGAGCCTTATTCATCTGTTTGCCCTTGGAGCCTAGCACACTGCCAGGCACATTGAATAAGCTTAATTAATGATCAGTGAATTGAAGTGGCTGCAGTGTCACAGGAACCCAAAAGAGGGACGGCAGAAATTGCCATAGTTGGTATGAGGACATCCTGACCTAGACATTTTTGACCTAGTAAATGTTTTGTTCATGATGGGCATTTGACAGTTATTTTCATCAGAATTATATCAACATTGGTGAGTTTATACCAAGAAATATTTTCTGCAGCAAATTCTATTATGCCCACTTAAATCCTTGCTCAGTTTTTTTTTTTTTTTTTATGTAGGTCAGTTAAACCATTTCTAATATGTGGCAGATAACAATCTGTGCTCAGATTTACAGATAAGCTATTCTGGGATTATTTCGAAAGGTAATGCTCTTTTGGGTGGAGGACTTCAAGATTAATCTGTGTACTAATTAACAAGTTAAAGATCATACCAGAACAGTGATCTTTAAGCACGGACCTGTAGTGGTCAAGAAAGTAACACAGGCATTTCCAGTATTAATGCCAGATATTTTGGTTTATACTCCTTGAAAGACTGCCTGAATTTCAGGCTGTGTAGAACTGACTCATCCTGGAATCTAGGCCTACATATTGCATATCAGGAGGTGCAATATGAAAATAAAGTCAAAGCAAGGGCCCAGGCATGGTGGCTCATGCCTGGAATCCCAACACTTTGGGAGGCCAAGACGGGCAGATCGCTTGAGGTCAGGAGTTCGAGACCAGCCTTGCTAACGTGGTGAGACGTGGTCTCTGCTAAATATACAAAAATTAGCTGGGGGTGGTGGTGTGCACCTACAGTCCCAGCTACTTGGGAAGCTGAGGCAAGAGAATCACTTGAACCCAGGAGATGGAGGCTGCAGTGAGCCAAGATGGTGCCACTACACTCCAGTCTAGGCGAGACTCCATCTGAAAAAAAAAAAAAAAAAAAAAAAAAAGGCAGCAGAACATCCTTTAACACACATTTTCTATATTTATTTTCTTCTACTGAAATCATTTTCAGTGAGATGAGGTGGGTCCTTTGCCTTATACTTTTTAGAGTGGTGATCTGATTCACTGATCAATTTTTGTTTCAGTATCTAATTTTTATTGATTACAGTTTCCTTATCAAGTCCAATATGCTGGTGGAGGGGGTAGCGAGGGGTACCCAGTTTCACAGGGTGTTGTCTTTAGCTGCTCTGTATGTGTGCATTCCCACGCACCGCTTATTTCTGGCATAGAAAATGTATTACGAATGGAATGAAGGAATGACAACTTATGTTCATTTCTTAGCTACTGCATGAAAAAATTGGGAGCGATTCCCTTCAGGTATTCCAGGGTGGCCTTGCCATCTAGCATGGGTGTGTTTCACTGCCAACTAAGTCTCCTTGCTCCCAGTCACTTTGAAAACCACATGCGAACTGCTCACACCACTGGAGCAAAAGAGCAAAAGGCAGAGTCCAAAGACTTCATTTGGGAAGGCCCCCCAGGAGGGGTGAGAAGGAAGACCTTTGCAATAGGATAAATATCCGCATTCCCCAGTTCCCCTCTCTGGGTCTGTAAGGCTTGGATCTCTGTTCATTTTTTCTAGGTCCATGGAAAGAAATTATTCCTTAGATTTGATCTAGATGAAGAAATGGGGCCCCCTGGCAGCAGCCCAACACCAGAGCCTCCACAAAAAGAAGTGCAGAAGGAAGGGGCTGCGGACCCAAAGCAGGTCGGGGAGCCCAGCGGGCAGAAGACCCTTGATGGATCCTCACGGTCTGCAGAGCTCGTCCCCCAGGGCGAGGATGATTCTGAGTATTTGGAGAGAGACGCCCCTGCAGGAGATGCTGGGAGGTGGCTGCGTGTCAGCTTTGGTTTGTTTGGCAGCGTTTGGGTGAACGATTTCTCCAGAGCCAAGAAAGCCAACAAGAGGGGGGACTGGAGGGACCCTTCCCCGAGGTAATGGTGTGGCCATCTGATTTTCGTGGGCTCTGATAGTCATAGGGCCCTGCTTGGTGGGGTTTGGGACTTCAGCAGTGGGGACATACTGAGGACGTCCAGTCTGCCCCCCAGGGCCCTGCTGTCTTGGGGAGAGAGGCCACCTCTGTATCTACCTGTGATAGGAAGTAGACTGTGGTCTGCATGCAGGAGAGGGTTGTGCACCAAGAGGTGGCTGGGAGAAGGGGAGAATTTTCCCAGCAAATGTGGCACTTGAGGGGGGACTGTCCCTGAAGAACATTTTATTGCCTGACTCCTGACTAGTGTGCTTTGAATTTAGGGAGAAGATTTTCCCAGTTTTATTTTAAGTATATTGTTTGTGTGTTTATTTTTTATTGAGATATAATTAACATTCAGTAGAATGCAGATCTTAAGTATTCAGCTTGATGAGTTTTTTTGCTTTGTTTTGAGACGGAGTCTTGCTCTGTTGGCCCAGGCTGGAGTGCAGTGGCACGATCTCGCCTCACTGCAACCTCTGCCTCCCAGGTTCAACCAATTCTCCTGCCTTAGCCTCGGAGGAGCTGGGACTACAGGTGCGTGCCACCACACCGGCTAACTTTTGTATTTTTAATAGAGACGGGGTTTCACCATGTTGGACAGGCTGGCTGGTCTGGAACTCCTGGCCTCAAGCGATCGCCTACCTCCGCCTCCCAAAGTGCTGGGATTACAGGCGTGAGCCACCATGCTTGGCCCCAGTTTTTATAATCTATGAATGTTGAGATCAACATTTTATGCATAAGACTCTATCTAGGTTTAGGATATGTCCTCAGTGTCAATTCCCAGAGGAGTAATTGCTGGTCAGAGGGAATGCATATTCTTAGGGCTGTACATTTTTCTGGCCTTAGGAAAGTGCTAGCTGAGCTGAAATCTCATGAATGTTAGGTCGTTTGTGTACTTCTTATCAATGTAATGAAGCTTTTGCACAGAAAGTCTGTTTGTTTTTGTGACATGTGTTGCCAGTATTGTTTCAAGTCTGTCCTCTGTCCTTTGATTGTGCTTATGATGTCTCTTGGCATTTGGGATTTTAAATTTTTATATCATCAACGGTGGGTATTTTTCTTGGTTGCTTGTAGGTTTCCCCTTTTGCTAAAAAAAGGCCCCTTCTGCCCCCAGAGAAAGTCACATGCCTTCTATTTTCTGAAGTTTTATAACTTGTAAAAATGTTTAGAAGTGTAGTCTTTATTTGTGTGGCCTGACGTAGGTACCATAGGATGCTATGGGCTGTAAAAATAACTCGGAGTAGCTTCTGTGGTCTGGAGATTTTGGGCTCACATGACTGGAAGTTCAGAAGGAGGGTGGGCTTTGGGGCTGCCGTTCCAAGGTTCTGGCTTCCTGTTTTTGTGATTCTCCTGGCTTTGCACTTTCCACGCATTGGTTTTCTCCTTAGACCAGCAGCAAGAGGCTACTGCAGCTCCAGGATTTTATTCACACCAAAAAATCCAGAAGAAGAGCAGATCATTTTTAGAAGTTCAGATGAGGAAACTTTTCTTAGAACCCCCAGCAAACCTGTCATCATCAGGAGCCTGCCCTTTGCTGAGTCCTGGATTAGTCACCAGCTGGAGGCATTGAAATGTGCTCCCCGAAGGAGGCTCACCCCTAGGTTTTCAGATATAGTGCCGTAGAGTGAATGTGTATCATGCCATTATTTTTAAATCTCTTTTTACCTGGTTAGGTCTCTTTTCTCATGTACCTGTTTTATGTTTACTTTGCTTTGTCTCTTTTTTCTTTAATAGGCTGGCCTGAGTTTATCTACTTTGTTGGTCTTTGAAATAAATACTATTAGCTTGCCAGGTATAATACTGACTCCTGTCTGTAATCCCAGCACTTTGGGAGGCTGAGACAGGAGGATCACTTGAGCCCAGGAGTAAGAGACTAGCCTGGGCAACATAGTGAAGACCCTGTTTGTACAAAAAAATAAAATAAAATTAACCGGGTGTGGGGGTGCATACCTGTAGTCCCAGTTACTTGGGAGGCTGAAGTGGGAGGGTAGTTTGAGCCAGGGAGGTTGAGACTGCAGTGAGCTGTGATTGTGCCACTATACTCCAGCCTGGGCAACAGAGCAAGACCCTATTTCCAAATAAATAAATAAATAAAATTAGCTTTATATATCCTTTCTATATGGAAAGGGTATATGGAGTATTGAAAATATTAGGTTGGGTGTGGTGGCTCACACCTGTAATCCCAGCACTTTACGAGGCCGAGGCAGGTGGATCACCTGACGTCAGGAGTTCGAGACCAGCCTGGCCAACATGATGAAACCCCCATCTCTACTAAAAGTACAAAAAATTAGCCAGGTGTGGTGGTATGCACCTGTAATCCCAGCTACTCGGGAGGCTGAGGCAGGAGAATCGCTTGAACCTGGGAGGAAGAGATTGCAGTGAGCCAAGATAGTGCCACTGCACTCCCGCTTGGGTGACAAGAATGAAACTCCATCTCAAAAAAAACACATTATAAGTCAAAAAAGCATTTAATATGCCTAGCCTACCAAACATCTGGGCTTAGCCTAACCTACCTTATATGTGCTCAGAACAATTACATTAGCCTACAGTTGGGCAAAATCATCTAACACAAAGCTTGTTCTATAAAATGTTGAATATCTCACGTAATTTATTGAATGCTGTACTGAAAATGAAGGTTTTATAGGTACTCAAAGTATGGCTTTTACTGAGTGTGCATTGATTTTGTACCATTATAAAATCAAAAATTAAAAGTGAACCATTGTAAGTCAGGGATGTCTGTATGTGTGTATGATCCAGCCACAGAGTGTGCTCTGACTATGTTGTGGTAACGATGTGGGGATGTGTGTATGTGTGTATGATCCAGCCACAGAGTGTGCTTGGACTATATTGTAACGATGTGGGGATGTGTGTATGTGTGTATGATCCAGCCACAGAGTGTGCTCTATGTTGTGGTAACGATGTGGGGATGTGTGTATGTGTGTATGATCCAGCCACAGAGTGTCCTCTGACTATGTTGTGGTAATGATGTGGGGATGTGTGTATGTGTGCATGATCCAGCCACAGAGTGTGCTCTGACTATACTGTGGTAACGATGTGGGGATGTCTGTATGTGTGTATGATCCAGCCACAGAGTGTGCTCTATGTTGTGGTAATGATGTGGGGATGTGTGTATGTGTGTATGACCCAGCCACAGGGTGTGCTCTGACTATACTGTGGTAACGATGTGTACATATGACCTGTTCTTTCTTCCCAGGTTGGTCCTGCACTTTGGTGGTGGTGGCTTCCTGGCATTTTATAATTGTCAGTTGTCTTGGAGCTCTTCCCCAGTGGTCACACCCACCTGTGACATCCTGTCTGAGAAGTTCCATCGAGGACAAGCCTTAGAAGCTCTAGGCCAGGCTCAGCCTGTCTGCTATACACTGCTGGACCAGAGATACTTCTCAGGGCTAGGTATGACTCATGGGAAAGGGGTGAGTCCACAGAGTTGCTTCATGGAAAAGTCGGTCCTGTGGGAGTCAGAAGACCTGAGGGCCACCCTAGTTGTGCCAGTGCTGTTGGTTTTGAGGTGCCACTTGCTCAATCTCCTTTCTTTTACTTCCCTTGTTTTTAGACTGAGGGCATTAGATCAGGCAGTTTTTAACTTGTCTCTCTGCTTCAGAATCCACACCCTAACTGTGTTATCAGTTGTGAGCCCTCTGCCAGCAGCGTTGGAGCATCACCTCCTAAAGGGTGGGGTCATGTCTCCGGCACCTCTGTACCCTCCACTGCACAGTGCAGCGCCTGCACGTAGGAGGTGCCTGACCTGTGTCTGTAGGAACTGAAGTCGTGCAGGCTGCTAACAGAGCAGTGAGCGCGTGTTCTAAGGGATGCTGCTCTTGGGTGGATGGAGCTTCCTGCCCTGGCCAGGGCACAGAGATGACTCAGTCTACACTGGGTTCTTATGCGACGCGAGTGAAGAAGCTGTTTCCCTCTCTCTATTGCAGTGGCGTGAGCAGTGAAACTGTGAGCATTTCAGGATAGGGAGAAGTGCTGAACAATTTCAAAAATACATATAACAGCTAATTAGCGGGACTATGACAGCGTGGCGTTCTTATTACTCACAGTAGGGGAATAATTGTGCCCAAAATTGGTTGCTGAAGCAATCAGGCAGGTTGGTGGTGACAGAGTCATCTCCATATCCAACATGTGGCCTTGCTGCCTGCTCACCACCCTTCACGAGGGTCGGAGGAGGCCAGGTGGTACAGCAGGCACTTGCCTTGCATTTTCATGTTAGGACCATGGGAGTCCCTGTGCACTCAGGAGCGAAGAGCCGTCGGAAGTGGCTTTTTGGGTATATATGGCAAGAGCTAACAGTAACAGTAGTAATTAATAACGGCCAGTGTTTTCCAAGCAGCTCTGATGTGCCAGGCACACGTTCTTGTCCTTACTGCTGTCCTGTAGGATGGTTATAGTGCTTTTCCCTTCCTTCAGATGAGGAAACTGAAGCAGAGAACACATCGCTAGTAAATGGTGCAGCTGAGATGTGAATCCAGGTGTTCTGTCAATGAATTCTGGAGAGACTGATGTGTGTAATGAGGAGTGTGACTATGAGGCTCTTGGAAACAGCAGGAATTTCCTTCACCCACTCACTCCAAACACACAGACACTCACTTGAGCTCTGTCACGCTCACCACCTCTCCTTAAGGAGATCATTGTATAATGGCCCAGCAAGCATGGACTCAGTCCACTGTGGGTTACTAAAGATTGCAATGAATGCCTGGTGGAGCTGAAAGAGTATGGTTGGAACATTCCCAAGAGAGTTACTGATTCTGGAAGGAGGGATCGAGGCTGGCTTCACAGAGAATGAGGCAGGAGTAGAAAAATAATAAGATAACAGCTCCCGAAACACTTTCTACATAACAAGCATTATGCTTGGTATTTCATTTATTTTATTTTTTGACACAGGGTCTCTCTCTGTCACCCAGGCCAGAGTGCAGTGGCACAATCACAACCCACTGCAGCCTCAACCTCTGTGGCTCAAGCGATCCTCCCACCTTAGCCTCCTGAGTAGGTGAGACTACAGGTGCATGACATCACGCCTCACTAATTTTTAAAATTTTTGTAGAGACAAGAAGCTCTCACTGTGTTGCCCAGGCTGGTCTTGAACTTGTGGGCTTAAATGATCCTCCTGCCTCTGCCTCCCAAAGTGCTGGGATTACAGGCGTGTGCCACTGTGCCTAGCTATGCTTGACATTTTGTTTTTAATTTAAAAAAAAAATTTTTTTGAGACAGGGTCTTGCCATGTTGCCCAGGCTGGAGTGCAGTGGCACAATCTCAGATTACTGCAAGCCCCACCTCCCAGGTTTAAGCTAGTCTCCTACCTCAGCCACCTGAGTAGCTGCGATTACAGGCAGGTGCCACCATGCCTGGCTGATTTTTGTATTTTTGGTAGAGATGGGGTTTCACCATGTTGTCCAGGCTGATCTTGAACTCCTGGCCTCAAGTGATTCACCCGCCTCTGCCTCCTAAAGTGCTGGGATTACAGGAATGCGCCAGGCCAACATTTTAAATAATAACAACAGTTAATACTTATTGAGTACTCTACATACCAGCCACTGTGCTCAGCGTCTTTTGGTGAATTCTCATTTAATGCTCACAAAAACCAGGTAAGCCATCCCTGCCTTACAGATAAGGAAACTGCAGCTAATTGAGGCTGAGGAGCTTGTCAGGGTCACGTGGGTAGGATCTGCTTGAGCTGCGATTCAAGTGCAGGCAGTCAGATGCCCGATCCGTTTTTGATAGCCTGTTTGCCATGACGGGCCATGCATGAGTTTCATTTCATCTTCACAGCAACCTTAAAGGTAGGAATTGTCAACTCCATTTTACAGACAGAGAAATGGAGTCAGAGATCGCAGACCCGTCTAGGGTCCCCCAGGACATGGAAGAGCTGATTTCTGCCTTGTTAACTTTGTGGGTGGTTTCATCATGCCATGTGTCCTTTGTCCTTCCCTTACCTTCCCCCGCTTTATTTCAGGGAACATCATTAAGAATGAAGCCTTGTACAGAGCTGGGATCCATCCCCTTTCTCTCGGTTCAGTCCTGAGTGCCTCGCGTCGGGAGGTCCTGGTGGATCACGTGGTGGAGTTCAGTACAGCCTGGCTGCAGGGCAAGTTCCAAGGCAGACCGCAGCACACACAGGTCTACCAGAAAGAACAGTGCCCTGCTGGCCACCAGGTCATGAAGGAGGCGTTTGGGCCCGAAGATGGGTTACAGAGGCTCACCTGGTGGTGCCCGCAGTGCCAGCCCCAGTTGTCAGAGGAGCCAGAGCAGTGCCAGTTCTCCTAAGGAGCTGGTGGTGCTCCTCACGGAACCTTGCCGCTTGGGGAACCTGACGTCTAAGTGTCCAGAAAGGAGGATGTGGGCAGGGACGGGGTACAGAGGATAGTGTGGGTCAGAGGTGCCAGTAGTATAATATTCGTCTCCCTGGAGTTATGTTGAAGGCAGAGTTTTCATAGGGTTAGATTTTTTTTATCCTTTTCTAGTTCAGTTAATTCATCCTGTTGAATTGCACCATCGTGAAAGATGGGAAAAATCGTGATGATGGGTAAGGGGAAAACTTCCCGGAAGGCAATGGGGCAAGGAAAAAGAAAGCCTATGGGAAATGGCTGTGCTCCCAACATAGCTTTGCAGATGATGTGGGTTTTTTTTTTTTTTTTTTGGTTGTTTGTTTTGAGAGAGAGTCTTGCTCTGTCTCCCTGGCTAGGGTGTGGTGGTGTGATCTTGGCTCACGGCAGCCTTGCCCTCCCTGGCTCAAGCAGTCTTCATCTCAGCCTCCAGAGTAGCTGGGACTACAGGCATGTGATATGATGCTCGGCTGATTTTTGTTTACTTTTTAGAGAGATGGGGTCTTGCCATATTTGCCAGGCTGGTTTGAACTCCTACAACTCAAGCATTCCTCCCACCTTGGTCTCCCAAAATGTTGGGACCACGGGTGTGAGCCACCGCGCCCAGCTAGCTCCTGTGTTTTGTTTTTGTTTTGTAACTTTGGTTGATGTTAAGGCCCTCCATTTTGGAAAGCAGGAAAACAGGATTTTTTTTTTTTTATCTTGTTCCCTGGAGGATCCAGGGATGAGGATAGAGTGGCCTGAGAGCAGTGCTTGGATTCAGCCTCCTGCTGGGTCCTTCTGCTGGATACAGGCACCAAGAGGCGGGGGTGGAGCAGGGAGCTGCGCCTTCCTGGGGTGCCCGGTGGTGTGTAGAGAAAAGCTGCTTGTTTACTCCTTAAGTCAATGTATTGGTGACTGTTGATTTGTTGAACAATTCAGGAATCAAGGGCTGTGGAGAAACTCCCTCATGTTGTTGGCAACAGGTGAATGAACCTAGAGCGGTGACATGAAAATAAAGCTCACTGTTACTCGCTGTTTTTGTCTTTATTTGGTAGTAAAAGGTCTTTAAATACCCAACTATTCATGGAGGTGGCCTCCAGGGCTTACTGGGTTAGCTGAGGAATCTACATAAAAGTAGCAGTGAGAGGAGGTGAGCGCACACCTGCTCCTCTGCCCCAGCTGAACAGAGATGGACTTGACCTCTGTCACCACGATGTCTGCACAGAGATTTGTGAGAGTGAAGCTGAAAACACTGGCTGATATTTCTGGCTTTCCTTTATTCTTCTCTTTTTTTTTTTTTTTTTTTTGAGACAGGGTCTCACTCTGTTGCCCAGGCTGGAGTACAGTGGTGTGACCATGGCTCACTGCAGCCTTGACCTCCCAGGCTCAGGTGATCCTTCCACCTCAGCCGCCCTAGTAGCTGGGACTACAGGTGTGCACCACTATGCCTGGCTAATTTTTGTATTTTTGTATAGAGGGAGACTCACCATGTTGTCCCAGGTGGTCTCGAACTGCAGGCCTGAAGTGATCCACTTGCTTTGGCCTCCCAAAATGCTGGGATAACAGGCATGAGTCACCATGCCCGGCCTCCTCTGTCTTAAATGACTGACAATTGTCAACAGTGCAGAGAGCCACTTGATGGCAGACCAAGTCTCTTGTACTGAAGGCTCCTCCCGCACGGGGTGCTCTCCCTGTGTCGAGGGCTGTGTCTCCCCCACCCAGTTCTCACCACTTCGCTTACTTCTTGCACATGATCTACAAAACAACACATGAAGACAGGTCCTCAACCTTGTTGTCCTTAAGTTATAGATGAGAAAACGGAAGAGTCTAGAGAGGCTGAGGACCTCGCCTAAGCTCACACAGTTAACAAGGGCCAGAGCCACACCGGAGTCAGCTCTGGCTGCCGAAATGTGCCCTAGGGGAGGTGACTCAAACAGCAGACTTATTTCTTATAGTTCTGGAGCCTGGGAAGTCCAAGATCAAGGGCTGGCTGACTCAGTTCCTCTGCTAGATCACACTGGGCATTAGGGCTTTATATGTGAATTTTAAGGGAACACAATTCAGTCTGTTACAGGCTACAAAGGAATTTGGGAGAAAATCCTCAACTTCTCAAAGGTCATCTCCTCCCACTCTTGAAAAAACATACAATAGCTTATAAAAACCTCACTTTCCCTTCATGAAGGCCTGGATTTAAGAAAAAATGAATAAAACCTCAATTCCAGAATAGACGATGGGAAAATATTGAATAATGGATTTATTTGTATTTAGAAGGGTAGAAGAGCATACTCATGCACTTGTGTGTATATATGCACATATATAAAATATGTAACATCAAAGAATGTGGGCCAGGCGTGGTGGCTTATGCCTGTAATCCCAGCACTTTGGGAGGCAAGGCAGGTGGATAACCTGAGGTCAGGAGTTTGAGACCAGCCTGGCCAACGTGGTGAAACCCTGTCTCTACTAAAAATACAAAATTCAACCTGGCGTGGTGGTGGGCGCCTGTAATCCCGGTTACTTGGGAGGCTGAGGCAAGATAATAGCTTTAACTGGGGAGGAAGAGGTTGCAGTGAGCCTAGATCACGCCACTGCAGTCCAGCCTGGGCCACAGAGTGAGACTCTATCTCAAAAAAAAAGTGTGTGTGTGTGTGTACTGAAATGCACCTTTCTAACCCATATGGTTAGGACAAGACTAGGACTCCAGGCATGAGCTGCTGCAAATGAGGCTGAGACCATTTCCTATGAGTGGGTGTCTATAGGACAGTGGGTCCAGGGGCTCCCCAGACATAGTGGGGACTGAATACCATGGCCTGCGTGTGGTCTGCTCCAACTGGGATTGGTAGAAAGGAAAAGGCGGTTGTGGCGCCGAAAAGGAAGTTGTTGACAAAGAAGCAATGGGGCGGCTGTAGCTGTAGGAGTGGAGAGGGTGAGAGGCGCGGGCCACGGCGGCACTGGGCTCTGTTGGTGTCAGCTGGCCAACAGTGTGGGCACCGGGGCAAGGAGGGAACACTGGAGTGGCTCAGCCGGCACTGAGCTGAGCAGTGGCAGAGGCCACCGCCTGGCAGATGGGGAAAGGCAGAGTGGGTGAGCGGGCACTGTGTATCACCCCCTGAGGTGTGCTGAGCTCGAGCCTGTGACCACCTGTGCTGTGGAGATGGAGACAATGTAATTGGGAAGCAGGCCTGGCCTCCCCCTGCCACAGGGACAGGCTGGTCTTAGAGGCACCGATGGGGCAGCTTTCCTAGTAGGAGTCATGATGAGCTACAGAGGCTCACAGGGTGTCATGGAGCACGAGGAAAGGTGCAGGGAATCCTAGAGAAAGTCTTGTGTTTAAGGAGCAAGACAGGAAGGAGAAACCAGTCAGTGAGATGGGTCAAATGTAAGTGGAGAAAGGAACGTCCAAGGAGAAGCGGGCTGTCGCTATGGTGAATCATGCAGAGATGAAGGCGGGACGATGGAGCAGTGGCCCCTTGGGCTTGGCAGGTGATCAAATTCGAGGTCATGATGACCTTCAGGAGAGCACTGTGTGCAGAGTGCCAGCAGTGGGAAGGGACCGGGTGGGAGGGAGGATGTGGAATGTGAGGGTGGTCTCCCCTGCAGGAAGTTTGGCCTTGGAGGGGATGAAAATGAAGGGCAGGGAGGAGTCGCGAGCGAACAAGCAGGAGGGTGTTCGACTGCTAGAGCTGAGCTAAGCGATGCCTAAATCAAAGGAACTTGTTTCTTCAAGCTCTTCTGGCAGTGATCCTGACAGTGAGGTTGACAAAAAGTTAAAGAGGAAAAAGCAAGTTGCTCCAGAAAAACCTGTAAAGAAGCAAAAGACAGGTGAAACTTCGAGAGCTCTGTCATCTTCTAAACAGAGCGGCAGCAGCAGAGATGATAACAAGTTTCAGATTGGGAAAATGAGGTACGTTAGCGTTGGAGATTTTAAAGGGAAAGTGCTAATTGATACTAGAGAATATTGGATGGATCCTGAAGGCGAAATGAAACCAGGAAGAAAAGGTATTGCTTTAAATCCAGAACAATGGAGCCAGCTGAAGGAACAGATTTCTGTCATTGATGATGCAGTAAGAAAACTGTAAAATCCGAGTCATACAAACAAAACCTGTACTTTTCTAGTTGTTTGAATCTGTCTTTTTACATTGGCTTTTGTTTTCTAAATGTTGTTCTCCAAGCAATTGTATGTTTGGATTGCAGAAGAATTTGTAAGATGAACTTTTTTTTAATGTGCATTATTAAAAATGTTGAGTGGAGCAATTGTCACCTTTATTAAGGAGGATTGCTTTGTGCCCACCACCTAGTGTAAAATAAAATCGAGCAATACAGTCTTAAATGTTGTGGCCTTTTTTGATCATAAGAGTTGGTACTGTTTAAGGCCAAAAGTAATAGTTTTTATAAATCTTTTAGTTTCAACTGAGCTTTTACAATAAAAAGGATTTGTATTGCATTGAGTTTATAAACTTTTGGTTTGTGAAATCCATATTTGATCTGTTTTCTTCCAATCAAATGTTTATTTGGAAAGTCAGTGAAACTGTCAAAATGTTACCTCAATAAGATATTTATAATTGTATGAGAACTACAATCACCAAATCGACTGTCTTCAGTATTAGCAGATCTAGTTTGATAAACAAATGGCTTGTGTGAAAACCGAGCAGGTGTTTGTCATTACCCATAGTGTTCTGTGTAGTTATTGCTTAGTCTGCAGAAAATAATGACCTAGATGAGATGTCTGACTTGCTTTCACTTATTAAACATGTTCACCATGGGATGATGTGTGTAACGTCAGATATTGTTAAACTAGACTAGGATTTAATAAAAATTGTGAAAGCTTACTGGCCTAACATTTTATTTTATAATATTGAGTATGAATTATATGTAGCCAGAGATGTCAATAAGGCTTACTGTCAGTAGGTAATATGGTTAGTTTGTAGGGAAAAGAGCGTATGAGCACATGCTTGTGTATTTCGGCCTTTGCCCCAGTAGATCAGACAATGACATTCTAGTCTTGATGTTACTAAGTTTTAGCAGACACTAGCAAGTGGTTTGTATTTAACCACACCCATGAAGCAGACAGACTGAGGCACAGATTTTAGTGGCTTTGTGGCAATAAATAGGGCATGGTGTGCCTTAGGAAAAGAATGTTTATAAAGGGAACTATAACTGAAATTAAAGGAGGCGGCAGTGAAGAGGAAATAATTATCTTCTATCTAAATGATATACATATGATATTTTGAGATTTTTATAACTGCAGTGCAACACAATTCTGGGTAGAGTAGAAAAAGGAATGGTTTAAAGACATATAAAAGATTCTTGTTGACAATTTATTTTTGGTAGCAAATCTCAAATGATTACCTGCTATTAAGGGCTGCCATATCAGAGTTTTGCACTATTTTGCTACCAAGTTTGATTCGTACATCTAAAACATTTTGTAGTTGATTGTCAAGGACTTAATTTGAAAATCATTTGCCAGGCCACATAGTTATCAATTTTCTTTCTAGCAGCTATTCTGTTGTATTTTTAAAACATTTTTTAGATGACTTTTTGAAGTCTATTTAGCAGTAACCTTAAGAGGTGCAAATTAGTAAAATAAATCTCTTGTAATTTAGCCTTCATCAAATAATAGGTACCAATGTATTAAAAATATGTGGTTTTTTTTTTTTTGGCAGCCCTTTGAACCAGAGTAAGTTCAGAGAAACTCCCAAAATTTGTATTTTAGACACGTCATGCTTGATTGGTAACTTCCCTCCTTTTTTGGGGAACATGTTTGTGTCCTATTAACTTAATTGGATAGATTTTTAAGTATTTCTTATTTTTGGCACACAGGATGGTTAGAATACAGAACTTTGATTTTTGGTGTAGATACGGAGAGAATGATGGGTAAATTTCCTAGGTTTATATGAATTTAGGGGGTGTACGCATTTTGAAACGCTATTAACAGATGGTGCTGAAATCTATTGCCTACATGTTTTCTAGCTCTTTAGCATTATGTTAATGAAGCCTCCATATAAGGAGTGTTTCTCTGGCACAGTTGGTAAGTTGACTGCTAACTTCATTGAAATGTGTTACTGGATATGCAGTATACTGAAATTATTGATCTTTTTTGTGTATAGGAAAAGAGAAGTGGGTTAAAAGAAGCAAATTAACTTGTTCTGAAAAGAAAGTATAGATTAATTTTGTTTTCTGTTTAAATTTTATCTCCTTGGTAAGACTTTTTTTCCAAGGCAGAAAGCTTGGCATTTTTAGGCATAGATCCCTTACCTTATAATGTCAAAATGAATTTAATTCCAGTACTCAGGTTTTTCCCTTTAACAGACTCTATGTGTATCAGGGCTTTCTAATGGGTTTTTCCTCTTTGTTTTTAAAATGTGAGCAGCTTTTGACCAATTTCCAGTGCTCTTAGCATTTTACTTAAAGAACAACCACTAAAAAAGAAAAACTTCGTAATTTGCTTGTCTTTTGCTTTGCTTTATTAATGTCTAAGAACTTAAGAATACTCCTACCTCATTAGCTACTCAAGATGCTGTGACGACCAAATCTATTCTACATAATGTGTTTAGAAACAAAGACTTGGGTGAAAAATGAAATAAGTATATTCTGACTTGGCTATTGAGGGTAAAAAGAAAGAATTAAGTATTAAGTGTTCCTTGTAGGAGATACGTTAGTAGAATACCATAAAAGTTTGAAAATTTTAAAAAGTACTAATATTTAGGTATCCTGAAATTATTTGCAGTTCATTTTTTATGGAAATTAATCCAGTGAATCACGCAAAAGTTTTTTTTTTAAATGGTGTTTTTCCAGATCAACTCTAGGGTAAACATTCACATAATCACAAATATGCAATTCTGTAATTGTGAAATGCCTGTATGTTTTGTTTTCATACATCTTCCTTGGAGATGTCTGAATATAATACTCCATCTATGAATATTTTAAATGTTGAAATAAAAGTAAGAAATGTGAAAAAAAAAAATGAAGGCTAGGGAGGAGAGCAAAGGATGAATATAACGTGAAAATGTATGTATAGTTAGTTCAGGGGAGAAAACCAGGAGAGAGAGAGAGAAAGCTCACACCAGAGCTGTCGCTTAAAGATGACTGGACTAGGATGGGAAGAGAAAGAATAACAAGTCCCTAGAAAATTTGCTAAAAGTGAGGCCTTTGGGGTACAGAAGAGTGGGCAGGTTTGTAACGGCTGTAAGGGAAACGTGATCACTTCGGGTTAGAGGGAAGGGCTGTAGAGCCACATGGCAAGCCCAGGACACCTGTGCATTTCCTGACTTTCCCTGACAGCATCCAGTGGCTTAGGATAAAAAATGGAGACATTGGATGTTGGATTACCCCACAATGGACATGGACGTTTGTCAGGGTAAGGATGGTGGGAGACCTAAGGGACAAGGAGAAACATTATTTTTTTAAAATTACAGACGTCAAAAGAGTCACACAATACAAAGTTTATAGAGTGAAACATGAAAGAATGACCTTCATCCCTGCCTTAGGAGGATCTCTGGAGCAGCTTTGCTCATAGTGTCTCTGACTGCAGTGACTTACGGAAAAAACTAATAATTGGGAAAATACTAGTACCTAACAGTTGAGACTAAGTGTTGTGGTTGGTGCCGTTGGAACTCCATGGAACATGTTCCTCATGGAAGAGGTGGGGAAGGGGGAATGTGGGCAGGTAACAACCCACACTCCCATGCTTCTCTCCCAGTGAGTGAGATCTAATTCACCCTGGCAGTAGGTTCTCAGTGGGTTTCAGGTTGGTTCCAAAAGGAGGTAGGGCCTGGTGCAGTGGCTCACGCCTGTAATCCCAGCACTTTGGGAGGCTGAGGCAGGAGGATTGCTTGACCCCGGGAGTTCGAGACCAGCCTGGGCAACATAGCGAGACCCCATCTCTACAAAAAATACAAAAATTAGCCAGGCATGGTGATGCATACCTGTAGTCCCAGCTACTAGGGAGGTTGAGGTGGAAGGATCACTTGAGCCCAGGAGGTCAAGGCTGCAGTGAGCCGAGATGATGTCACTGTACTCCAGTCTGGGTGACAGAGTAAGACCTTGTCTCAAAAATAAAAAAATAAAAATTTTAAATAAATACATAAAAGGAGGTAGGCACGATATGTTGTAAGTGGACTGAAAGAGAGGAGATGGTACAGAGACAGCAGGGTGGAGTGTGACCAGTGGCGGTTATGCCTTTTGTGCCTGTGCCTGTTGCCTGGAAGGAGGAGAGGTTTTCGCTTGACAGGACTGTGAAGGAGGGCACGGAAATATGGGGGGTCGGGGGTGAATCTAGGCTTCCATCTTAGTAAGGAGAGGCGGGATACGTGTGAGAGGCGGCAGCATGCTGGCAGCCCTGCAGCCCTTGCTCGCTCTCGGTGCCTCCTCGGCCTCGGCGCCCATTCTGGCCGCGCTTGAGGAGCCCTTCAGCCCACCGCTGCACCGTGGGAGCCCTTCTCTGGGCTGGCCTAGTCCGGAGCCGGCTCCCTCGGCTTGCGGGGAGGTGTGGAGTGAGAGGCACTGGCGGGAACCAGGGCTGCGCGCGGCGCTTGCGGGCCAGCGCAAGTTCCGGGTGGGCGTGGGCTCGGCGGGCCGCACTTGGAGCGGGCGGCCGGCCCCGCCGGCCAGGGCAGTGAGGGGCTTAGCACCTGGGCCAGCAGCCGCCGTGCTTGATTTCTCAACAGGCCTTAGCTGCCTCCCCGCGGGGCAGGGCTCGGGACCTGCAGCCCGCCATGCCTGAGCCTCCCCCGCGCCGCCGCCGTGGGCTCCTGCGCGGCCCAAGCCTCCCCGACGAGCGCCACCCCCTGTTCCACGGCGCCCAGTCCCGTCGACCGCCCAAGAGCTGAGGAGTGCGGGCGGATGGCACGGGAGTGGCAGGCAGCTCCACCTGCGGCCCTGCGCGGGATCCACTGGGTGAAGCCAGCTGGGCTCCTGAGTCTGGTGGGGACTTGGAGAATATTTATGTCTAGCTAAGGGATTGTAAATACACCAATCAGCACTCTGTATCTAGCTCAAGGTTTGTAAACACACCAATCAGCACCCTGTGTCTAGCTCAGAGTTTGTAAATACACCAATGGACACTCTGTATCTAGCTAATCTAGTGGGGAGGTGGAGACCTTTTATGTCTAGCTCAGGGATTGTAACCGCACCAATCAGCACCCTGTCAAAACGGACAAATCAGCTCTCTGTAAAACAGACCAATCGGCTTTCTGTAAAATGGACCAATCAGCAGGGTGTGGGTGGGGCCAGATAAGAGCATAAAAGCGGGCTGCCTTAAAAAAAACGGTGGCAACACGCTGGGTTTGCTTTACAACGCCTGGGAAGCTTTGTTGTTTGCAATAAATTTTAATTCTTGTCTGTTTCGGTCTGCACTGCCTTTATGAGCTGTAACACTCACGGGGTAGGTTTGCAGCTTCACTCCTGAAGCCAGTAAGACAACGAACCCACTGGGAGAAACAAACAACTCCAGACGCGCCGACTTAAGAGCTGTAATACTCGCTGTGACGGTCTGCAGCTTCACTCCTGAGCCAGCGAGACCACGAACCCACCAGAAGGAAGAAACTCCGAACACATCTGAACATCAGAAGGAACAGACTCCGGACACGCCGCCTTTAAGAACTGTAACACTCACCGCGAGGGTGGGCGGTTTCATTCCTGAAGTCAGTGAGACCAAGAACCAACCAATTCCGGACACACTTGGACTCGACAGACTCTAAGGTGAAAGATTGGTTTAGTTCATGAGTTGGGGTTTTGTGATAACTGACATTGTGAAAAACGGGGGATTTAACATAGATTTTCACAGTGGCTTTAGACATTTCATAAATATTTCTTAAATGCCTCCTAAATGCTAGGATTTGGCAATACAAGGCTAAACAAAATACAAAGCCAAATCCTACTGTAACGGGAGTATGTAAAGTGTTTCTGTTAATGGAAAAAGTGCTGTGTGAGGATGGGGGTTAAGTGACTGGACTGTTTGTGTTCTGAGCTTTCTAGGACTGATCTGATTACGCTGTAAACACTCTGCCAGATACTGTGTAGGCCCAGCCCTTGTGCTTGAGGGGGCCACTGTGAGGTGGCGAAACAGACAAGAGATTATTAGAATACAGAAAGTTCAGGTTGGGAGGAACCACTGAACATGGTAGAAGTACTGAGGTCTGTGAAAGTAAAGATCAGCCCAATGAACACAAACAAATAAGGTTCTTGATTCGGAGCTTGCTGTAGTAAGGGAGTTTTGTACTTAGTGGACACTCCGAGGCAGGCAGGGGAGTGGGAAGCTTTACGGTGGAAAAGGGGAAGGCTGCAGCAGTGCTCTGATTGGAGGCTTCTGGCCTGGGGAAGTTGGAAGCAGCTGATAGAGGTAGGTGTCTTCAGTGATTGGTTTGAGGAGCCTATTTGTTTTTCTGTGGTTGATTCTGAGTTGCAAGAGTCCTGACCATTTGGGGCTGATTGCTGCTGAGGTTGTGGTTTTCTTGCAGGACAGGCAAGCCCCAAATTGGGCCTTAGCCCATGAGGGTTCCTGGCTTTACCCAGGAAAGAATTCAAGGGTGAGCCAGTGGTAAGGTGGAAGAAAACAACTTCATGAAAGAGGCAGTGTGACAGCTCCGTGACTTTTCCTGCAGAGTAGGGCTGCTCCGCAGGCAGTGTGCTGAAAGCAGCTCAGGGCAGTTGTGCAGTCAGATCTATACCTACTTTTAATTGCACGCAGATTAAAGGACAGTTTCTGAAGACATCTGTAGGAAAAGGGTAGTAACTTCTGGGTTGTTGGGTCATTGCCATGGAAAGGGGTGGTAAATCCTGGGTGTTGCGATGGCAATGGTAAACTGACATGGCAAACTGGTGGGCGTGTCTTAAGGACGGCTGCTTCGGCCCCTCCCTGTTTTAGCTAGTCCTCAATTTGGTCGGCTGTCTGAACCCCACCTCTGGAGTCGAATCTCGCCTTCTATCTCATTTTGAGTTCCTTGGACTGCCTGCAGCAGCGGTTGTTTAAGCCATGGTTCTGTTATATAGTGTCTGGCTGTTATCCATTCGTATGTTCAGCTTCCAAGTGGACACCTAAGTCAGACTGAGGGAGCTGGATTAGGGGCTCTCTAACAAATAGCACCATCACATAACATGTCTGTTTCTTCCTCTGCATTGTAAGCTCCTTGGCTGTGGAACCTTATCTTACTCATCTTTGTTTTTTCCCATGTCTCCTGCCACATTGTAGATGTTCAGCCAATGTTTGTTGCATTTAAAGAACAGATAAAGAATCACAGCTACTAGGGAAGCTGAGATGGGAAGATCCTTAATCCTAGGAGTTTGAGCCAGCCTGGACAACATAAGACCCTGTCTGTCTCTCACACACACTCAAAAAAAAAAAAAAAAAAAAAAAAGAAACAAACAAAAAAAACGGTGGGGGAGGGGAACAGATAAAGGAGAGGCCAGGAAACACCAGAAAAGGATTCCTGAAGCAGATTCCACCTGAGCTGTAATGGAGGCGTGGCAGGTGGCTAGGCAAGGAGCAGGAAGCCTATTCCAGGCAGGTGAATTGCTTGGGCCAAGGCCGGATGTGAAGTACTGTAGCCTGTTCGGGGGACAATAAGTGCTGCTAGGACTGGATCAGGGTGTGAAAGTAGTACAAGAATGGGTGGACAGGAGGCTGAAATCCCAACAAAGGATGTAGATGCCAAATGGCAAGGACGTTTTTATTCTATGCCAGAAGGCTTGATTTCCTTTAAATCAATCCATTGATTCGAAGACATTTCATTGGAGGAATTTAAAATGGAAGGATTATAATCAAGTGTGTGTTTTTATTTTTTATTTTTTTGAGACGGAGTCTCACTTTGTTGCCCAGGCTGCAGTGTGGTGTGGTGATCTCGGCTCGTGGGTTCAAGCGATTCTCCAGCCTCAGCCTCCCGAGTAACTGGGATTACAGGCACCCACAACCACGCTCAGCTAATTTTGGTATTTTTAGTAGAGACGGGGTTTCACCATGTTAGCCAGGCTGGTCTCAAAGTCCTGACCTCAAGTGATCCGCCTGCATCGGTCTTCCCAAGTGCTGGGATTACAGGTGTGAGCCACTGCACCCAGCCCAGTGTGTGTTTTAGACGAATAACTCTACCTGCCATATGGGAAAGGACAGGGGAAGTCAACTTCAACATGGTTTGGGAAAGAAGATGTGGCTTAAACCAAGATGGAGCAGAGAGGAGAGATTAAAATGAAAGGTATTTGTTTTCTTGGACTCCACAGGACTTGATGAATGATTTTGAAGGGGTGGATATAAGGAGAGAAAGGGCGTTATCAATGACACCTGGATTTTGTGATTACAAAACTGAGAGGCTGTTAATGCTATCCACAGGAGAAGCAGATTTAATGGAAGAGAGATTTAAAGAATGGGCACGTTAACTAACTTTGCATTGTTTAGGCACCATCGTGTCCTATACGCAGCTCAATTCAATAAATACTCATTGAGCACCCAATAAATATTCATTGAGCCAGTATGTGCTGGGCACTATTCCAGATGGTTGAGGGGACATTAGTGAGCAAAACAAAGGTGTGTCGTCACTGAGCTTAGATTTCTCGTGTTGACTTAAAAAATATGATTTATCAATTTAGAAAGGGAGAAGAGCCTTTATTTCTTCTAAAGGGTTACAGCATGCTTCCAGCTTAGACCACAGACGGGCACTTTGAAGGAAAAGGCGTTTGAGGTAGGAGCTTTATGCTGACTGGGTTGGCTAAACGTACATATTTAACAGATTACAAGAGGAGCTACGAATATTTATGATGGCGGACCTGACACATTGAACAAACATGTATGTAATATATGACCCATATTCACTTTGGGATAGAGACTCAACATGTGAATGCATTACAATTACACCCTATAGGTCAAAAGGTCTTTTTAGGACAGGAAGGCGCCTTGAGTGTACAGTTTCTGTAAACTGGCCAGACCAGTCCACGGTCGGCGGTCTTATCAGGAGAAAGTTACTGAGATCAATCTCTTGACCAGTCAAAGCTGTAGTTATGGCTGGTGGAACAGGGGTTCAATTAGTCACTGTCTGGTGGAGCTGCAGGTGTTTTACTATTGCTTATCTCAAGGCCAGCGTTTAGCTGCTGGAGAAAAAGAAGAGCCCTGTGGCAGTTAGAGCTTAGTTGATTCTTCAAGTGTAGGGGTGCCTGACTTCACCATTGCCTGCATGGCCTTAGGTCCTGTTTATAATTGGGTATCTTATTGCCACAGAGTCTGTTCCGTTAGTCTTATGATCTCTGTTTTAATGTTAATGCCAGCCAGTTGTGTATGAACTCCAAAAGGAAGGGGGTACAATGAGGGCTATCTGATCTCCTGTCCCGTTATTTGAAATGCTTTTTCCCTGGTGCTGTAAAGAAATAGCACTTGTAGGCTGGGCGCCGTGGCTCACGCCTGTAATCCCAGTACCTGGGGAGGCTGAGGCGGGCGGATCACGAGGTCAAGAGATTGAGACCATCCTAACCAACATGGTGAAACCCTGTCTCAACTAAAAATAAAAAAATTAGCTGGCCGTGGTGGTACATGCCTGTAGTTCCAGCTACTCGGGAGGCTAAGGCAGGAGACTCACTTGAACCTGGGAGCCAGAGGTTGCAGTGAGCCAAGATCGCGCCACTGCACTCCAGCCTCACGACAGAGTGAGACTCCATTTAAAAAAAAAAAAAAAATGAAGAAGAAATAGCACTCGAAGGCTGGGCGCAGTGGCTTGCCTGTAATCCTAGCACTTTGGGAGGCCGAGGAGGGTGGGGTGGATCATGAGGTCAGGAGTTCAAGACCAGTCTGGCCAACATGGTGAAACCCTGTCTCTACTAAAAATCGAAAAATTACCCAGGCGTGGTGGTTGGGCGCCTGTAATCCCAGCTACTCGGGAGGCTGAGGCAGGAGAAGCACTTGAACCCAGAAGGCAGAGGTGGCAGTGAGCCGAGACTGTGCCACTGCACTCCAGCCTGGCAACAAGAGTGAAATTCTGTCTCAAAAAAAAAAAAAAAAAAAAAAAAAAAAAAGCGCTTGAACATTAATTTACTAAGCAGGCCATTTTCACTTCCTGCAGAAAGGGTACACTCGCCAGCAGTTTTGCCATGGGAGTATACCAAACAAAGGAGACAGGGTCATTTATAACCTGACTCGTCCACCCCACTGCTTGTGTCTAGTTTCCATTGGCTGGAACGGTGCCTCACGTTCTGTATTTGTCCCGATTGGCTAGCAACTTAGAAGTTTTTAAAAGAGGCAAAGGTAGAGGAGAACAAAGGAAGGAGGAAGTAACTTGTGGAATGGTGACAAAGGTTGAAACACCTTCAAATAAGGAAGAGGAACAGGCTATGACCTAATGCTTTCTTGGACCACTATAAGCATGCCAGGGCAAATATTTAGGCTAAATTGTGAGAGCTAAGAACATGAAGTACATTGATTTCTTTATCATAGCTAGCAGATATTTAAGAATGTTAGCACAGGTCTTTGAATAAAGTTTGCTTCTAAGAGAAGTTACTATTTATTCCTAATTAAATGGGGAGGAAAGTCTTTGAAGAGGAACCTCTACTTTACTTTTTATACCGTCATGGCTGGAAACTAAGTTTTTAAGATTTTTCTGGGGTTCCCTTGGCCGAGGTGGGGAGTGGGAGGGCTGTCCAGTGGTAGGGACTTAGGATTTTTAGTTTACAGTAGTAGGGGAAACACTCTGTAATCTAATACATAAGTAAATGATGTATTAGAATATGGTAAATATAGGCAAGTAGACCCCCACTGGGATTAGCAGTGGTGGAAATGTGAGAGAGGGCAAACAGGTGGGTCTAGATGAGGTGTGAGCAGACTCGAGGGGCACAGGAGTTAGTCAAGCCAGTATCTGGGGGATAGTGCAGGAATAGTGAACAGCTAGACAAAAAGTCCTAGGGCCAGAGAAAGCAAAAGCATAAGAGATGGAGGCCAGAGAGGTAATCTGGGTGGAAGGCTGCAGCCTCTCAGGATCCCTATAGGTGCTTTGGCTTTTGTTGGAGAGACACTGAACAGCTTTGGGCAGTGAACGTACCTGACAGGTTTCCTGTTTGTTTTTGAGATGAAGTCTCGCTCTTGTCCCCCAGGCTGGAGTGCAATAGCGCGATCTCAGCTCACTGCAACCTCTGCCTCCTGTGTTCAAGCGATTCTCCTGCCTCAGCCTCCCAGGTAGCTGGGATTATAGGCGCCTGCCACCATGCCTGGCTAATTTTTGTATTTTTAGTAGAGACGCAGTTTCAGCATGTTGGCCAGGCTGGTCTTGAACTCCAGACCTCAGGTGATCCGCCCGCCTTGGCCTCCCAAAGTGCTGGGATTACAGGCATGAGCCACCGCGCTCGGCTAGACCTGACAGGTTTTAAAAGGATTACTGGTTGCTGTGTTAAAACAGACTGCAGGATGGCTTAGGTAGCCAGTAGGTTTTTTTTTTTTTTTGGAGACGTAGTCTTGCTCTGTTGGCCTGGCTGGAGTGCAGCGGTGTCATCTTGGCTCACTGCAAACTCCGCTTCCCGGGTTCAAGTGATTCTCCTGCCTCAGCCTCCGGAGTAGTTGGGACTACAGGCGCCCACCACCACACTCGGCTTTTTTGTATTTTTAGTAGAGACGGGTTTCACCATGTTGGCCAGGATGGTCTCGATCTCTTGACCTCGTGATCCACCCGCCTTGGCCTCCCAAAGTGTTGCGATTACAGGCGTGAGCCACCACGCCTGGACGGGTAGCCAGTAGTTTCTAGGGCTGGAGAGATCTAGGATGAGAGAAGTTTCCACATTCCTGTTACAGGCTCTCTAAGGCTTCAGCTCCTTTTTCTAGGACTAAGCTGGATCTCAAGTAAACACTAGAGAGGGGGCAGCTGAAGCTCCAGGAGTGTGTGGGGCTCCCTGGGGCTGGATGGCGGTGGCGGGCAGGCGAGCTGGGCTGTGCTCGGGTGTGTTACAGTAAAGACGCCCAGCTTGGCGCTGGCCCGGCCTTTTCACGGTTTTAGGCTCTACAGAGAGCGGCTGCAGAGCTCACCCGGCTGGCAGGAGCCACCGAGGCCGGACACGTGGGCGACTTATTGACCAAGTGGGGAGGAAGCAGCCCCGCACTGCTCTCCCGACTGCGGACCACCGTTGGGCTCCTGCGCATCCTAAGCCCCACCGCCTCACCTCCAGTCCCCACAGCGTTCGCGCTCCCAGCCGGGGTAAGCGGAAGAAAACAAAGGCCCGGCTCCATCAGGGCACCAATCCCGCTCGTCGGCCTCTTTCTCGGCCTCCAATGAGCTTCTAGAGTGTTATCACGCCAGTCTCCTTCCGCGACTGATTGGCCGGGGTCTTCCTAGTGTGAGCGGCCCTGGCCAATCAGCGCCCGTCAGCCCACCCCACGAGGCCGCAGCTAGCCCCGCTGGCGGCCGAGGCCGGTTGAAGTGGGCGGAGCGGCGGGCGGGGCGTCGCCGTACTAGGCCTGCCCCCTGTCCGGCCAGCCCCTCGAAGCACCTACTCCACAGGTCCAGCCGGCCGGTGAGCGCCTGGGGACCGCAGAGGTGAGAGTCGCGCCCGGGAGTCCGCCGCCTGCGCCAGGATGGAGTTCGTGAAATGCCTTGGCCACCCCGAAGAGTTCTACAACCTGGTGCGCTTCCGGATCGGGGGCAAGCGGAAGGTGATGCCCAAGATGGACCAGGTGGGCCGAGCCTCCCTGCTTGCCCGGGGCGGGGAAGGAGCTCGCTGGGCCGGCCTCAGGGCCTGAGCGGCCGGGCCCGGATCTGGGGCAAGGGGCGCGGCGAGCAGGGCCGACGCCTGGGTGTTCCCGTCCCCCTTTCCTCGAGCCTTCCCCCTGTAGGGCCCGGGTGGACGCGGCCGTCCTGGCTGACCTGTCCCTGCCCCCGCAAGCCGCCCTGGGCATGAGCGACTTTTGCGTGGTTCCCGGTGGTTGCGCTCCCCGTTTCGTCCCCTCCGTGAGCATCGGCGCTTACCGGTATTTTAACCCGAGGGTTACACATCTGAGGCAATGTGGGTGGGTTACGCGGGAGAGGACGAGTGAGTTTTTTGGTAAGCGGAATGAACTATGCAGATAACATCACATGAAGGCCGTTTCTGGAATGAAGTCTGACTCCTCCAGTTTCACCACCTCTTCCGGAGCTCTCCCCGCCTTGCTGCCTTCCATCGCTTCATCCTCGGTGCTTCCTGAGTTTTAAAATCGCCTATCTACGCTTCCAAGTTCCAATGAGTTATCTAACGTCTATGGATTAGCTAGGTGGTTGGTGGAAGGTCAGAACTTGGTTTTACTTAGATTTTTATCTGCCTCATGCCTGTACTATTTGTTTAATGAATGCATAGGAGGTGTTTTTATTCCAACAAGAAAATTATTCGTACGCGATTATTGAATGAATAGACAAATTCAGCCAAGTTCTTCTGGTCTGGACCAGCCTGGCTGATTTCTGTAACTTTTTTGGGCCAACAGGACAGTAGCAAATGTGACTCAGGCCGAGGCTTGATAGGTGCCTGAACATCGGAGTCTTTCTTTCAGTGTCCATGTGCTTCAGTAAACACACTAGAAAATAAATTTCTGGTTTTTGTCCCCAGTAGACTACACCCTCATTTGGTGTTATTTTTCACGTGCTATCTTTAATACAGGTACATCCTTCAGTCTATTTGTAGAACATTCAGTTTTCTTCATCTTTTCTTTGCCGGTGCTACATTATTTGAATTATTTTGCTACAGAATAACTTCTATTATTTGATATGGCAGATGTCACTTTTTATATTTAGATATAGCATTCATTTATTTAACAAATATTTGACGACCAGTTGTATATCAGATAGTGTTCTAGGTGCTGGAGGTACAACAGTGAACAAGCTAGGTGAAGACCTTGATTTTATAAAACTTACTTTTTAGTGGAAGAGAGACAATTTAAAAAAGCGAATGTACAGTTTTTCACGTGGAGAAAAGCACTGCAGAGGAAGATACTAGCAGGGCAAGGGATCTGAGTGCAGTCAGACCTCATTTGGGTCCAGACTTCATTCCTCTATGTCTCTTTCCTTTCTACAGAAAGACTGTTAGAGAAAATGGTAGCATTGGTTTCCTGTTGGGAGGGAAAGTGGGTGGTCATGGTAAGTGGGTAGAGAAAGACTTCACAGTATACTGTTTTTGTACATTTTGAGTTTTTTTAAAAGCGAGACTTGAGCTATTCTAGCTCTGATAATATGGTGCAGTATTTGTTATGTTAGTTGTAGTCTTTCTGGGCAGTTTTTACATCCCCATGAGCCGTTAAAAAAATACCTGAACCTTTAATTAGGGGAAATAAATTGGAAAAATACATTTCCCTTCACTTAACATTATCTTAGTTTCTCTTTTTTTTTTTTTTTTTTTTTTTGAGATGGAGTCTTGCTCTGTTACCCAGGCTGGAGTGCAGTGGTGGCGGGACCTCAGCTAGATGCAGCCTCCGCCTCCTGGGTTCAAGCAATTCTCCTGCCTCAGCCTGCTGAGTAGCTGGGATTACAGGCACCTGCCACTACGCCCGGCTGATTTTTTGGTATTTTTAGTAGAGACGGGGTTTCACCATGTTGGTGAGGCTGGTTTTGAACTCTTGACCTCAAGTGATCTGCTCGCCTTGGTCTCCCAAAGTGCTAGGATTACAGGCGTGAGCCACTGCACCCGGCCTTTTTTTTTTTTTTTTTTGAGGGGGGGGTCTCACTCCATCGTCCAGGCTAGAATGCTGTGGCCTGAACATGACTCACTCCAGTTTTGACTTCCTTGGCTGAAGCCATCCTCCCACCTCGGCTTCCTGATCCCGAGTAGCTGGGACTCCAGGCACGTGTCACCAATGCATGGCTAATTTTTAAATTTTTTTGTAGACACAATGTCTCGCTGCATTGCCCAGGCTGGTCTTGAACTCCTGAGCTCAAGCGATTTTCCCACCTCAGCCTTCAAAGTGCTGGGATTACAGGTGTGAGCCACTGCACCCAACCAGTTTCTCTCTGCAAACTAGGGAAAAAATTTACGCTTAGCAGATATTGAGGGCTGATTATTTCTATCACAGAAGCATTTGGCTATAGAATTTCAGGGTTTAGTAAACTTGATTTACACTGAATTTTTAGGTGCATATCAGTAAATCTACGGGCATATGCCGCCTGCAAGTTGTGTGGCATCACCCAAAAGCCGAGAGTAATGGAAAGAGCAGGCTGTTAGTAATCAGGCAGATCTGGCTCCTGTCCAATCTAAATCCTGTTATTTAGACTAATATCTTAAGTCTGTTATTAAGTCCGATTTCTGACGCTATTAAGTTAGGTGAACAACCTTGGTAACTTAACCTCTGAACCACAGTTACTTCATCTGTAAAATACGGATGTATGTATGGTAACGATTTTTTAACCACAACTTCCCAACTCTAAGATGGTCTGAAAAGAATTTTTTGAGTGTTTGGCTCAGAATCACTTGGCAGCAAAACCTGACTTGAAGTTGAGGCTTCATTCATCCCACTTAGTATATTCAAATGTTTTGCTAAAGAAATAATTATGAGGTGCTACTTCACACTGACTAGGGTTGTATATGCATTTTATTGCCTATTTTCTAAAACACTAAAAATGCTAAATTCTGCCCCAGGTCTTG